>NC_000001.11:65008380-65311410 GCF_000001405.40 Homo sapiens
GGTCACATTAGAGAAATTCCTGAATGTCAAACTAAAAGGTTTAAATTTTCTATGAACTTCTTTTTTTTTCTTTAAGAGACAGAGTCTCACTGTGTTTCTCAGGGTGGTCTTAAAATCCTGGCCTCAAGTGATCCTCCCACTATGGCCTCCCAAAGTTTGAAATTACAGGCATGAGCCAGCATGCCCCACTGACTTTTCCTTACAGCTGTACAGGTTCATATAATAAGTCCTGCTCCCCTTCCCCTTCCCCTTCCCCTTCCCCTTCGCCTTCCTCTTCCCCTTTCCCTTCCCCTTCTCCTTCTCTTTCTCCTTCTCCTTCTTTTTTATGACAGGGTCTCACTCAGTTGCCCTGGCTGGAGTGCAGTGGCATGATCACAGCTCATTGCAGCCTCAACCTGCCTGGGCTCAAGTAATCCTCCCAACTCAGCCTCTCAAGTAGCTGGGGCTACAGGTGCATGCCACATGCCTGGCTAATTTTTAAATTTTTTGTAGAGACAGGGGTCTCCCTATGTTGCCCAGGCCGGTCTCAAACTCCTGGGCTCAAGCAAACCTGTCTTGGCCTCTAGAAGTGCTGGGATTTCAGGCGTGAGCCACTGCACATGGCCCTTGTAACAAGTCTTAATTGAAAATATATTCACAAAGTCTTTGAAGGTTAGGAAATATATTTAAATGCTTATGTTCACTACACAGTTGTTTATAATAAAATGTTAGAAACAACCGGAATGTCCACCGACAGAAGAATGGTTAAAGCATCTATGGTATAGCCATCCTATAGAATTTAATATTAAATTAAATTAAAAGGAATGATGTAAAGCTATAATCACTAAGATGAAAAGATCTGTTAATTACAGAAAAAATCAAGTAGAATGATATGCATAGTTTGATTCCATTTATGTTAAAATATTTCAAAAATGCATAGCTTTTAAATAGGCAGAAACATTTCTAAAAAAACATTCATGAAACTGCTAAAGTGGTTTCCTCTGGGGAAGGAAGTGGAATTGATGAGCAGGTGGGGGTGGAGGTAAAGAGTGACATTTACATTTTATGACATATGTTACATGCTTAAAAAGAAAAAAGTACAAATGTATCATTAAAAATTAAATTACATCGGGAAACTTACTGGAAATGAAAAATAATTAAATTAGGAAGAAAGTTAATTCCATTTTCAATAAGACAGGGAAAAGGACATGTACCTAGTTTCAAAATTAGAATAATAATACTGCCATTTCTGAAGTGGCTTGCAGTTTACAATTAATAACTAACACCTGCTATGATCCAGACACATGTTTAGCCTTTTACATATGCTAACTCATTTAATTCTCACAAAGACCCTATCAGATAAATACTGTTATTCTCCCATCTTACTGATGAGGAAACTGAAGTACAGAGAGGAAGAGTTACTGGCCCATGGTCACATTGCCAGTAAGTGGCAGAGCTGGGATTCTGGCTCTTACATCTCAGGTCTTGATCCCCTTTGCTAAATTACACTTATGCAAAAGCATTTTTGTATTGACTCCTGTGCCCTCAAGCACCTACTGTCCCCCATGTCACATGAGAGAAAACTAGGAGCTCTATCTTAGTGTACTGCAATGGATTATTTTCATGTTCATGTACCCACTAGACTTTCGACTCCATCATGCAAGGAATCCCCATTTTGTTGCTGATATATCCTAGTTTTGTACTTTGGCACACAGGAAGTGGGCAATTTTGAATGCTGTGGTGGTTTAAATTGTCCACAAATTTTTTGGCACTCCCTTTAAGAGGAAGAGTCTAATTGCCCTCCCCTTGGGTATGGACTGGATTTAGTGACTCACTTCTAATGGATAGAATAAAGCAAAAGTGACATTGTGTGACTTCAGAGACTAAGACATACAAGGCACTGTGGCTTCCTGTTCTCTCTTATGCTTGCGCTCTCTCTCGCACGCTCATTCTCTCTCTCTCTCTCCCCCTTCCTCCATCCATCCTCCTGCCCTCAGAACACTTGCTCTGAGGGAAACCGGCTGCCACATCATGCAGAGAGGCCTATGTGTTGAGAAACTGAGGCCTCCAGCCAACAGCCAGCAAGAAACTAAAGCCTCCTGCTAATAGCCACGTGGGTGAGCTTGGAAGTTGATCCTCCGGCCTCAGTCATGCCTTCTGATGACTGCAGCCCAGCTTTCCTCTGGACTGTATCGTCCAGTTAAGCTCCTACCAAATGTATAACCTTTAGAAACTGTAAAATAATAACTGTTCATTGTTGGAAGTCACTAAACATTGGGGCAATTTGTTACATGGCAATAGATAACTAATACAAATATTCTTTATTTAAAAAAATAGGTGGCCAGGCATGGTGGCTTACACCTGTAATCCGAACATTCTGGGAGGCCAAAGCTTGAGGTTGGCAGTTTGAGACCAGCTGGGCAATATAGTGAGACCCTGTCTCTTAAAAAAAAGTAGTAAATAAACTAGCCAGCCGTGGTGGCATGCCTGTAGTCCTAGCTACTTGGGAGGCTGAGGTGGGAAGAAGCTATTCTCCCACTTCAAGGCCATCCAGCCACTTTGTGGCTGTAGTGAGCTATAATTGCACCACTGCACTCCAACCTGGGTAACAGAGACAGATCCTGTCTCTAAAATAATAATAATAGATATGTTTATATTCACAACTTGAATATTTATGAAACATATTAATGTGCTTTTTTCTTTTTCATTTTCATGTATATGATCTTTTCTTTAGTAGACCAAAAGCATTCATTTGCCTGGGGGCAGTGTGTGGAGGGTGGGATTAGAACTGTCAAAGCAAAAATTTTAAAAGGAAGAGTTAAAAATCAGCTTCTGGCTGGACACGGTGGCTTATGCCTGTAATCTCAGCACTTTAGCAGGCCGAGGCGGGAGGACTGCTTGAGCTCAGGAGTTTGAGACCAGCCTGAGCAACATCATGAGACTTCATCTCTACAAAAAATGGAAAAATAAGCTGGGTGTGGTAGTGCATGCCAATAGTCCCAGCTACTTGGGAGGCTGAGGCAGGAGGATCACTTGAGCCCGGAAGATCGAAGCTGTAGCAGCCTGGGTGGCAGAGCAACACCCTGTCTCAAAAAACAAACAAACAAACAACAACCAACAAAAAACAAAAAACCAGCTTCCGATATCCAAAATAGGACTTTTCATTGAAATAGTTACTTAGAAAGCCAGAAAAAAGGTGAGAAAATATATTTTCCAGATTCCTTTTACTACCACTGACATATCGAAGGTTATACCTGGTAAACTAGATCATAGTTTATTTTATAGTATAAGGAGACATATTTTTTCACCTGTGATGACTAGACCACTGAGCTTGCTGTCCCAGGATGGAGCAAGGGTAGGACATTGAGGAAGTAGAATGTCTGAACCTCTTCCTGTTCTAGTGGATGGCAGGGAGAAGAAGGGGAGTGGAGTTAGGAAAACTAGGTAATGAAAAGTTCTCTTGATCCCAGGAGTAAATCCCAGGGAAGGAAGGTGTTTCAGACTGATTGAAGGCTAAGGCCTGAGGGGCTTCTCTTCTGTTTCCCATTTGGGATTCCAGAAGGAAATCGCTAGTTAAGGTGAGTCAGCAGTACAATTGGGTAGGCCCAGAAGAGGAAAGAGAGCAAAATAGAGTAGTCAGGAAAAGAGGGCCCAGTTTGGGCGCCTGTTAGCTCCTGTGTGGTGTGAAAGGCACTCAGATGTTCCTGCATCTCTGATGGAAAACACAGAACCTGGCTCAGCTGAGAGACAACAGCTCTGTCATGGGGAGGTTGAAGTGACCCCACAGCAAAGTGGAGAGGAAGTTGTTGAACAGAAGCTGTGGCAGAGACTCAAAGAGGCCTATAATGCTGGTGAGAACTATGGTGGCCTGAGTCATCTGAGGTCTGAGGTCTGAGGTCCTGACCAAGTAGAGAAAAAGGACCATCCTAGGAAATACCCCAGCTACTAAGCAAAGATACCAACAGAAGACCATAAAGAGCACCCGTGAGGCCTTAGTGGACACCAGTCCAGGAGCCAGCCTAGGACAGCTCACCTCAGTCACCTGACTATGGAAACTGACAAACTAAGAATGTTAGATTGAAGATAGAGTATCAAATATTAAAATAATTATTAGAAATAAGATTAGAAGTATCAAAGTACTAATAAGACAGTAAGGAATTAGCAGGACAAAATCTAAGGTATACTGAGTACTGAAGCCACTTTTGCCCTGAGGACATTTGCCAATACAGCCAATTTGAGCCTCTATCTCCTAAGAAGGAAAGTACAAAAGAAAATTCACCAAATTAGCTAGGCATGATGGTGTGCACCTGTGGCCCCAGCTACTGGGGAGGCTGAGGCAGGAGAATCACTTGAACCCAGGGGTTCAAGGCTGCACTGAGCCATGTTTGCACCATACCACTGTACTCCAGCCTGAGTGACACAGTAAGACCCTGTCTCAAAAAAAAAAAAAAAGGCCAGGCACGGTGGCTCACACCTGTAATCCCAGCACTTGGGGAGGCCAAGGCAGGCGGATCACGAGGTCAGGAGATCAAGACCATCCTGGCTAACACGGTGAAACCCCATCTCTACTAAAAATACAAAACTGGTTTAGCTGGGCGTGGTGGCGAGCACCTGTAGTCCTAGCTACTCTGGAGGTTGAGGCAGGAGAATGGCGTGAACCTGGGAGGCGGAACTTGCAGTGAGCCAAGATCGTGCCACTGCACTCCAGCCTGGGTGACAGAGCAACACTCCGTCTCAAAAAAAAAAAAAAAAAAAGGCCGGTGCAGTGGCTCACACCTGTAATCCCAGCACTTTGGGAGGCTGAGGTGGGCAGATCACTTGAAGTCAGGAGTTTGAGACCAGCCTGGCCAACATGGTGAATCCCCATCTCTACTAAAAATATAAAAAATTAGCCGGGCGTGCTGGCATGCACCTGTAATCCCAGCTACTCAGGAGGTTGAGGCAGGAGAATCACATGAATCAGGAGGCGGAGGTTGCGGTGAGCCAAGATCATGCCACTGCACTCCAGCCTGGGCAACAGAGCAAGACTCTGTCTAAAAAAAAAAAAACAAAAAAAACAAAAACCGAAACAAAAAAAGAAAATCCATCAATGGAATTGGAATTCAAAGGCTACATTTTCCCCAAATTTCTACCCTAAAGGGACTGCTGCTGACCAGTACAATGAGGAAACAATTTCATCTCTGAAAATTTGTAATCACTTGCTGGCATTATTGAAGTTATAACCACAGGGTGGTCCAAAAGAATTCAAGCCACAAATTTCATTTAATTTGGTGCCATATTGATGACGTCCCTAGGAAGCAAAGGAACAAATACAAATCCATTTTGAGAAGTTACCCTCATCCTGGGCCTCAATGTATTTACACAAATAAGTTTTCAAGGTTAACAAGCAGTACTGGTAAAAAAAACAACTAAGCATACATAATAAGCATCACGTATGAGAGCTAGAAGAAATGAAAGAGTAGAAACAGAGTCAAAAAGATTTCAGATGCTGGAATTATCAGACACAGATTATAAAATTATGCCTACTATTGTTAAAGAAATAAAAGATGAGCTTGAAAATATCTTCAAGATACTGGAAACTACAAAAAGTGACCAACAAATTTTTAAGAACAATAAAATTAAACTTCTAGAAATAAAATTTACCATTACTGAGATTGAGAGCAAAACAAAAACCAACAGCTTAACAGCATATTACATACAACTGAAAAGAGAATTAGAGAACAAGAAGGTTGGGTCACAAGATTTTACAGAATGAAGCATAGAAATTTAAAGAAATACAATATATGAAAGAGAAATTAAAATTCATAGAAGATAGAGTGAGAAAGTCTAACATATATTTAATTAGAGCACTAGAAGACCAGAGATTATATGGCAGAAACAGTATTTGAAGAAATACTGGCCTAAACTTTTCCAGAACCTATTAATGAAATTAATTCACATACTCAAGAGGCCAAACAAATCCCAGGAAGAAAGGTGGGCAGGAGAGAAGGAGAAGAAGAAAAAGAACAAAGGAGGGAAGGAAAGGGAAAAAAGGAGGAAAAGGAAAGAAGGTAGAAAGAAAAGAAAGAAAGAGAGAATGGGAGGGAGGGAAAGGAAAGGAAAGAAAGGAGAAAAAGAAAGAAAAATTCTCACTCAAATTCATCACAATAAAACTAATGAACATCAAAGGAAAAAATTTGAGGTCAGGGAAAGTGTGGAGATCATTATCAAAGGAATGGCAGTGAGATGGACCACTAACTTCTCAGTAGCTGCAATGGAAGCCAAATGACAATACAATAACACACTCCATGGGTTGAAAGAAAATAATAAATAATCTATTATTCTATTCTTTTTTTTTTTTTTGGATATGGAGTCTCTCTCTGTCGCCCAGGCTGGAGTGCAGTGGCGCGACCTCGGCTCACTGCAAGCTCTGCCTCCCGGGTTCACGCCATTCTCCCGCCTCAGCCTCCCGAATAGCTGGGACTACAGGCGCCCGCCACCACGCCCGGCTAATTTTTTTGTACTTTTAGTAGAGACAGGGTTTCACCGTGTTAGCCAGGAAGGTCTCGATCTCCTGACCTCGTGATCCACCCGCCTCGGCCTCCCAAAGTGCTGGGATTACAGGCTTGAGCCACCGCGCCCGGCCCATATTATTCTATTCTTAGTGAAAAAAAATCTTTCAAGAATGAGGGCATAGTATTAATATGTACATTTCCAAAAACAAGTAGAAACACAGAGACTTTGCTATTATCCAGACCTTTGTACAAAGGAATTCAGAAGGGTGTCATTCTGGAAGAAAGAATGAGATCCTAGATGGATGCTCTGAGGTACAAGAAAGAATGAAGAGTAAAGAGAGTGGTAAATATATGAATAAATCTAAACAATGCAAAATTGTGCATAACACAGCATTAACAATGTCATATGAGATGAAAAAGTAAATAAATACACAAAAATAAAAGCATGCAAATTAAGAAGAGAGTCAATGAGGTTGGTGTTTAGTTTTTGTGGTATTTAGCACAAGAAAAACATTAGTGACTAACTTTTTACTTAATAGGTGATATATACATATAAACATGTTAGGCTAAACTCTAAAAAATAATAAAGACAGAATATAGCCTATAAACAGAGTTAAAAAAAGGAATAAAAATAATACAAAAAAGAAGAGAAAAAGAAGTATATAAAAGTGAAGCAAAGAGAAAGCAAAATGTAAAGTGATAGATTTAAAATATTAGTAACTAATATCAGTTAATTAAAATGAATAAAATGTAAATGGATTAAATACTTCAGTTAAAAGACAAAGCTTCTCGGACTGGAGAAAACTTATAGATATTCAAACAGGTTGAAATTTTAAAACGGAAATATAACTCCAAAAGAATTGGCATTTTTATGTTAATAGTACACAAAATAGACTTTAAGCCAAAAATCATTATTGAAAACAATTTGGCAATTCCTCAAAAAGCTAAAAATAGCATTACCATATGGCCCAGTAATGCCACTCCTAAGTATTATATATATATCCCAAAGAATAGAAAGCGGGGACTCAAACAAGTACTTGTATACCAGTGTTCATTGTAGCATTATTTACAATGGTCAAAAGGTGGAAACAACCCATGTACCAACCAGATGTATGAACGAAATGTGGTATATACATACAATGGAATATTATTCAGACATAAAGAGGAGTGAAGTTCTGATAGATGCCCCATGGTAGATAAACCTTGAAGACATATGCTAAGTGAAATAAGCTAGATGCAAAAGGACAAATATTGTATAACTACACTGACATGAAATATCTCAAATAGGAAAATTCGTAGAAATGTAAACTAGACGCAAGTTTGTCAGGGGCTGGGGAGAAGGGACCTGGGGAGTTTTTACTTACTAGTTACTGAGTTTCAGTTTGGGGTGATGAAAAAGTTTTCGAAGTAGATAGCGATGGTAGTTGTATAACATTGTGGACCTAAGTAATGCCACTAAATTGTACCCTTAAAAATGGTTTAAATGGGCCGAGCATGGTGGCTTATGCCTGTAATCCTAGCACGTTGGGAGGCCTAGGAGGGCAGATCACTTGAGCACCAGAGTTTGAGACCAGCTTGGGCAACATAGTGAAACCCTGTCTCTACAAAAAATACAAAAATTAGCTGAGCATGATGGCATGCGCCTGTAGTCCCAACTACTCCGGAGGCTAAGGTAGGAGGATCACTTCAACCTAGGAGGTTGACTGCACCACTGCACTCCAGCCTGGCAACAGAATAGGACCCTGTCTCAAAATAAATAAATAGGCTGGGTGCAGTGGCTCACGCCTGTAATCCCAACACTTTGGGAGGCTGAGGCGGGTGGATCACTTGAGGTCAGGAGTTAGAGACCAGCCTGGCCAAAGTGTGAAACCCTGTCTCTACTAAAAATACAAAAATTAGCCGTGCATGGTGGCAGGCACCTGTAATCCCAGCTACCTGGGAGGCTGAGGCAGGAGAATTGCTTGAACCCGAGAGGCAGAGGTTGCAGTGAGCCGAGATCGCGCCACTGCCCTCCAGCCTGGGCAACAGAGCAAGACTCCATCTCAAAAAAATAAGTAAATAAATAAAAACTTAAAATGGCAAATTTTACTGTATACATTTTATCAGAATTTTAAAATTACAACAATAAAGATAATCACTTAACAATACAATTTCAGCTTACTAGGAAAATATAAAAATTTTGAATTTATAAGTACCTAGTAGTGCAGCCACAAATTATATAAGAGAAAAATCAGAAGATCCATATGGAGAAATAGACAAATCTACAATTATATGGGAAATTAAAAAATACATCTCCCGATAATTGATAGAACAAGAAAAATCATTAAATAGGCCAGGACTGGTGGCTCATACCTGTAATCCCAGCACTTTAGGAGGCCTCCGAGGCAGGTGAACCACCTGAGCTCAGGAGTTTGAGACCAGCCTAGCCAACATGGCGAAACCCTGTCTCTACTAAAAATATAAAAATTAGCTGGGCATGGTGGCACAGCCTGTAGTCCCAGCTACTCGGGAGGCTGAGGTATGAGAATTGCTTGAACCCAGGAGGCGGAGGTTGTAGTGAGCTGAAATTGCGCCACTGCACTCCAGCCTGGGCAACAGAGAGAGACTCTGTCTCAAAAAAATAAAAATAAAAATAAATCATTAGAGGATTCAAACAATAATGATTAATAAAACTGATCTAATAGAGATTATCTATATTTCATTCAACAACTGCAGAAAAAAATTCTGAAGTCCACACAGAATATTTCAAAAATGGACTCATACATAGTCATTAAAACAAGCCTCAACAGATATTAAAGGATTAATACAGAGGATGTTTTCTGACCTAAAGTGATCTAACTATAAATCAATAATAAAAAGGTAAACAGAGCATCTCCATGTTTGGAAAATTAAAACCATGCTTTTAAATAACTCATGGGTCAAAGAAGAAATCATAGTGGAAAAAATTTTTAATTGTGAACTCTGCCTTTTTTTTTTTTTTGACAGATTCTCACTCTTGTCGCCCAGGCTGGAGTTCAGTGGCAGGATCTCACTGCAAGCTCCACCTCCTGGGTTCAAGTGATTCTCCTGCCTCAGCCTCCCAAGTAGCTGGGATTACAGGTGTCTGCCACCAGGCCCAACTAATTTTTGTATTTTTAGTAGAAATGGGGTTTCACCATGTTGGCCGGCGCTGGTCTCGAACTCCTGATCTCGGGTGATCCTCCCGCCTCAGCCTCCCAAAGTGCTGGGATTACAGGTGTGAGCCACTGCACCTGGCTGTGAACTGTGCCTTTTTAAAATGTGTGAGTGACTTAAAAATTACTTCATATCAAAAACATATAGGGTAATAGCTAAAAAGTGTTTACAGAGCTGATTTATAGCCTTACATTTTATATTAGAAAAGAAAAAAGGCTAAAAGTAAGTAAGTCAAGCATCTGCCTCAGGATATTAGAAATAAGCTGCAAGATAAACAGAAATAAAGAAGTAGGAAAGAGATAACAAATAAGAACAAAAATGTGTAAAATAGAAAAACTATGTAACAGGAACAATAAAGCCAATAGTTGATTCTTTGAGAAGACTAAAAAAGGTGTAAAATATTTGGTGAAACTAATGAGAGACACACATACATACAGAGAGAGAGAGAGAGAGAGAGAGAACACACACACACACACACACACACACACACGCTATCAGGAGTGAAAAAGGGGATATTACTCCAGATGTTGTACACACTGGAAAGATAATAAAAGGATATAATGAATGACTTAAATCTAATCCATTTGACAAAGTACACTATATGGACTAATTTCATCGGGGAAAAATCAACAAACCTTATAAAGATATTTTAAAAACATGAACATGATTCTGCTAAGAGAGCATTTGAAAAAAATAATAAAGGCCGGGCCCGGCGGCTCACGCCTGTAATCCCAGCACTTTGGGAGGCCGAGGCGGGCAGATCACGAGGTCAGGAGACCGAGACCATCCTGGCTAACACGGTGAAACCCCGTCTCTACTAAAAATACGAAAAAATTAGCCGGGCGTGGTGGCGGGCGCCTGTAGTCCCAGCTACTCGGGAGGCTGAGGCAGGAGAACGGGGTGAACCCAGGAGGCGGAGCTTGCAGTGAGCCAAGATCGCGCCACTGCCCTCCATCGTGGGGGACAGAGTGAGATTCCGTCTCAAAAAAATAAAAATAAAAATAATACAAAAAACAAAAACAAAAATCTCGAACAATCCTATGATCATTAAATAAGTTGAATCGTTTACAGAAAATCCACAAAGAAAATTCCAGGACCAGAAGCCTTTCATATGACTTCCACCAATCTTTTAAGGAACAAAGTATTTTAATATTACATAAACACATACAAGAAGGAACAACTCTCAAACTCATAAGACACTAAAATTCATGTGAAGACTATGTCAAAATAAAATTACAATCTAATTTGACCTATGGATGTATGTTGAAAAAAATCTGAAACAATATATTAGCAAACTGAATCCAGCAATACAAAAAGATAATATAGAAAAGCAAGTGTATCCTAGGAATACAAAATTGGTTTAATATTTGAAAATGAAACAATGTAATTTGTCATGTTAATAGAATAAAGGAGAGAACCCATATGACCCCCCCCCCAATATATTTAGGAAAAGTGAATGGTTAAAAAAAAAAGTCAATATGTATTCTTAATTTTAAAAATCAGCAAACTTGAAATAAAAGGAAACTTTTAAGTGAAATAGGGTACCTACAGAAAATCTGTAGCAAACATCATGCAAAATAGCGAAGTTGCTATGTCAGAAGATGTGAGGCCGGGCATGGTGGCTCACTCCTGTAATCCTAACACTTTGGGAGGCCAATGTGGGTGGATCACCTGAGACCAGGAGTTCAAGACCAGCCTGACCAACATTATGAAACCCCATCTTTATTAAAATTCAAAAATTAGCAAGGTGTGGTGGCAGGCACCTGTAATCCCATCTACTTGAGAGGCTAAAGCAGGAGAATTGCTTGAACCCGGGAGGCAGAGGTTGCAGTGAGCCGAGATCATGCCACTGCACTCCAGCCTGGGTGACAGAGCGAGACTCTGTCTCAAAAAAAAAAGAAGAAGAAGAAGAAGAAGGCAGAGCGTGGTGGCTCACGCCTGTAATCAAAGCACTTTGGGAGGCCAAGGTGGGCAGATCATCTGAGGTCAGAAGTTCAAGACCAGCCTGGCCAACATGGTGAAACCCCATCTCTACTAAAAGTATAAAATTAGCCAGGTGTGCTGGTGCATGCCTGTAATCCTAGCTACATGGGAGGCTGAAGCAGGAGAATCGCTTGAACCCGGGAGGCGGAGGTTGCAGTGAGCTGAGATCACGCCATTGCACTCCAGCTTGGGCAAAAAGAGCAAAACTCCGTCTCAAAAAAAAAAAAAAAAAAAAAAAGCTGTGTATAACTTTAGTTCTGTTAGACAATGCCACACTCTTTCAAAGTGGTTGTGCTAATTTATACTCTCAGCAACAGCCTATGAGAACTCTCATCACCAATCCACATTATCACCAAAAGACTGTGAACCACTGTCCTAGAGAAACTCTTGCAATGTGTACTACAGACAAGTACAAGAATTTTCTCAGCATCATTGTTCTGAGTAGCTTGAAACTGGAAACGATTCACTGTGCTTCTGGGGAGGCAGCAAAATTTTATATCTGGATCACAGTACTGGTTATGTAGATGTTCATTTTATAATCATTCAAACTGCACATATATGCTTTATGCACTTTTCTATATGTACTGCATATGTCTCATTTGAACTTCTACAAAGGCATTATATTCTTCAAAGAAACTTCACACACATTTTAATAAATCTTATCTGATTTTACAATTACCACTTGTGGTTCCTATAAGAAACTTGTCCATATTAGTTAGGGCTCCACTAGAAAAGAAATTATTTGTACAAATTTGGTAATTTGAGAAGAGTTTAATTTAAAAGGACCATCTACAAAGGTGTGGGCAGGGTTTAAGGAGCTCAAATGTGGTAACAAAATACTCTAGAACTAGTAACTTGGGGTGCCTTTCCCACCCTTTGGGGCAGGGAAAGAAAGCCTTTATTAGAACCAGGAGATAGAGCTATGTGGAGAGAGCTACTCAACTTGAGCTATGACCTCTAGTGGAAAGACAGAGCCAGTCCACACCACAGTGACCGCATACAAAGGGGATAAATACCCTGATTTTGCTCCTCTCCCTTCCCTCTCCCAATCTTCTGTCTGTGCTCCTTGTTGGTGAACCCAACCAGAAGCCAGAAGACAAGAGAATCTGTGGATGCAATGCATTTAGGTCAACCACCCAGAGAACCCAGCAGAATGGAGCTGGGCAAAGAGTAGATCCGAAGTGATGAGAAGTTGTTCACATGTCCGTCTGAATCTAAAGTGGTAGCCACTTCCAGTGTTTTTCTTTTAAAATACAAGGTTTGGGGAGAAGGAGAAATGACCAAGGGATTTAAATTATAGCTGTTATAATCCCTGCTTCTGCAGCTGATGACAAGGCGTACATTGGTACTCAAGGCTACCTTCTTCCACCTCCCACTTCTGTTCTTTCCTTCCATCGGCACTTCAGCAGGATGTGTTTTACCTTTTTCCTTGTCCCAGGCTACTTGTCCCATAGTAAAGATGCTTTTGCCTATTTTCCAAAGTAGATTTGGAGAGACCCAAACTTCGTTGCGTGTAGGATATGAGGCATTGATAATCTTGTCTTTATTGGGTGGCTGCACTTTTCCATTCACCAGAACAGTGGGCCAAGGAATGCTAAGAAGTTGTTCATTGAATCCCTGAGTTCTAAACATAGCTCTCCCTGTCTATCCCCGCTAGGTAGCAGCAATCTAATTACTGCTGTTAAGGATATATTACCCCTTTTCTATATATTGGTTCTATGACCTAAGGAACCCCTAATGCCTGGGGGTAAGACTTAGCTTCCATTTCATTGGAACCATGTCTATTATACTTCCCATTTTTTTAGAAGAGGACACTAAAACCAAGAGAATTTGCAATATTTGCCTAAGAGTGCATAGTTAGTACAACAATGGAACTAGAAGCTCAGCCTCCTGACTTTCAGACTCATTTGCTTCCCACATACTGGAGGAGTACAGCTGTGTCTTATCACTGTAACAGGTGGACATGGGAAACAGCAATAACACAACGTTAGACTGTGATAAAGGTGACTCAAGGGAGGGAGGAATACACAGTAGCAGATGTCCTCTAAATATTAAGGCACAGTAGAGAATAAGACATTTGTCATCCTGCCATCTCATTGTGCCAAGCTACAAGAGTAATGTTTTTGCCCTGTGTTTTTCCAAAGCAGGGCCTTTTCCAAAACAATTCAGGGTGATGACTACTTGAGTGCATTTTAATGTGTTTGCTAATGAATTTTCTTGATATTGGAAAATAACATTTTTCTTGTGTAATGTCCCCTCTCCTTTCTCTCAAAGGAGCCCACATTGCCATTTTTTTATTTTTTTATTTTTTCTTGGTCACAGAGAAGTCCATGCTAGTGAAGCAATTAAGGGCTCTTTCTAACCCATAAATCACCAACAAAATGGATATTCCAGTGCACCCATAGGGATTGGAGGGCTCATGTGAGGGAAGTTTGTAAATGACTCTGCATTTTAGGATTTCCATAGCCTTTCTGAGGCCCATTAAACTGATCAGTAGGTAGTAAGTGATGAGGCATAAGGCTGGGAGGTGGGGTGATGTAAAGAAAAAATTAAGAAATGAGACTGAGTCAGCCAAAGTGAAAATTTAGTTTGTAAGAGTTGGTGCCTCTTCAGACTTCTAAGCAACTTGAAGAAGGTAATCACCATTTTATTACTTTTATTATCTTCTTTATTTTTAGACTTTAACATAGTCAATAGTGGGTTGCAGTACCTTGCTAAGAGGGAGGAGAACCAACTTCATACATTAGTGTCATGCTAAAATATTCATTGGGAAAAATTAATATAGCATTTTATTTAGGGCTTTCAATGTGTATATCAAAGGAGAAACTAATCAGGGGAAATTCAGTCTATTCTTAAGTTGGTGGGGAATGATATTTTTTGATAGGGAGTTTTTCACACCTGTTAGATCATATAAATTCAGTGGATGCTTTTTTTCTCATGAAAAGTGAGGAAGCAGTAAACATTTAAAACATAGAATTTTTTTTCCTGTCATCCTTACACAGGGGCCATGCTAATCTTCTCTGTATCATTCCAACTATTAATTATTTTTAAGTGAAGTATTTAATACGCTGATGTTAAGGTTCGGTTCAATGACTTTTTTTTAAATTTTAGAGGTAGGGTCTCGTTCTGTCACCCAAGCTGAAGTACAGTGGAGTGATCATGGCTCACTGCAACCTCAATCCCCTAGGCTTAAGTGATTCTCCCACCTCAGCCTCCCAAGTATCTGGAGACACAGGCATACGTAGCCATACTGGGCTAATTTTTATTTTTTATTTTTGTCAAGCTATGTTGCCCAGGCTGGTCTTGAATTCCTGGCCTCAAGCAATCCTCCCACCTCAGCCTCCTGAGGCACTGGTATTACAAGCCTGAGCCAACATGCTTGGCCAACAGATTTCGATAATTGTACACATTAATGTAACTACCATCTAAAGTTCCAGAAAGTTGTCTCATCCTCTTGTCCCTTTCTAGTCAAACCCCCTTTCCTTCTCACTGAGGGAACCACTTTCTTTTTTTTTGAGGCTGGACTGCAGTGGCACAATCTCGGCTCACTGCAAGCTCCACCTCCTGGGTTCATGCCATTCTCCTGCCTCAGCCTCCCGAGGAGCTGGGACTACAGGTGCCCACCACCACACCAGGCTAATTGTTTGTATTTTTAGTAGAGATGGGGTTTCACCATGTTAGCCAGGATGGCCTCGATCTCCTGACTTCATGATCCACACACCTCGGCCTCCCAAAGTGCTGGGATTACAGGTGTGAGCTACTGCACCCTGCTGAGGGAACCACTTTCTAATCCTATCACCATAGATTAGTTTGCCTGCTCTGGGATTGCATGTAAATGGAGTCATACCGTATTTATTATTTTGCATCTGGTGTCTTTCACTCACCATGGTTCTAGATTCATCCTTTTTTTTTTTTTTTTTTGCATGTACCAGTGGCTCGTTCCTTTTATTGCTGAGTAGTATTCCTTTGTATGAATATATCACAATGTGTTTATCCAATCTCCTATTGCTGGACATTTGAGTTGTTTTCCATTTTTGGCTGTTATGAATACAAGTACTATGAGCATTCTTGTACAAAACTTTTTGCGGCCATATATTTCCATGTTTTGGGGGTATATACCTAGGAGTAGAATAGCTGGTAACTCTATGTTTAATCATTTGAGGACCTGCCAGACTGTTTTCCAAAGTGGCTGTACCACCTACATTCCTACCAGCAAGGTACAAGGGTTCTAATTTCTCCATATCCTTGCCAACACTTGTTGTTCATATTTTTTATTACAGCCATCCTAGGGGGTGTAAAGTTATATCTCATTGTGGTTTTGATTTGCATTTTCTTAATGATTAATGACGTTGAACATCTTTTCAAGAGTTTATTGGCTACTTGTACACCTTCTTTGGGGAAATGTCTATTCATAACATTTGCTCATTTTAAATTGGGTCATTTGTCTTTTTGTTGTTGAGTCCTAATTGATTCTTAACTTGGGTGAAATTGAATTGAGAGAGTCTGTTGTAACAGGTAAGCCTCTTGCAGTTGAAAGTAACAGAAAACCCAACCTACATTATTAGCTTAAGCATTAATGGAACTTGTTGTATCACAGAACTGAAAGTTCTTGGAGGTAGTTGTGGCTTCAAGAATGGCCTGGTCCAAAGCAAAAAAAAAAAAAAAAAAAAGAAAGAAAAAAAAAGGCTAGGGGTGGTGGCTCACACCTGTAACCCCAGCAGTTTGGGAGGCTAAGGTGGGCAGATCACATGAGGTCAGGAGTTTGAGACCAGCCTGGCCAACATGGTGAGACCCCATTTCTACTAAAAATACAAAAATTAGCCAGTCGTGGTGGCAGGCACCTGTAATCTCAACTACTCAGGAGGCTGAGGCACGAGAATCATTTGAACCCGGGAGGTAGAGGATGCAGTGAGCCGAGATCGTGCCATTGCACTCTAGCCTGGACAACAAGAGCGAAACTCTGTCTCAAAAAAAAAAGTGACACCAGAACCTGATTTCTTCCTTCTCCCCTCTTAGCTCTGTTTTCACTGTCTGAGCCCCATTCTTGGATAGGCCTCACCAATTAGAACAGCAAGATGGCTATAGCAGCTCCAGCCACACGTTCTTCCAGGTTCAGGCCCACAGGAGAAGAGTGCTTGCTCACAGAAGCACTGGCAAAAAGACTTACGGGTCCTGACTGATTACAGACCAATCCAAACTGCAGTGGCCAAGAGGAATAGGTACACTGATTTAGGGGGATTCACAGATCCCATTCCCGAAGCAATGGTTAGAGCCCACCCGAAACATGGATTCCAAGTCGGGGAAGAGAGAGAGTTATCCAGAGAGAAATTAGAATACATTTACCAAAATAGGAGGAAAAGGGATGTCGGGGATGTCAAAAACTAGCAAATGTCCACTACAGTGCTTCCCAACCACGGCCTCACTAAAAATCAACATGATTTTTATCTAAGCAACTAAGCAAAGAGGTGAGGCCACAGGGTAAAATACTATTATTGACACAGGAATATGGATAAAGGCAAGAGAATAGTTAGCCAGCAGTAAAATCATTAAAAAGTCACTAAATTTAGCATCTGAAGACCTGGCTCGAATCCTAGGTTTGCTACTTGCTAGCACTATGACCTTGGAAAAAATCACTTAACTTTACAAATCAATTTTTTTCTTTCTTTCTTTTTTCTTTCCTTTTTTGAGACAGGGTCTTACTCTGTCACCCAGGCTAGAGTGCACTGGCATGATCACAGCTCACTGTAGCCTCGACCTCCTAGGCTCAAGAAATGCTTCCAGCTCAGCCTCCCGAGTAGCTGTGACTATAGGTGCATACCACCATGCCTGGCTAATTTTTTATATTTTTTGTAGAGATGGGGTTTTGCCATGTTGCCCAGGCTACTCTTGTACTCCTGGACTCAAGCGATCCTCCTGCCTTGACCTCCCATAATGCTGGGATTACAGGCATGAGCCACCACACCCAGCCAAACCACATTTTTCTAAGCCATAAAACAGGGATTACCTCAAATTATCATTCCAGCATCATAGGTTGGTTCTAGAAATATAAACCTGTAAAAGTGCCTGGCACATAGAGGATATTCACTCTGAAATCCTGGGTCATAACTTTGTCTACATGCCTTCCATGTGATCCCACCCCAACGCTACTACCTATCCAGCCAGTGTTTGCTTTCCAGATGGGACTGCAGAGATTTCCACAGAAAATCTTTTGAACCATTACCTTATTGAGCCCCAAACTGTAATTTCAGCTATGTGATTAGAGCATTGTTCTATCAACACCGAGAATGGTTTCTGGCTGGAATGTCAGTGGAGCATGGTGAGCCAGACACAGGCAGTCCTTTGAACACAGCCTGGGGTATAAGACAGAGATGATCATCACAGTTGGAGATCTAGAAAATGTCCCTGGAGACCTCAGAATCCCACGGTTTGGCTTCCAGCAGTGAAAATGAGTGCCAGCTTCCCCTCTCAAAGCACGCTGCCCCCCTGGATTCTAGTTTGTTAGCTAATCCCTTCCTCCTCTAGAACAGGAAAGAAGGAAGGAAGGGTTTGGAACTGTTCCATTGGTAGCCCCAGAATTTCTACATAAGAAAAGCTTAGGGGCAGCCATCTGGCTGCTATGAGCTTCTAGAGGAGTTGCTTTTGAAATTGTTTGCATTTTAAATAAGAAGGTTTGGCCAGGTGCAGTGGCTCACACCTGTAATCCCAGCACTTTGGGAGGCAGAGGGCGGGCAGATCACCTGAGGCCAGGAGTTTGAGACCAACCTGGCCAACATGGTGAAACCTCATCTCTACTAAAAAATACAAAAATTAGCCAGGCATGGCGGAGTGCACCTCTGGAGCCAGAGGCAGGAGAATTGCTTGAACCTAGGAGGTAGAGGCTGCAGTGAGCTGAGATTGCGCCACTGCACTCTAGCCTGGGCAACAGAGTTAGGCAGTCTCAAAAAAATAAAAACCATTTTTTTTAAATAAGCAGGTTTCATTCAGATTGTATACTATTTGAGATGGCCTGGGTAGAGCTGGTTATCTGGAAACTTTTGGGGTTTTTTGTTTTTTTTAGATGGAGTATCACTCTGTTGCCCAGGCTGGAGTGCAGTGGTGCGATCTCGACTCACTGCAACCTCTGCCTCCTGGGTTCAAGCTATTCTCCTGGCTCAGTCTCTTGAGTAACTGGGACTACAGGTGCACACCACCACACCTGGCTAATTTACCACACCTGGCTAATTTTTTTTTTCTTTTAGTAGAGATGGGGTTTCACCATGTTGGCCAGGCTGACCTCAAGTGATCCGCCCATCTCAGCCTCCCAAAGTGCTGGGATTACAGGTGTGAGCCACTGCACCCAGCCAATTATCTCGAAACTTTGATCATCCTTGACATCACTGCCGACTGCCCTCCTCCAATTCCCTTGGTCTATCTCTGACTGATGCCGGCAGAAGAAGCAGAGCAAAATCTCCTTACATGTATTTTTGTTCCGCTTCCTGTCAATTTGGGTCCTCTAGGAAGCAGACAGGCACCAGGATGGGTTTATAAGTGAAAGCACTGGGTTGTAATAACTGTGAAAGGCAAAAGGAAGAGGGAGCTGGAGAGGGCAGGGAAAGCCTTAAAACCATGTTGCAGGTCTGAGGCTTGTAAAAGGAGAAGGGTAAGGAAGGATGATTGTGTGGGTGAATAGAGTCTCAGACTGTGGTGCAGCTCTGGAAATGTCCTGGTCAGCCTAATAGGGAGCTCTGGCACAAGGATTGCCCTCAAAAAAGTCCCACGTTGCATGGCAGTGGTCATGCCCTAGTACCCCTGCCATGCTCAGTCATTGGTAGAGGGCTGCCTGGGAGAAAGTGCTGCACCCTGGATGCTGGGGTGGATCCAGACTAGAAGCTGTCAGCGTTCTGCATTCCTTGCAGCAGGTTCTTTCTGGAAGGGAAGTCTGCGTGGCACGCTGCCACAGCTGGCACAACCCCAACAGCTGTCCAGCCATTCTGCTCTTACCTATAATCAAGCTCACAGAAGGGAAGTAGAGTGTTTTTGTGCTCCACAGAACTGCCTGAGCTCTTTTTATGATTCCTTTGGGTGAACCCTCAGTAAGTCAATCTATGCCTTAGGTTTCTTGTCTGAAATATTTCCTTTGCCTGGAACGCTTTTCCCTCAGCTACACTAATAACTCAATGCCTCATCTCCTTGAGGTCTCTGCTCATGTGTTGTCTCATCAGTGAGTCCTTCCCTGACTAATTAAAATAGCAATCCCCTCACAATTCTTATTCTCCTTCCCAGTGTTATTTTTCTCCATAGCACTTACCCTATCTAATTTTAAAAGTTTATTTATATATTTATCATCTGTCTCCTTTGATTAGAATATAATGGATGTCAAGTCAGGAGATTTTGTCTGCTGTTCTATCCCTAGCACCCAGAATAGTGACTAGCATATAGCAAATGCCATTAACTATGTGGCAAATGGAAGGAAGAAAGGAAGAAAGGAAGGAAGGGAGGGAGGGAGGGAGGGAGGGAGGGAGGGACTGGTATAACCACACAAATCATGTAAAAGTTGATAGATACCACTAATCCTTTCTCTTTCTGATGCAAACTTCTTATCTAAGAAGATCATCTAACCCCTTGAAGAGAGCAATTAAGTCATTGAAACTTATAAAAATGTGTCACTAAAAATTGGAACTTTAAGTCAAAGACAGAAAACTTATTTACTAATTGTATTCTTTTTATCAGATACCATGTTACATGTTTTTACATACGTTATCTGATTTAATCCTCCCAATAGCACTGAGATAAGGGTTATCATCCCTATTTTGTGGGCAAGGAGGGTGAGGCCCAAATAACATGGCCAATGTCACACACAACTGGAAGTATGGAATTTAAATTCAGATTTATCTGATAGCAACAAATAAGAAACAGACTTCAGTGCCAAATAAGAGGAAAGGAGCAAAATTAGCTCACCATTTGATAGTAAAAATATGAACAAAGTAAAAGAATCATTACAAAGGACAAAGGAAGGAATTACTTTTACTATGCAGGGGTCAAGGCTCAATATCAGTTACCCAATCCAATGAGGATACCATCTTCTTACAATAGTGGGTATTTATTTTTCCTTTTTTTTTTCTCCTGAGACAGGGTCTCACTCTGTCACCCAGGCTAGAGGGCAGTGGCATGATCATAGCTCACTGCAGCCTCAAACTCCAGGGCTCAGGTGATACTCCCATCTCAGCCTCTCAAGTAGCTGGGACTACGGACATGCACCACTGTGCCCAGCTAATTTTTTTTGTATTTTTTGTAGAGATGGGGTTTCACTATGTTGCCCAGGCTGGTCTTAAACTACTGAACTCAAGTGACCTGCCTGCCTCAGCCTCCCAAAGTGCTGGGATTACAGGCGTGAGCCAACACACCCAGCCTATTTTTCCTTTTAAAAGTCTGTTATGCAGAAATACCATTTGACCCAGCAATCCCATTACTGGGTATATACCCAAAGGAATACAAATCGTTCTATCATAAAGATATATTCACATGTATGTTCACTGCAGCACTACTCGCCATAGCAAATACTTGGAATCAACCTAAATGCCCATCATTGGTATTTGAAAATAAAATATGGTACATACACCATGGAGTACTATGCAGCCATAAAAAAGAATGAGATCATGTCCTTTGCAGGAACATGGATGGAGCTGGAGGCTATTATCCTTAACAAACTAATGAAGGAACAGAAAACTAGATACCACATGTTCTCACTTACAAGTGTGAGCTAAATGATGAGAACGCATGGACACATAGAGGGGAACAAGAGACACTGGGGCCTATTGGAGGGTAGAGAAAGAGGATCAGGAAGAATAACGAATGGGTACTGGGCTTAAGAGTGTGTAATGAAATAATCTGTACAACAAACCCCACAACACAAGTTTACCTACATAAGAAACTTGCACATGTACTTCTGAACTTAAAAGTTAAAAAGTTAAAAAAAAAAAAGTCTGTTATGGACTGTGTGTTCCCCCACACCAAAATCCGTGTTTTGAAGCCCTAATCCCCCATGTGATGGTATTAGGAGGTGAGGCTTTGGGGAAGTAATTAGGTTTAGCGAGATTATGAGGATGGAGCCCTTGGTGGGATTAGTGCCCTTATTAAAAGAGGAAGGGATACCAGCACTCTCTCTGCAATGTGTGAGGGCACAGCAAGAAGGTGGCCATCTGCAAACCAGGAAGAGAGCTCTCACAAGGAACTGAACCAGCTGGCATCTTGATCTTGGATTTCCCAGCCTCCAGAACTGTGAGAAATAAATTTCTGTTGTTTAAGCCACCTAGTCTACAATATTTTGTTATGGCAGCCCAAATAAACTGAGACAAAGTCTCAGAAACTCATAGACGTGTTGTATCAGAAACCATCCCTTAGAAGAGAAAGTTTCTCATTCTTGCAGTAAAAAGCCAATTAATAAATGGGAGGATAGAATTTGAAAATCATCAGTGAATGCTAAAACTAGTGGGTGAGTGTTTGATGAGGAACAGAATATTAACATAGTCCCCAAAACCTCCTGACAATTTTTTTTTTTTTTGAGACAGAGTCTCACCCTGTCACCCAGGCTGGAGTGCAGTGGTGCGATCTCTGCTCACTGCAACCTCCACCTCCCGGGTTCAAGTGATTCTCCTGCCTCAGCCTCCCAACTAGCTGGGATTACAGGTGCACACACCAGGCCCAGCTAATTTTTGTATTTTTAGTAGAGATGGGGTTTCACCATGTTGGCCAGGTTGGTCTTGAACTCCTGACCTCAGGTGATCCACCCACCTCTGCCTCCCAAAGTGCTGGGATTACAGGTGTGAGCCACCGCACCTGGCCTCAGTGACCAATTGTTTTTTAATTGCAAAAGAAAAAACGGTGGCCAGTGCAGTGGCTCATGCATGTGGTCCCAGGACTTTGGGGGGCAGAGGTGGGTGGAATGCTTAAGCCTAGGAGTTTAAGACCCCCCTAGACAACACGGCAACACCCCATCTCTACAAAAAATACAACAGCTAGCTGGGTGTGGGGGCGCACACCTGTAGTCCCAGCTACTCAGTAGGCTGAGGTGGGAGGATCAGTTGAGCCAGGGAGGGTGAGACTGAAGTGAGCCGAAATCAAGTCACTACACTCCAGCCTAGGCAACAGAGTGAGAGACCCTATCTCAAAAAAAAAAAAAAAAAAAAAGGAAAAATAGTCACTTTACAGTGGGGAAATATGGTGGATACCGCCTTAACCAGAGATCAAAGTACGTGATGTTCTAAGATAAAGCAGCATCATGTACTTTCTCATATAAAGTGCTGAGAAGGACAAAACACTACTTCTGTGGTATTTCTGCTCAAAATATACAACCTGAATGTGATCATTAGGCAAGTCAGAATACTTGTAGGAGTTATTTTGTAGAACATTCTACAAAATAACTGCCCTGTACTTTTTAAAAAATTTCAAGTAAGAGAAAGTCAATGAAAAGCTGAGGAACTCTTCCAGATTAAAGAAGATTACAGAGATGAGACAACCAAATGCACTGCATGGTCTAAGACTGGATTTGACCTGGGAAAGTCAAACAACTACAAAAAGACATTATTAGGGCAATTAATGGAATTTGTCCATGGACCCTGGATTAGATAACAGTATTGTATCAAAGTTAAATTTCTTGTTTTAATCATTTTGCTATGGTTATATAAGAGAATGTCCTTTTTTTCAGCAAATAATCTGAAGTGTTTAGGGGTCTCCTAACATCTCATGGCTCCAATTTACTCTAAAATTTTTTCAGAAAAAAATCATACACACATGCCAGAGACAGAGAGAGAATGATAAAGGAAATGAGCTAAAACAATTGATGATTCTGGGTTAAGGGCACACAGAATTTGAGACTGTATCAAAATTAAAAATTAAAGAAATGTGCTTTGTATCTCAAAGACCCTCTCTTGATGTTAACCTAGGGGCTGGAAAAACACAGATTTTTCTTTTTCTTTTTTTTTTTTTTTTTCTTGTGAGATGGGGTCTTGCTTTGCTGCCCAGACTTGAGTGCAGTGGCGCGATCTCAGCTCACTGCAACCTCTGCCTCCTGGGTTCAAGCAATTCTCCTGCCTCAGTTTCCCAAGTCGCTGGGACTACAGGCACGCACCACCACGCCCAGCTAATTTTTGTATTTTTAGTAGAGACGGGGTTTTGCCATATTGGCCAGGCTGGTCTCAAACTCTTGACCTCAGGTGATCCACCCACCTCAGCCTCCCAAAGTGCTGGGATTACAGGCGTGAGCCACCACGCCCAGCCTAGATTTTTCTTTGAAGCTTTGAATTATTTTGCAAATCAAGATAAGAAACTCAGGAGAGTTCCAGAATGCACAGTGCTAATTTCTATTGGAAATGTAATTACTCTTTTGTTCTAAGTGCTCATCAGATACTGTCTGAGTACTGGTCATTCTGTCTGAAGTGGTTGTTTACAGCGAGCCCTTTTGCAAAATGGAACATTTTCTAATGCCAATTTCGTAAATGGAAACACAATATATGCAAAACAACAACAACAACAACAAAAAAAACAGGCTAAAGGAAATACAATGAATCCACTCAAAATAATTTCAAATGACCTGGCTTTATTTTCTTAACCTTGATGTTACTGTTATAATCCTTCCATACGTGAATCCTGAGGGACAGCAGGATTGTTTAGGGAGAAATCAGTGGGTATCTATTTTCTTATAAAGTACTTATAAATTAGAAACTACATATGGCCATCTTCTCAGTGTCTTCATGCATCCGTTTTTTAAATTACCTTTGCTACTGTCTATTTCTCTATGTTAGACTGCCCACCAGTGTTATGGGGCACCTATTAGGTGCTATGAAAATGTAAAAGACTGAGACATGGGTCTCTGTGGCAGAGACCACTACTTAATAGCCATTCTTTCTTGGAAACAAAAAACCTTTATTGTTGGGTATGTCAGTGTACCTGGCTATAAAATATTTTCCAGCCTTCCTTGCAAATTTGGTGGCCAATGAGCTATTAGCGAGACTTCCAGAAAAAGTCTTTAAAATTTGGCTGGGAAACCTACCCTTTACCCTTAATCCTTTCCTCCTTCTTGCCTGGAACAGAAATATGAAGGCTGGACTTCCAGAAGCCATCTGGTTAACACAAGGAAAAGGCCCCCACCCTGGGGATGGCAGAGGAAATAGCAAAAAGAGGCTATGTTCCTGTTTTTGGATTTTAGAGACAGACTCTTGTGCTGTCACTCTTGCGCTCTCACTGCAGCCTCTAACTCCTGGGGTCAAGCGATCATCCCAGCTCAGCCTCCTGGGAGCTAGAATGACAGGTGTGTGCCCAACATAATAATAAAATAATAAATTTTTTTTAAACAATAAAATTTTAAAATTTTTTTATTTTTGTAGAAATGGAGTCTCGGTATGTTGCCCAGGATGGTTTCAAACTCCCAACCTCAAGCAATCCTCCCACCTTGGCCTCTCAAGGGGCTGGAATTACAGGTATAAGCCACCACACCTGGCCTCAACTCCTGTATCTCCAGAACTAGTGACTGAATACAACTCTTAAATTATATAGTATCTGATTTCATGAACAAATTCAGCAGAGACTAATGCACACAAAATAATTAGAAAACATTGCCCATTTGGGTGAACTGGCTCATGCCTGTAATCCCAGTGCTTTGGGAGGCCGAGGCAGGAGGACTGCTTGAGGCCAGGAGTTTGAGATCAGCCCAGGTAACATTGTGAGACTCCCGTAGTACCAAAAAAAAAAAAAAAAAAGGAAACACTTCCGTATAGTATGTAGTGTAAGAGAAAGTATAGGTAGACAGAGTAAGAGCTTTAGAATCCATCACTCCTGCAGTTCACTCCTCAGCTTAGCAATTTAGAGTGTGTGATTTTGGGCAAATTATATAACATTTCTAAACTTCTGTTTCCCTTTTCATGAAATGAAGATGATAATAATTACCTTGTGTAATTGTAATAAGGAGTAGACATAATGTGCCTGGCACTCAAAATATGCTTAATAAATGATAATAGTAATTTATAAGCTATACAAACTCACAGAAATAAGAAATTGATGTGGATCAAAAGCCTTAGAGAATAAGTAGGATTTTACTATTCAGGATGGGTAAAGGGGAAAGGTATTCCACATGGATAAAAGGAAAGGTAAGTACAACGTGGGTAGAGACATAAAGATTGGCTGAATATAACGTATTTGATAACTACAAGGAAATTAACATAACTGGTATTGAAGAGTTGAGGAAAACGGGATGGCATATAAATAGGGTGAGATCAGGATGGCACAGATGGGGTGGGATCAGGCTGAAAGCCAAAGAGAAGATACACGACTTGATATGGAAGAGCAAGGAGAATTCATAAATTTTGTACAAAAGGAAGGATCAGGACAGACTTAATAAAAGCTCATTACCCTAAGGTCTTCAGTTATCCTAAGTGATTTTCTTTTGGAACAAGTGACAAGGAAATGACTCTGAGTGCCAAATGGAAGGTGAGTGTCTAATCCAAAAAGGTAGCCATTAATTTAATGGAAAGATTTTCTAATGGCAAACATTAATCTAGTTGTTAGAAAGGTACTACAGGGTAGCTTGAGTCCACACAAGCTTTCTTCCTGTGGTTTCTCTATAAAATGAAGAATTATGGCAAAGTTGTTTTTCACTTAAAAAAAAGTAATCAAGCCAATCAGACAAAATATGTTTCTCCATACAAACCATGAAACACCAGCTGAAATTCACTGTTTTGTTTCTCATGGTATCTTTTTCTTCTCTATCTCATTTAAAAAATTCTCTTAGTGGCTGGGCATGGTGGCTCATGCCTGTAATCCCAGCACTTTGCGAGGCCAAGGCGGGCGGATCACTTGAGGTCAGGAGTTCAAGACCAGCCTGGCTAACATGGTGAAACCTTGTTTCTACTAAAAATACAAAAAATTAGCCAGGCATGGCGGTGTGCGCCTGTAATCCCAGCTACTCAGGAGGCTGAGGCAAGAGAATTGTTTGAACCTGGGAGGCGGAGGTTGCAGTGAGCTGAGATCGCACCATTGCACTCCAGCTTGGGCAACAAGAGTGAAACTCCATCTCAAAATAAATAAATAAATAAATAAATAAATAAATAATAAATAAATTCTCTTAGTAATGCCATTTGTTTCCAGAAAATACTTCAGGATTTTCTCGAGGTAAAGATTAAGAGGTCATTAACCCACCCTTTCATGTGGTTTCACAGAATCATCACATTGTACAATAGAGTTCATTATTGCTTTTCCTACATACCAGAATAGAAACTGGCAAGCTAAACCAGCTTCTTGTGACCTGTAGTTTCTAGACAGAGCCCATCCATGAGTTCTAGTCAGAGAATTCTTCTCTTCCTTCTCATAATCTGATATAGAATGTGTAGTAGGAACTATAAGCAAGTGAGTATAAAGTTTAGCTGAGGAAACGCATCCGTGAGATGTCATGGAAAAGGTATGAACTTGGAGTTGAGGAGACTTGACCTTCAGTGCTGACTCTAGAAGTAAACTGGGAAACGTTGAGCAAATCAGATTTTCTCAACTTCATTCTACTCTCCTGTAAAATAAGGATAAACACTTCCTACTTCAACAAGTCCTTCCTTGAGACGTCTGCATAAAATAATGTATGAGAGTGTTCTCTAAAGTTTAAAAAACTGTAGAAGTGTGATATTTTCTATAGACACTTGGAGTGCCTACCCACCCTGTTCCCTTCTTTGGGGAGTGTCCCTATCACACATTCCAAAGGACAGACCCAGGAAGCACATCTGAAATAATCATAGCAACATAACTAAAAGAAAAGAGCTGGCCGGACGCGGTGGTTCACGCCTGTAATCCCAGCACTTTGGGAGGCCGAGGCGGGCGGATCATGAGGTCACAAGCTCGAGACCAGCCTGGCCAACATGGTGAAACCCCATCTCTACTGAAAATACAAAAAATTATCCGGGTGTGGTAGCGCACGCCTGTAGTCCCAGCTACTCAGGAGGCTGAGGCAGAAGAATCACTTGAACCCGGGAGGTAGAAGTTGCAGTGAGCCGAGATTGTGCCACTGTACTCCAGCCTGGGTGACAGAGACTCTCTCTCAAAAAAAAGAAAAGAAAAGAGTGACAGTTTGGGATGATGAAAAAGTTATTGGGATGGATAGTGTGATGGTCGCACAACAACATGTATGTATTTAATGTCACTGAATTGTACACGTGAAAGTAGTGTACCTTGACTAAGGTGGGAAGATTGCTTGAGTCCAGGAGTTTGAGACCAGCCTGGGCAAAATAGTGAAACCCCATCCCTACAAAAAAAGTTTAAAACTTACCCAGGAATAGCGGTACACATCTGTAGTCCTAGCTGCTTGAGAGGCTAAGGTGGGAGAGTCACTTGAGCCCAGGAGTTTGAGGCTGCAGTGAACTATGATAAAGCCACTGCACTCCAGCCTGGGCAACACAGTGAAAGTCCCCGTGCAGGCCAAAGTTATAAGGGAGCAGGGAACAAGGTATGGGCAGCAAAAGTCTGAAGGAAATAAGAGACCAGAGAAGGGTGAGGGGGATTGTCTGACAACTTTCCAATTTCTATGTGTCTTGCACATTGTATCTTCGTGACTGCCCTATGTGCTTATTAACATAACTGCTTTCACTTAGGCTACTCCAATGAGCTTTGCAATTTGCAACCAAGTGAGTTCTAATTATTCTACAAAGTATTTCAAGAGTAAAGAAGAGCTGTGTATGCAAAAATATCTGGAGCATTGCTCTTTATAATAATGAAACTTTGGAAAGAACTGAGTTGCCCAATAACTAGGGAATAATAAATTGTACTATGTCCATTCAATGGACTATTATGTAATCATTACAGTACATGGACATAAAAACTGTGCATAACTAGAGTAATTACAGTAGTCTTAAAAAATAAATACATGCTTATAAGGATTGAGAAAAGCTGGGTGTGGTGGCTCATGCCTATAATCCCAACATTTTGAGAGGCTGAGTCAGGTGGATCACTTGAGACCAGCAGTTCAAGACAGCCTGGTTAACATTGCAAGACCCCACCTCTACAAAAAATTTAATAATTAGCAGGGCGTGGTAGCACATACCTATAGTCCCAGCTATTCAGGAGGCTGAGGTGGGAGGATCACTTAAGCCCAGGAGTTCGAGGTTGCAGTGATCTGTAATTATGCCACTGCACTCCAGCCTGGGTGACAGAGCAAGCAAGACCTCATCTCAAAAAGAAAAAGAAAAACAATTGAGAAAAAAGCTATGCAAATATATCAAAAGCTGTGATGGTAGGAAAAAGGGGTGTGTGTGTGTTTTCTATATTGTTCAAAATCATATGAAGTTTTTTTGTTTGTTTGTTTTTAGAGATGGGGGGGGTCTCATTATTTTGCCCAGGCTGGCCTCAAACTCCTGGCTCAACTCCTCCTGCCTCAGCCTCCCAAGTAGCTGGGACTACAGGTGTGCACCACCGTGCCCAGCTTGTATTAAGTTCTTGAGAAAAATTTGAGAGCTCTTAAAAATCCCCTTTATTAAAATATTTGATAGAATTTTCAAGTTTCAGAACTTAAAATAATTTTAGAAGTCAATAAGTATAGATTTTCATTTCTTCAGACTGTACATTTCTAGTGATAATGAGCTCTCTGCTCTCTAATATAAAGTAACTGTACCCAGGTAGGAAGATCGCTTGAGCCCAGGAGCTGGAGACCAGCCTGCACAACATAGAAAGACCCCATCTCTAGAAAGAATTTAAAAATTTAGCCAGGAGTGGTGGCATGTGCCTATAGTCTTAGCTACTCGGGAGGCTGAGGCAAGAGGATCGCTCCTCTTGCCAGGAGGTCAAGGCTGCAGTGAGCTGTGATGACACCATTGTACTCCAGCCTGGGCAACAGAGTGAGACCTTGTTTCTGAAGAAGAAAATAATAAATAAAACAAATAAATCAATAAAGTCTCTATAAAGTGGCTGCCCACCCTCTGCTTGAACAACTTTGGGGACCTAAGTGCCCAAGTTGCTCCTATGATTGGCTTGTTACAAAGTTCTGCCTCACATTATGTCTGTAGTTTCTTCCCCTTAGCTCTAGTTTTCCCTGTTGAGGTCAAGTCTATCCCTTCTTACGTGGGAATGTTTGGGGCCATCCGGGTGCACAACCTGTGCAACAGGGCACTGTGTCCAGAAGGGCCCCAAGCTTGGTTTAATGCTCTTATGTTGCCATTTTGAAATTCTTTTTCTTTTTTCTTTTCTTTTTTTTTTTTTTTTTGAGACAGAGTTTTGCTCTTGTTGCCCAGGCTGGAGTACAATGGCGCGATCTCAGCTCACTGCAACCTCTGCCTCCCGGGGTCAAGCAATTCTCCTGCCTCAGCTTGCTGAGTAGCTGGGATTACAGGCATGTGCCACCACGCCCAGCTAATTTTTGCATTTTTAGTAGAGACGGGGCTTCCCCATGTTGGTCAGGCTGGTCTGGAACTCCCGACCTCAGGTGATCTGCCCGCCTCGGCCTCCCAAAGTGCTAGAATTACAGGCGTGAGCCACCATGCCCAGCCATTCCATTTTGAAATTCTTAATACTTTTTTGAAGAAGGGGACCCACTTTTTCAGTTTGCACTGGGCCCCACAAATTATGTAGCCAGTCATGAAAATATTTCACATAACTTTTATGTCAAACCTCCCCATTCCTTTAGACATCTTTGTTTGTTTGTTTTGAGACAAGGTCTCACTCTGTCACCCAGGCTGGAGTGCATTGGCATGATCTTGGCTCACTGCAACCTCCGCCTCCCAGGTTCAAGCAATTCTCATGCCTCAGCCTCCTGAGTAGCTGGGATTACAGGTGCCCACCACCACACCCAGCTAATTTTTGTACTTTTAGTAGAGACGGGTTTTGCCATGTTGGCCACGCTGATCTCAAACTCCTGGCCTCAAGTGATCTGCCCACCTTGGCCTCCCAAAGTGCTGGGATTACAGGCGTGAGCCACCGCACCCAGTCTTGTGTGTGTGTGTGTGTGTGTGTGTTTGTGTGTGTTTGTGTAGAGACAGGATCTCGCTATGCTGCCTAGGTTGGTCTCAAACTCCTGGCCTCAAGCAATCCTCCTGCCTCAGCCTCCCAAAATGCTGGGATTACAGGCTTGAGCCGCCACACCCAGCCAGTACACACACACATACATATTAACCTCATCTGATAGTTTGAGATAATAGATGGGAAAGTGTTTTGAACAGTAAAAGTCCTATGAAAATGCAAGGGGGCCAGGTGTGCCACCACTGCCAACCTAGACATCCTTTTGACCATGCCAGTTGCTCTCTTTGTTCCCACAACTCACTACAGACTCTAGATATGATTGAGTCAGTGTGGAGTATAGAGATAACTCAAACAACCTTGTTATAAAAGTTCCTAGTATGTATGTTTTTAGTAATAGATAATGCTTATCCAATGTTTCCTATATGGCAGGCATTATGTTAAATACATTATATGTGTTATTTAGTCCTCACCACCATCTTTCTAGTTAAGAAACAGATTTATCTTCAGTTTACAGATAAGTAAACTGTGGCTTCGAGAGGTTACATCATTTGTAAGCTACTACAGTCAATAGGTGGCAGAAAGAAACTCAAACCCAGGTTTGACTGACTCTTTTACACTATATTCTACTATGGCTTCTCTCAAATTATTAGAGGTATTCACACTATTTGGGGACACTAAAGGCAACACACATTGAGCTGCGTACCAGTGGTGATCTTACTGTCAATGACTTTTGATCTAGGGTGATTCAGCAGGAAAGGTATTTTTGGATGCTGACTGAGCTTCTCCGACACAGCCATTGCCTTTTCCAGGGTTATGTGTTCTATTTGGTTCCTTCCTGAGGATTCCCCCCATTCCCCTAGGCTTAGCCTCTGTATTAGTTTCCAATAGCTGCTGTAAGAAACTACCACAAACTTAGTGTCTTAAAAACAACACAAGTTGTTTTTAAGGTCAAAAGTCTGAAATGCGAAGAGGCACAGTGGCTTACACCTGTAATCCCAGCACTTTGGGAGGCTGCAGCGGGTGGATCACCTGAGGTCAGGAGTTCAAGACCAGCCTGGCCAACATGGCAAAACCCTGTCTCTACAAAAAATATAAAAATTAGCCAGACATGGTGGTGGGCACCTATAATCCCAGCTACTCGGGAGGCTGAGGCAGGAGAATCCCTTGAAATTAGGAGGTGGAGGTTGTAGTGAGCCAAGATTGCCCCACCACACTCCAGCCTGGGCAACTAGAGCAAGACCCTGTCTCCAAAAAAAAAAAAAAGAAGTCTGAAATTGGGCCTCAAAGGGCTAACATCAAGGTGCTAGCACAGATGCTTTCCTTCTGGAGGCTCTGGAAAGAATCTGTTCCTTGACCTTTCTATCGTCTAGAGGCCACCTGCCTTCTGTGGCTCGAGGCCACTTCACTCCAGCCTGTGCTTCTGTCATCACATCTTCTCCGACTCTCCTGCTTCCCACTTGTAAGAACCCTGTGATTACCCTGACCCACCTGGGTAATCCATAGTAATCTCTCGACCTTACAATCGGGATGAGCAACCTTCATTCCATCTGCAACCAGAATTCCCTCTGGCATTTAACATAACGTGTTCTCAGGTTCCAGGGATCAGAATGTGGACCTTTATTCTACGGACCATTATTCTGTCCACAACAATCTCCCTACTCAGCCCTCACATACACACACATGCCCAGGTCCCCCTGTGCTCTGGATTTCAGGGCCTTCCCCATCCCACTCACCTACCCATAGTGGCGCTCTGGTTTTTCTGTATTCATTCAACAAACATTTATAGAACACCTATTATGTCCTAGGCATTTTGCGAGGGGCAAGGGATACCACGAAAAAAAACATAGTCCTGCTTTGAAGGACCTCACATTTCAGAGGAGCTGACAGAAAAATCATGAAACACAAGAAAACATGGCAAATATTGGGGTGGGGTAAAGGAAGCCCAGGAAGTGAAGTTTTTATATAGGACTTGGGGTCTGGGGAGGGCAGGGATATACAAAGATGTATATCATCGCTCCTGTTGCTATCACAGATCCATCATTTCAATGTAGTGGGTATCATCACGGAAAAAGAGGGCCTGCAATCTGGGCTCAGGATTTCCTGAAATGTCAAGTGCCCAAACTGATGGCAGGCAGAGCTGGACTGCTCAGAGACCACAAAGTGCAGGGACACCAGACCTCCTGAAGGCCTGGCTGTCGCACGGGTCGGAGCAGCCAGCAAGAGCTCCTTATTACCGTGGCGAGGAGACCGCGCCAAGTGGAAAAAGCTATTTACAGTGTTGAAGGGGGAAGGGCTCATCCCAGTGGGTGATTTTCTCATTTCCCCAGGCTGAACCTGACCTAAAACAAACTTTCATTTTCAAAGCTGAAAGGGGAAAACTTGCTACATACACAAAGATGGAGTTTTAGTTCCTCTGCATCTCAAATGTGGAGTCTGAGGAAAGAGCCAGTACCCCGTAAGCACTGGATGTTTTCTGTTTTAGATACTGTATCAGCCCAGGACCCTGGATATGCCTAGCGACCCACCTGTGCTCCAACCTGTGCTCTCTGTGTCGTCTCCTACCTGATGGCCTCTGTGTAACCCTTATCATAGCAAACACAGAAGCGATCATCTGATTCTGTATGTTCCTGTACACAGACATTTCACAGGAACCATGGGGCGCTAGTTTCCAGCTCTGTACTGAACTCTACTGTCTCCTTTCAGAAACACAAGCAAATACTTATACTATATATACATACAGTTGGTCCTCCCATCTGAAGATTCAACCAGCCATGGATCAAAAATATCTGGGCTGGGCACGGTGGCTCACGCCTGTAATCCCAGCACTTTGGGAGGCCAAGGTGGGTGGATCACCTGAGTTCAGGAGTTCTAGACCAGCCTGGCCAACATGGTAAAACCCCGTCTCTAGCAAAAATACAAAAAATTAGCCAGGCATGTTGGCAGATGCCTATAATCGCAGCTACTACTTGGGAGGCTGAGGCAGGAGAATCACTTGAATCCAGGAGGCGGAGGTTGCAGTGAGCAGAGATCTCACCACTGCACTCCAGCCTGGGCAAGAAGAGCAAAACTCTGTCTCAAAACAAAACAAAACAAAACAAAAAAATCTGGAAAAGAAAAACAAAACAAAAAAACCCTCAAAACAGAAAACACTATAAGAATAAAAAATAACGAATTTTAAAGCAGTACAGTATAACAACTATTTACATAGCATTTACATTGTATTAGGTATTAGAGGCAGTCTAGAGATGATTGAAAGTATACGAGAGGATGTGCATGGGGTAAATGCAAATATTATCCCGTTTATTATCAGGAACTTCAGCTTCCATAGATTTTGCTACCTGAGGGAATCCTGAACCAATCTCCCTCAGATACTGAAGGACAACTGTATATACTTTTCATTTTCTTAGTCTTAGTTATGAAAAACCAGGCACTCTTATTTAACACACACACACACACACACACACACACACAAACACACCCCAGAAATTTCTTTTTACAGTTGCTCATACACAAAAAGCATAGAGAAGACTGAATTCATGTTACATCAGGTGACTTGGTGAAATAACTGGTGTTTCATATAGGGCTTTAGAGTTGGCCGAAGGTTGTCCTGGCCACTGAATTTTCTCCTTATAACAACCTTATGGAATAGCTGTCTTTGATGCGGGTCCAGTAAGTACTAGGTACCTGTCAAATCCAGAGTCCTCTTCTGAGAGCACTGACTCAACGGGGACTTTTCATTTTTTACTATGTTTGATAAAATAACTTCTGTTCTTGGTCTACAGAGAACTAAACTGAGGATGAGTTCAACTCTCTGCTTTTCTGCTTTTAGTCCCTATCTGCTAGGTGGTCATCAGCCTCAGCCAGAACACCTCTATCGCATGGGCATCACCTCCAAGGCAAGCTCCGGCTTCAGTTTGTTCTGACTGATGGCCAGAGAGAGAAGTGTAAAGATTCTCCTAGTGCTTCTGCAAGAGAACCACAGAGAGGAAAACACCTTTCAAGGAGTTTGGTGTGGGCCCATTACAGGTTCTCTATGTTGGAAATGACAAACCAACCCAATCAGATCCTTTCTGCAGGACAATATGAATGACAGGTGGTCTCAGAAAAAGTAGATCATGGAATCTAATGTTTTTCACTCAAAACAGTGCATGAGACCTGCTGTTTATCCCAATCGCAGAAATATGAGGACTTGGAGTTACTCTGTGACTAAAGAAGACATGGTATTGCATCTTTGTAATTAGCCTCCATTAATAAGGGGAATATAATATAAAGTCCTAATTTTTATGCCTATTCTAAAGGTGAGGAGATGGAGTCTCAGAGATATGAAGTAATCCACAAGGTCTCCTAGCTAGGAAGTGGCACCTACTTTCAATAACCTTGGTTACAGATTTTCATTAATAATAAAACAAACTCAATAGAAAAACTTTTTTAAATGTATAGACTTCAGATAATAAAAACAAAAACCTATACCACAATTTGGATGAATCTCCAGGGAGTTATTCTACATTGAAAAAAAGCCAATTCCAAAATGTTACATAGCATATGATTATATATATATATAGTTTGTTTTTGTTTTTTGTTTTTGAGACAAAGTCTTGCTCTGTTGCCCAGGCTGGACTGGAGTGGCATAATCTTGGCTCACTGCAACCTCTGCCTCCCAGACTCAAGTGATTCTCCCACCTCAGCCTCCTGAGTAGCTGGGACTACAGGCATGCACCACCACACCTGGCTAATTTTTTTTTTTTTTTTTTTTTTTTTGCTTGTTTGTTTGTTTAGATGGAGTCTCCCTCTGTTGCCCAGGCTGGAGTGCAGTGGCACAATCGCAGCTCACTGCAACCTCCGCCTCCTGGAGTCAACAATTCTCCTGCCTCAGCCTCCCAAGTAGCTGGGATTACAGGGGCCCACCACCACACCTGGCTAATTTTTGTATTTTTAATAAAGATAGGGTTTCACCATGTTGGCCAGGCTGGTCTCGAACTCCTGACCTCAAGTGATCCACCCGCCTTGGCCTCCAAAAGTGCTGGGATTACAGACGTGAGTCACCGCACCTGGCTGAATTTTTGTATTTTTTAAGAGATGAGGTTACACTGTGTTGGCCAGGCTGGTCTCAAACTCCTGACCCCAGGTAATCCACCTGCCTCGGCCTCCCAAAATGCTGGGATTACAGGTGTAAACCACTGTGCCCAGCCCTATTTACGTAACATTTTTGAAAGGACATAATTTTAGAAAGCAAGGATAGACTAGTGGTTGGCAAAGGTTAGAGATATGGATGGGGCTGGGTTTGGAGGCTCAGCAGGCTGGGACCCTGAACTGGTGATGTGGAGATGGTTGTTTCTGCTTTTTGGCAAAGTGCAGAGTGAGCTTTAGGTCAGATGTTTTTCAGTGAGCCCATCACAGGAAATCCTTGGCTTTCAGGACAATTTCTGAGCTTATTGTCTACCTTAGAGAAAGTAAATGAAGTTGCAAGTTTTTCAAATGGGTTAGTGTGACATTAGGATTAATACCTACGTACCTGCCTGTAGAAAAAGAATGCTTATGGCAGCTTGGTGCTGTAGAGAGTCAACGTGACTTTTAAGTGAAGGTGAAGATTGATGACAATCTGCAAACCACTGCACCTGTGTGGTGGAAAGTCAGGGTGACCAGATGGCTTGGGAAGTGGAGCCTGAAAGAGTAGTTCCAATTTGGTCTTGTTGTTTTTGCTGAGCTGGTGGCTGTTTGTAGCCAACAGGCCAACGGCAAGGGGAGAGATGTACACGCAGTTTGGGCGGCAGTACAAGAGAGGAGTGAAGCAAAAGAGGACAACTGAGTGCAACAGCAAGATTCATAGCTCCAGCAGGCTGTGTCCTGCTGTCACCCTTGGAGACTGTGATGCCCTGGGCAAGTCTTTTCTCTGAGTTTGATTCTCTGTTTGTAAAACATAACAATGAACTGTTGCCCAGCCTACATTACCAGGTTGTTGGAACAAATGGAATGATGCAGGTAAAAATATTGTGTGATTATAGACTAGTAATGGGATTTGGTAGCATTCCAAATCTAGTGGTCCCTAAATAAATAATTTCTGTACCTATGTTTTAGAAAGTAAGTCAACTCAGTCTGAAGACTGGTGGGTCCACGGTCCTCGGTCAGCACCGCTAAATGACTGGGTCTTGGCAGTGCCTGTCACACTCACCATGAGTTCTTGTATTGGGTCATACAGCTGGGGAGGAAGAAGGCATGATGGCCACATCAAAGCTGAGCTCTAATAACTGCAGCGGACTTCTTACTTTGCTCCCATGGCTGATCTCTGGCCCAAAGCCAAGCATATAGCAAGTCTAATGAATGAATGAATGCTTATCTAATTTAGTGAAGGGTTTTTTTTTCTCCTTTTCTGCTTAGGTAATTTGGTCAGTTACTAAGATTGGAAGTGACAGACAGGAGAAGAGAGACTATCACAGTGGGTAAGGGTCTAGCTAAAGACCCTCTGGGAGAGTGGCAGTTAGAGTTCAAAAACCTTCTCTGTGATGTGGCATTTGTGTGGTGGGAAGCATGAAAGCATGGTGGGAAGCATGAAATCATGGTGGCTCTGGAGTCAGGGGGTTGTGTGAGTGACCTAGCTTTATCCTCTGTGAGCCACAGTTTCTGCATCTGTGCAATGGTGATGATGACAGTGCCCTCCTCATAGAACTGTCATGAGGACTAAATGAGATCAACAGATATAGAACAGCTGGCACAAGCAGGAACACAATAATATGGGCCCTTTCCTTTCTCTTTCCCCTCTTCACATGATAGGAAAAAGATGTCATCACTCCTTTAAAATATCTCTCTTGCAAGTTTTTGAGAGAGAATGAAAATGGGAGCCTCAAATAGCTAAGCTTATCCTCTTTATAGCTCCTGGAAGTAAATCTTATCAAGCTTGGGATTTGGAGTCAGACAAACATAGCTTCAGATCCAAGCTCCACCAATTACAAGCTATGTGATCTTAAACACATCAGTTAATCTCTTCTAATCTGTCTTCTCAAGAGCTAAATCATATCTAAGAATATGGTTGTTTAGAAAGTTAAATGGGTGGTGTATGTAAAGTGTCTAGGACAGTATCTTATACACAGTCAGAACTCAATAAGTGGTCACTCTTTTAAGAACTGTCTTGGGTGTGGCACAGGGAGTGCACAGAAAAATGGAGAGCAGAGTGTCCACAGACATCACTATTATTTTTCATAATCATCAGCAATCCTTGGTTCCACCTGTGCAGTACTTTCTTCCCACTAGAGTTCAACAATAGTTTACTTTGAAAGACTTGGGGGATATGAATGAACAACAGGGTGGTATGATGCACTCCCAATACCCCACCTGCAGGCCCGGATGAGGCCCTTAAGTCAGACACGGACAAGCTGGAGGCCATGCCAAAGGGAGCCCACAGGATGGAAAACGGCTGGAAAGATGCCAAGCCAGGAGTGTCTGAGGGACTGGGACAAGAGACACCCACTGAGGAGTATAAGTAAACCAAGATTATATTTTCCTTTATTTCGTCATTCTTAAAGGGGAGGACTCAGACCAACGTTTGGAAGTTACCTGGAGATAAAATTCAGCTTGATACAAAGAATTTTCTGACAATGCAGCCATTCAATGACAGTGTAGCTGTCCATCAGTGGAACAGGCCATTTGGTTGAAGGAGACCTGAGTCCCAGAATCTGGCACTGGGGATGGGGCTGAAGGGGGTAGGTAGGCTGGTTCAAATAGCTCCCAGGTCTCTCACAGCTCTGAAATTCTGGTTTTTTGTGTTTTTAGTAGAGATGGAGTTTCACCATGTTGGTCAGGCTGGTGTCGAACTCCTGGCCTCAAGTGATCCACTCGCCTCAGTCTCCCAAAGTGCTGGGATTACAGGTGTGAGCCACCGCAGTGTGAGCCACCGCATCCAGCCCCAACCTCTTTTTTTTTTTTTTTTTTTGGTTAACTTTTTCATTTCAGTGTCAGGCACAATGGCCCACACCTGTAATCCCAGCACTTTGACAGGCTGAGGGAGGATCACTTGAGGCCTGGAGTTCAAGACCAGCCTAGGCAACACAGTGAGATCCCATCGCTATAGGAAAAAAAAAATAGCTAGGCATCTTGGCACATACCTGTAGTCCTAGTTACTTGGAGGCTGAGGCAAGAGGATAGCTTGAGCCCAGGAGTTGGAGTCAACAGTGACCTACGATTATGCCATTGAACTCTAGCCTGGGTAAAACCCTGTCTCCAAAAAATTTTTTTTGTTTCATTCTAACCATACAGTGGGGGAAAGGAAGCTACTGTTACCATGAATACTTAAAAACTGATTTTGAAATTAAAAATAACTACTTCCCCTTTGAAACACATTATTTAATCCCATGAACCTCAGTTTCCATATCTGTAAATGGGATGATATTTACCTATATAGATTGTTCATTAATTCAAAAACATTTGAACCTGGTCCTACTTGGTAGGGACTTATCTCATAACTAAAAAGTCATACAAGGCTGGGCGCGATGGCTCACGCCTGTAATCCCAGCACTTTGGGAGGCCAAGACGGGCAAATCACAAGGTCAGGAGATCGAGACCATCCTGGCTAACACGGTGAAACCCCGTCTCTACTAAAAATACAAAACAATTAGCCGGGCGTGGTGGCAGGTGCGTGTAGTCCCAGCTACTCGGGAGGCTGAGGCAGGAGAATGGCGTGAACCTGGGAGGCGGAGCTTGCAGTGCGCCGAGATCACGCCACTGCACTCCAGCCCGGGCAACAGAGCGAGACTTCATCTCAAAAAAAAAAAAAAGTCATACAGATCGCACAGAGCTTACATTCTAGTGGAGTCAGGCAGCGTTAAACACAGTAAGTATACTGAAGTACGTTAGTGTGGACGTACTGTGTGCAAGTGTTAATGCTATGAACAAATAAGGCAGAAAAAGGGACAGGGAGGGGGATGTGGCTTCTGTGAAAGAATTGAGATAATACAGGTAAAAAAAAAATCAGTTGTGGACAGTTCAATAGAAAGTCCTCAAACAATGTTAAGCTATTACTACCACAGGGACTTCTGAGCCCACGGACCTACAGTTAAGTGCATCATCCCACTTCTGAATTATTAAATAGGTGACGTATATTCAAAGAAAAAAACCAAACAGGAGTAGATCCTGATGTTGTTTGCAGGTGGAAGAAAAGAATCAATGAAAATGTCATGATTTGGGGGTTCTGGCATAGCCTCATTTGTCAAGGATGCTGATAAGAATCTGTGGAAAATTTAGAAATGCAGAAACCTGGGCTTGAACTGAGTGACATCAGGTAAGTGACCTAGTTTTTCTAGGTCTTCATTTTCCCTGCATTTGACCAGGGCTGTTGTGACACTCAGTTGTAACATGTAAAATACCAGACACACAGCAGGTATCGCTAGCATATATTATTATTACCATTGTCCAAACAAGCTCATCTGCATTTTCAGAGACTTTCAATGTGCTCAGGATGAAAAAATAAGGCAGTATTTCTCAGGAGGGCACATTCCACAATCATGTGTTACTAGGAGTTGGACTAAGGTCGCTTGTTATGAGAACACACGAGGAAAACATAAGGAAGTATTCAACCGATTAAATGCTCAATCCATTTCTCAGCCTTACTAGCTCCTTGGCTGCAGTCTTCAGAATCTCAGAAGATGCAAACAAAGACACGCTGATTCATTTAAAATAGTTCTTCGTATAAATCTGAGAGTTTAGCCAAAAAACAGTCCAAAAGGATTTATGAGGTGTGCTTTCCTTCACAGAGCCTGCAAGTCAAGGAGGCTACCTTTAATCAGCCTGAGTTTCCCAGACACCTCTGTAGCGTCGTCCCTTTGCTTCTTACCACTCTGATTGAGAGTCTTGGGAAATGGGCATTTAATATGTTTTCTGTTGAACTTTTTCTCATGGGAGCAGCTGTACGAGGAAGGGTTTCTTTCTGCTTTCCCAAGGGAAAAATCAGAAATCACTTCACTCCCATTTCTGCAAGTTCAAAAGCAAATGAAATCTTTGAGGCATTTATTGGTGTTAGTACCTTGTCCACTATCCACCCCTAAGGCAACGGGATCTATTTCTAGAATTGGAAGTCCCTCATTCACTGTCAATAGCCTTTTTCTGCTGTTAGGGGGCTTGCATCCACAATCTGCCCCTTCCAGGGGCAGCTGTAACCACCTGGACTTCAAAAGGAGTAAGGGCGAGGCCTGGCATGGTGGCTCATGCCTGTAATCCCAGTACTTTGGGAGGCTGAGGCGGGAATATCTCCTGGAGCCAGGTGTTTGAGACCAGCCTGAGCAACAAAGAGAGATCCTGTCTCTACAGAAAAATTTAAAAATCAGCCGGCCAGGTAGTGCACACCTGTAGTCCCAGATACTCAGGAGGCTGAGGCAGGAGGATCCTTTGAGCCCAGAAGTTTGAGGCTGCAGTGAGCCATGATCGTGGCCCTGCACTCCAGCCTGGGTAACAGAGTGAGATCCTGTCTCAAACAAACAACAATGACAAAAAACACAACCCAAACAACAACAAAAAGACTACACAAAAACTCACTTCTTCACGAACTTCAAAAGAGGTTGGTCCCTAGAAGAACCACCCACCTTGGTGGGCATGAGCTTTCTGACTGGCCACGGGTCCTTCCTTTGGGATACCATCCATATTCTAACTCACTCCTTGGGGCACATGTTTGTTGAGAGGCACTGCTGTGGTCCACAGATGGGTTGTGGAGGGTACTCTTTTGTGGGGCACTAGCAAAAAAGCTTAAGTTCCAAGCCATCACCCACATATTCACTGGAGGCCATGATGTCCAAGGAACCTCATATCCTCACCCCACCAAATGTAGTGTCGCTCCCTGTCTCTCTCCTGCCTCCTTCTCTTAGCATTGCAAGCCCTGGGCATAGGGAGCTCTTTCTGGGATAGTGGCTTACCAATTTTCAGACAATCATGATGTCAAATTCGCATGCTCCGCTTCGCTGAGAGAAGTTCCCACAAAAGGTGACATCTCCCCCTCCTCCAGTCATCTTTTTATGGGGGTGAAGGGTGGGGGCAATGTGAGAATTGGTTCTGCTGAAATGACACCTTTTGAAAAAGCTCTGCAGGAAAATGCCGCAGAGATGCAGATCTCTGACCACAGAAAGTGGGGATTTTGAACACCTTGTTTTTAGCTGTGGGTTCTTCTCACCCATACTTAGCAAACAGGAAACATTCCACTCACATCTCATAGTACACTAGTTTTCTACTGTGAACTCCATGCCAGGCTTATGCCAGACACTGCAAACACAACAATGGGTAGAGCCATGTTTCTTGTTTCACAGAATTCGCCATCTAACGAGACATTAAAAATATGCACCCGCAACACACGTGATTCAACTGTGACAAGTGCTCTGAAGGAAAAGCACAAAGTGCCATGAGATCAGACCTAGGCAGGATGTCAGGAAAAGGTCTCTGAGGAATCAGTACTTAGCCAGAAACTGAAGGATAAGAGGTAAGGTGAACTGAATGGTAAGGGTGTCCCAGGCAGAAGGAAATGCATCTGACACAGAAAGGACTTGATTCCCTGACAAAGGCCAGGCCAGTCAACTGGGTACAAGAGATGGGACCTGAGGAGTAGGTGGGACCACACTGCCCAGGGCATCATGGGGCAGCTGAAGAGGAGAAGCCACTAGAGTGTTTTAAACCAGAGGGTTTTTAAGTGATGGCATGATCAAACTTTCATTTTACAGAGGTAACTCCAGCTGAAGAGTAGAGAAGGCATCAGAAAAAGGCAACAGTGGACAGGGGAGGCAGTGTATGGTGCAAATTTTAAAGCAATTTTACACATGCTGGGTCTAACTCTGTTTCGAAGCCTCACCTACTAATCAACATAATATTAACTTCTTACATTGTTTCTGGACTCAAATGCCTGCTTCATCACTGACTAGCTGTGTGGCTTAGGGACCCACTGGGAGCCTGAGAGCCTCCTCAGGTTCTTCAATTAGGAAACATGGAGAACTCTTCTACTCTTTGAGGATTTCAATGAGGATGAAATGAGTGCTTTGGTACACAGGCGCTCAACAAATATTGACTCATCTCAAGCAAATACAATTAAGGAAATAAAAGGAGAAAGGGAAAGCCTCTTCTAGCTATTTGATCCAATTACTTAAAATTCTACCTGTAAATTATGCAGGGGATAAGCATTTATTTAACAGTAGCAAATTTTATGCTATTAGACTAGTGCTATTAGAATAGCTTGAGACCTGATAGGTATGTCAGGTTTTTTTTTTTTTAACAGAAATTAGTGAATGATGATAAGTGGAAAGATTCATGTCTCAATATACACTATATATTACACTAGACTTTTAAAATTAAAAATCCATAATTCCCTCTCCATAAAAAAGGGTGTCTATATTCCCAGTGATATGGTTTTCCAGAAATCTAGTCCCTATCAATATAAATCTGGGAATTTCTGCCATTCCAGAGGATCTAAGCTTCTACACTACCAATACTGCATACTAAGGTATCAGCAAATGTAGCACTCCTCCTCAGTCTGATGTCCACAGCACACCCGGGTTGATCACAGGTAGACCCAGAAAGGTGGTTACAGCACTCCTTCCTGCAGAGCCCAGATGTGGTCTCAGAAGTCTTCCCAGCAAAGTGCCCTAGACAGCTAGCCCCCAGTGGACCCCAAGATATTCCTGGTTCGAAGATACTCATTTTCAAATTGAAAAAAACCAATGGGAGTCTAAGTAATTTTTCTGCAATTTCATTTACAAAGATAGTAGCAAAAAAGTGAAAATACATTTTCTACAGACTAAATCGAAATGGTTCTCTATTTCTTCTCACCTTTTAACATCATCAATCTCCTCATAATCTCATGGAAAATAAAATACAGTAATAGTCTAAATGCACAAAGCAACGTATAATCAGCTTACTTTACTCCATTTCAATTATGTGCATTTTAACATATTTACATTAGAAGCATGTATTACAACCCGAAACCTTGTCAGACAGCTTAAAGAACCCAGCTGAGAATGTTCCATACCTGCTTGCTTATTTGTTTATTAAGAGACAGGGTCTGGCTGTTACCCAGGCTGGAGTGCAGTGGCACCATCCTAGCTCACTGCAGCATCAAACTCCTGGGCTCACGCAATCCTGCCTCAGCCTCCGGAAGAGCTGGGACTACAAGCATGCACCACCACGCCTGGCTATTTTTTTTTTTTTTTTTTTTTTGGTAGAGACAGTCTCACTTTGTTGCTCAGGCTGGTCTTGACCACTTTGGTCTCCCAGAGTACTGGGATCACAGATGTGAGCCACCACACCCAGCTCAGGCACACATTCTTGTACTTGGCAATCTCCTCCAGTGGGAATCCTTACACTCATCATGTCTTAAATATGAAAGAAAAATACAAAATGGACTTTTGGTGCCTCCCTTACCTAACTCGTTCATGCTTCATGAAGAATTCTTGTGGTTACAAATGATGACTAGGCCGGGCATGGTGGCTCACACCTGTAATCCCAGCACTTTGGGAGGCCGAGGCAGGTGGATCACCTGAGGTCGGCAGTTCAAGACCAGCCTGACCAACACGGTGAAACCCCGCCCCTACTAAAAATACAAAATCAGGCTGGGCGCAGTGGCTCATGCCTGTAATCCCAGCACCTTTGGGAGGCCGAGGCGGGCGGATCACGAGGTCAGGAGATCGAGACCATCCTGGCTAACACGATGAAATCCCATCTCTACTAAAAATACAAAAAACTTAGCCGGGTGTGGTGGTGGGTGCCTGTAGTTCCAGCTACTTGGGAGGCTGAGGCAGGAGAATGGCGTGAACCCGGGAGGCAGAGCTTGCAGTGAGCTGAGATCGCGCCACTGCACTCCAGCCTGGGCGACACTCCAGCCTGGGCAACACTCCAGTCTGGGCACTCCAGCCTGGGTGTCAGAGCGAGACTCCATCTCAAAAAAAAAAAAAAAAAAAATTAGCCAAGCATGGCGGCGCATGCCTGTAATCCCAGCTACTCAGGAGGCTGAGGCAGGAGAATCGCTGGGACCCGGGAGGCACAGGTTGCAGTGAGCCAAGATCACGCCATTGCACTCCAGCCTGGTGACAGAGCAAGACTCTTGTCTCAAAAAAAAAAAAAAAAAAAAAAAAAAGACTAGAGGCTGGGCACAGTGGCTCACGCCTGTAATCCCAGCACTTTGGGAGGCTGAGGTAGGCAGATCACCTGAGGTCAGGAGTTTGAGACCAGTCTGGTCAACATGGCGAAACCCCATCTCTAAGAAAAAATACAAAAATTAGCCAGGCATGGTGGCATATGCCTGTAGTCCCAGCTACTCGGGAGGCTGAGGCAGGAAAATCGCTTGACCCGGGAGGCGGAGGTTGCAATGAGGCAAGATTATGCCACTGCACTCCAACTGGGCGACAGAGCAAGACTCCGCCTCAAAAAAAACACAAAAACAAAAAACGATGACTGGTAATGGTGAAGACAAAGTATGAATAGAATGCACCTGTAAATATGAATAGAATGCACCTGTAAATATGAATGCAGAGTTTTAAAGAAGCAATTTTTAAAGGAAAAAAATCTCTGAAGTGTAAAAACGTAAGAGGTTTGTCTCAAAGAGCAACTGATCTGAAAGAAATATACTCACTTAAGAACAGGATAGACAAGCCAATGTGGTGGCCTAGGCCTGTAATCCCAGCACTTTGGGAGGCCAAAGCAGGAGGATTGCTTGAGCCCAGGAGTTCAAGATCAGCCTGAGAAACAGTGAAAACCTGTCTCTACAAAAAAATTTTTGAAAAATTAGCCGGGCATGGTGGTGCACACCCATAGTCTCAGCTAATCAGGAGGCTGAGGCTACAATGAGCCGTGATGGCACCACTGCACTCTAAGCCTGAGCTATGGAAGACCCTGTCTCCCCTGGGCCCCCCAAAACAGGATAAGGCAAGTTTGTGGCACACTTAAAATTGGGTGGTTATTCAGAGAAGCTAGAAATGTACTAGGCATAGCAAAATATTTGAAATTAGCGTGGCAGGCAAGAACAACAGCTAGCTGTCTGCTCCAACTCTGTGTAGTATGATCAAGGTAGAATACTGTGCAGGATCTGGTGGAGGTAGTCTAATGTTCCTAAAACTAAAATCTGATTTTAGTTTTAAAAGCATGACCCTAAGTGAGGACTTTGTGATGAAACAGATACGGTCCACAAATGAATCCTTTTTACCCACAGCTAATAAAACATGTGATCCCTTAGGGAAGGTTACTGCTATTTCCAGCCTCAATTATTATATTCTTATTATCAAATTTAAGCATGTAACAACAAATAGGAAAACTATTCGTGACAGACAGCAAGCTGTAGAATGCTCCTTTAATGAAGCTGCTAATACTTGACTTGTAAGACTAACCAGGATACTTTTTAAAACTATACTTAATACTATTATTTCATATATTGTATGTTTATATTTTAATAACATGCCACATTTAAATGCTGCTTTAGTCTCTTATATATATGATTTTATATATATGATTTCCCTAAGAAGGGAAAGGTCTGGGATTGGTGAATCCTCAAGTAATTTGAAACACTAAACATTAGGAGTATTTTAAATTACCTGAGGATTCACCAATCCCAGACCGTTCCCTTCTTATGAGTTCTTCCATAGGTTGTCAGAAATTCCTTTTCTGTTTAAAAAAACTCCAAAGAATTTCAGGAGTGGTAGCATAACTCCAAAGACGTGGGCAGTTGAGGCAACTGGAACAGGAAGAGGACCAGTGAGTTGCCCAATCTCACCAGAAAAGACATAAAGCCAGCAAGAGATGCCACATCAGGTGACTTCTTGTCCACGCCTTTTTCTCATTGTTTTTAATATTCATTGCTACTATATTGAGTTTTCTTTACATTTTACACAATTCTAAAGCTATGCTATGTTGGAAACCCTGGAAACATGTGTAAAGGACTTCAGATTAGAGAACTTGAAATGCATAAAGACATGGCAATTACATTTTAATTGCTTACTTGAAACAGCAGTTATCTTCACACGGAAAACTAAGGGAGAGCAGAGAAATCAACTAAATCCTGTTTTTGGCTTCAAGAGGGTTATTATCCTGAATCTCTTTTATTGTGGTAAAATACACATAAAATTTTCCATTTTTAGGTGTACATTGTGTCATTAAGCACATTCATGTTGTTGTGCAACTGCCATCATCCATCTCCAGAATTTTTTCATCTTCCCCAAATACAACTCCATTAAACACTAACTCTCCATTCCCCCCTCTCCCCCAGCTCCTGGCAACCATCAGTTCCTGGCTGTATGAATTTAACGACTCTAGGAGCCTCATGTGAGTGGAATCATAACAGTATACACCCTTTTATGTCTGGCTTATTTCACTTAGCATGGTATCTTCAAGGTTCATCCATGTTGTAGCATATGTCAGAATTTCCTTCCTTTTAAGGCTGAATCATATTCCAATGTAGGTATACACTACATTTCATTTATCTACTTATCCATCAATGGACACTTGGGTTGCTCCTTTTAGTTATTGTGAATCATGTTGCTATAAACATGGGTATACAATATCTGTCAGAGTGCCGCCTTTCACATCTTTTGGGTATGTATCCAGAAGTGGAAATGCTGGATTATACGGTATTCCTAGGTTTAATTGCAATCTTACCATCTCACATACTTCACCTAAACTGAAAAATGTAACGAATATACCAACCAAACACACACTGTGTTTTAAGCAAGGCAGTGGAAAAACCCCATTGGATCTGTCTTGCATCACTTCTCTCTTAACCTGCTGGAACACCTTACGTCTATGAAATGCCTTGAAGATGCCAAAGACCTCCAGGTCCAGGCAAGCTTCTGGAGCTCCTGCTGCAGACTAAGCCTCAGCCTTCTTGTTTAGAGGAAAGGGGACCCAGCATGACTCTGTCCGTAGTGCAGGGTGACTGCAAATGACACCCAACACTCAGTTCTTCAACACCCCACAGGCCTGGTTGTAGATTTTGAGGTCAAGGTTGGGTAAGTATAAAACCCAATGAATTTTTATAAAACTAGTAACGGGGAAAACAGGAAGATCAGGGAAGGTGGTGAAATCTTCACCAAGGCCAATGATTGCACAACACATAACTTCTTGAAGCACTTTTTTCCACCTGCTCAAACACTAAACATAAGGAGTGTTTCAAATTACTTGAGGATTCACCAATCCCTAACTTTCCCTTCCTAAAAGTTCTTCCAGAGTTTCTGTCAGAAATTCCTTTTAAGAAAACTCCAAAGAATTTCAGGAGTGGTAGCATAATAACTGGGGAGACCCCTCTCTCTAATTAATCAAAAACGTAGTGTAGCTTATATAGCTTAGAGAAATTGTGGATCTATGAGGACATGTGAAGGTACTGGGCTATAATGTGGTCAATGTGTCTGAAAAAATAACAGTTCTGGGCCAACCAAGTGTGGCTCAAGGGATCACTACTAAGAATGGTTCCTCTTTGGGTAGAGCAGAGGGAAGAGACACTAAAGGGAACTGCAATCACCAGCAAAGGAACACAGTGACCATCAATGTCTGAGGACTGGCACAATGAAGGATAAGAAAGAACCTCTCTGTACGAGGCCTACTCCCTTTCAGTTCCCTTTCTTCCCCATTGTGTCCCAGTGGAGGACCTGATAATACACCTGACCCATATCTAAGACATGCAGTTGGCAGGGCTGATAGTAGGTAAGGTTCACAGTATGTTAAAAAGTCACACGAGGCCGGGTGCAGTGGCTCAATGCCTGTAATCTCAGCACTTTGGGAGGCTGAGGGTAGGAGAATCACTTGAGGACAGGAGTTTGAAACCAGTTTGGGCAACATGGTGAAACACCATCTCTACCAAAAATACAAAATTACATGGGCATGGTGGTGCACACCTGTAATCCCAGCTACTCGGCAGGCTGAGGCATAAGGATCACTTGACCCCGGGAGGCAGAGGTTGCAGTGAACCAAGACTGAGCTACTGCACTCCAGCCTGACCGCAGACTGAGACTCTTTCTTTAAAAAAAAAAAAAAAAAAAAAAGTCACAAATGGTTTTTCTCTCCCTGGCCCCTCTTCTCTCTGTGGTAGGTAGGTTCAAATTACAGCCTAACCTCAGCCATCTCTGTTCTCTTTGCTCAAGCATATGGGTCACTGCTTTGGGTTCCTACACCAGTCAGACATCCACAGGCTCCCAGATACAGACATGAGCCTAGGATGAGGTAATATACCCGATTAGGCTCTGAGCCTAAAACACGTTCCATGAAATTACCTGAGCCTTCCTTGCACAGTACTGTGATCTAAGATCTAACACATAATCAAGTCATGCACTTTGTTTCTTATTTGCTATTGTTACATGTGTACAGTGTCCTTAGGAGTCTACAGGGAAGAGGGATAATTGGCAGAGATTGGCATTGGCAGAATCCTGGGTTCTCCAATAACCACCTTTCACCCCCAGCAGTACTCTCTAGAGTAAGATGGAGGTTGAAGATGTGTGCTGTTAAATTTCCTAATCCTGGCTGGGTATAGTGGCTCATGCCTGTAATCCCAGCACTTTGGGAGGCTGAGGTGGGAGAATCAATTAAGCTCAGGAGGTCAAGACCAGCCTTGGCAACATAGTGAACTCCTGTCTCTACTAAAAATTTGCAGGTGGGTGGCCTGAGCCTGTAGTCTCAGACTCGGGAGGTTGAGGTGGGAGGATTGCTTGAGCCTGGGAGATCAAGGTTGAAGTAAGCTATGATCATGCCACTGCACTCCCGTGTGGGCAACAAAAAAAAAATTTCCTAGTCTTTCATGCACGTGATGCTGGCTTGGTGTTTACAGCTTCGTATTCCTGAAATCGATATGTGCCAGATATCACTGCAGACTAGTCCTTATTTGATAGAAATAAAATAATTTACATTTTATTTTCATGTAAATGTGACAGCAGCAGCAATAACATAGGCATTCAGTAAATATTCTTTTGAATTAGGCCAGATCCTAAATATCCTGAAAGAAACATGACATGTCACTATCTACTCCTTCAAGACAAAGATATACTTTTTTTCTTTCTTCACTTCAGTAAGCTGGTCTACAATGATGGACTTTTATTTATGCAACAATTTCAATACTGTTCAACATATTGGGCTTTTTTTTTCTCCCTGTAAGTAGAATCTGATTTTGAAATCTAGTAGTGTACTGACAAGTGCCAAGCTGTTCTAATTAGGTTACCTTTCACATTTATAAAAATGGTACGAAGTTCTCTGAATACCATTCCAGAAATACTAATTCATACTTACCTATTTTCAGTCTCCTAAAGGTTCCAAAGATCTTAATATATGTTCACTCAGCACAACATGGCTGCACCAACAACTACCCCATGTTACAAAACAAGGCAAAGAGAAGCAGAATAACTCTCCCTATGCCCCGGGAGAAGTATGACAGAGGTGCAGGGTAAGAGGGTTTCTGGGTCCCAGCCACCTGTTTCACATTCCTCTTTCACCTTCTTTCTTCCTGGGTACGGTGAGGCTCCTCTGATGGAAGGTAAGATGGCTGCCATCCTTCAGTTATCACAGTACTGTACCTTTAGAATAGACAGCATCAGCACTGTGATAACTGAGCCAGGGCAGCCTGTCAGTCACTGTGTCGGTCAACGGCATCCTTTCTGGTGGCTGCATTACTCTCTCTGAAGGCTCCCCATGAAGTGAAGGACTAAAAGATCACCTTCTGGTTGGAGACGTGAGGAGGCAGAAGAAAAAGAAGGATCAGAGCCCAGCAAGTGGTGAGGCTGAAATATTAAAAGGCCCAGTTGAATTAAATTAGAATGAAAGATGAACACATGACTTATCCATATTAATGAGGATGAACAACTGCATGATTAGGTTTTCACTCTAATACATCAAATATGCAGTAAGCTTCCAGCATATTTCACAGCTTATCTCTTCCATGCATGGATTCACTGACTGTGCCTCCCTGACCTCAATCATTGATTTTTCATATATATACCGAGGAACTACTACGTTCTAAAGCCCTCTTCTAGATGTTCAGGAAATAAAGATAACTAAGACATGATTCCTGTCTTCAAAGTGCTCATAACCAAACATGACAATAATACTTCATATCTGCCAAACATTCAAAACTGCTCTATATGTTTTCTCATTTGGTTTTCACAAGACGCTATGGGGCTGGCAATGAATTATTCATTAATTCATCAAAAAAGGATTCTGGAAATAGATTAGATATTATTACCCCATTTTATAGGCAGAAAAAAAAAAAAAAAACTTAGGTGATTTGCCAGAGATCATATATTGCTAAGTTATGGCGAACCCATGTCCAGAACCATGTCAAATGAGTGAACACAGTGCTTTGTTTTCTCTACCCTACCCTAGCTGTCCAACTCCATCAACTGGATATTCAGTTTACACAAACAAAAGGATTTCTAAAAACATTTACTTTTTGTTTTAGTTTTCTCAGTAACTGAGATCATGAAGCAGAAGCTAGTGGGGCTTTATAATTAAGAAGAAAAATGCACATTAGCAAAAATGACTTTCATTCCTCTTGCTCTGAGTGCTAAGAATGTACTCAAATTAGTAACATTGATATTTTTCACTATAGTTTATGTCAATTCTATACCTATGGTGATACTGACAACCTTCAGAATACCTTTTTAAAAAGTAATAATAACATATACACATCACTTGCTTTTAAATTATCTGTACCTTTGAGACGTACTCTGAAGTCATTTTAGGGATGATTCTTCCTTTTAATAAAAAGTACAAAAGATTCTGAAATTGGAATTCAGGCATCAGAATATCAACTTATTAAAACCATGATTCACTTGGGTTTTTTCCATGTCATAAGGTTTCAAGTTATTTCAATATGAGTGGAACTTGACAGATATTTGAAAAATAATTATGTTTTCATTAGGCATTTGCTCAATTTCAAAGACTCATTATATGCATATTAGATATTAGCACTGTACTTCAAATAAGTCAGGTAGATGAATCAATTCTTTAGATCAGCAGAAGTCAGAAAATAAAAGTACAGTGAATCTAACTCAACTATTAACTTTACGTACTATGAAAATGACCTTATCTTCAGAAAAGCAACATCCAATGAAACAATCCACCTACACACAAATTAAAAACAACATTGCCTAAAATGCAAAAATATCTAAAAATTAAGGAGGTCATCATCTAGGTCTTAGCCAACTGTAATACAGAGTTGAAACACGAGAGGGCAACGAAGATTAAAGAAAAAAAAAAAATCACAGTTGGATCCCATAACCTAAGGTTCTTGGAAATAGTTGCACATTTTTACCCGAATTATAAACATCTGCTACGTGAACAAAGATACTGTGATTATTTTAGAGTAAAATTTTAGATAGCTGTTCCACGAAAAAGGATAAGATTATCAACTAATATTTCTTGACCACAATTCTGTCAGCTTTGGAAAACTGAATACTTACCCTGAAACACTGAAGGTTGGGTAAGTATGGAGACAAATAAATAATCCTGACATATTTGTAGTTATTAGACTGTTCTTCACCAAAATATTAGTGTGATTCAATGTCTAAATATGAAGTATAAAGACGAAGGAAGTGTACTGCAAAGTTGAAATTCACTCTACTAGCCATCACCAAAACCCATGCAACAACTAAACATTTTTGGTAAAGTAAAAGATACTTCCTTTTTCTCCTTATTTTTCTCTCATTTCATTTTTTTACCTAAATTAGAAAAAAAAAGAAGCCAAGCATCCCTAATAACAAGCAGCAAATTGTCATTATTCTGTGAATGGTTACTTAAATTAATATTCTCTCAGATTCTAAAGCAGTTTCAAGGAAGAAAAATATGGGTTTTCAAAATGGTATTTTTAAAATAAATGTTTCAAAAATGTGTCTTGCTTTTTCTTGAAAATGTTTATAAACGTGCATTTTTGAAAATTTAAATCCATCAGAAATATTTCTTCTTCAACATGTTTCGTCTAAGAACTGAACTGTCTAAATTTATAAACAAGTGACTACAGGTACTCATGCTACAGTAAGAAAAAATAACTGCATACTAAGGAAGAGAGAAAACAGTGATGTAAAATGCTTTCTTCCAGGACCCAAACTGATTTTAAACTACTTCTTCTATGTTAAAAATGATACAACTAGGAACAATTTCTTCATAACGCATATACCAAATATTATCTACAAAACCAGGCACTTATAGAAAACTGGCACACCAAAGAACTTTTAAAATAACGTGGAGTACAAGGCCAGGCATGGTGGCTCACACCTGTAATCTCAGCGCCTTAGGAGGCTGAGGCAGGAGGATTGCTGGAATCCAGGAGTTCAAGACCAGCCTGGGCAACATAGTGGAAGCCTGTCTCTACAAAAAATAGTATGAGCAGGGCCAGTAGTCCCAGCTACTTTGGAGGCTGAGGTGGGAGGATTGCTTGAACATGAAAGGCTGAGGCTGCCATGACTGCACCACTACACTCCAGCCTGGGTGACAAAGACCTTTTCTCAAGCGATCAATCAATGTGGAGTACAAATAAAAGCACAAAAAACATGCTACATCCCTCATATTTATAAACTAAGATGAAAATATTGTTTTAAACCTTTGAATATCTGATTATATATTAAATAACTGAAGGCACCGTAAGTTGTTGGCCAAGCAGAATATTTGAAAATACTTTTAAACTATAGTTTAGTGTATTTAAATCCACTGGTCTTTTAACTAGTGTGATTTGTTTTCCAATTTGAAAATTATCATCTAATTCAGTGATACTATATAAAATGGCCAAATTTGACCACACTGAGATGTTATAAACTGTCAGCAAAAGTTGCTCAAATGTCCAATACTGCTTTGTCACAAGTACACAGAATGTATACTTGCATTTTATTGCAAAACTTTGCTATACTGAGTTTTTAAAAACTAATTTGTGCCAAAGATTGATGAGGTGGCAGGTTACAGAATTTTTTTCTCTTTTATGGAAAAAGAAATAGGCAGAAAGGCAAGAAAATGTCAAGGACCACCGCCCTATACAAAGTTAGCCCCAATTCTCAAAGAGAAGCATTAACTGAGAGTGATTAGAGAAGAGGTGTCATCATTTTACTGACTTTGAGCACTGGCCCTAATTAATCTCATGCTATGTAACTTTATAAGGTCCATGTGGACGAAAAAAAAACCCTATGGACACGGTAACAAAGAGAAGACTGAGCTTTCTTCCTCATGTTGACCAAGAGTTTAGTCCAAAAAGGCTCCAGGAGACTAAAAATTTATAAATACATGACTGGCCCATATATTACATTATATGGGCCTCTCCCCTTCAAACATGTACTCAGCACAAATATTTTTAGTCCAACTGTATACTCCACAGTTAATTTACTTTCTGATTTTGCTCTACATCACATTTCACCACTCTCACCCCCCGGATTTTAGATTTTATGGTTTGCTCACAAGTCAGTTTTATATGCCAGCTAACTTCGGAATGATCCACCCCTGGCTAAACATCTCTAAAAACCCTGATGGTCTCCAATTAATCTATGATTGCCTTATTACTACAGCACTGCCATTTGAAAATGCTGGGTCTCAGATTTTCAAATTCCCTTAATGGACAGCTAAAGGAGCCAATACCAAAGACTTGCAATGACCTCCAATTCTACAGCCTTGGGCTGTTCCAGGAACACAATTACACTCCACTTCCCTGCAGGTTCCACCCTTCTCGAAGCTTCTATTCCTACATCTGTAAAATGAACACATTTCTACTAACTAGTAACACATGCCACAGTGGCACTGCACTCATTAAGTGCTGTGTTGTATACTGCAATTTAATTTGGTGCTGTTTATATCTTATTTCCTCAAGTCAACAGGACTCTTTCTAAAAAAGTCAGAAACTGTTTTACTCATGTCCCTTCACAACACTTAGTGGTCATTTCCACAAAATGCTAGCTCAACAGATACTTGATTGATTGATTAATTGATGAACCTCTCCATTTCTCAGGGAGCCTCTAAACAGTTATCAACAAGAGTATGTTTAATTCCAGTCTCTGTCTATATGGTCTTAGGTGAGGTGTTTGGCAGTTTGTCATCTATAAAATAAAGGGATAGCACCGAATAGCTCCTAAGTTCCTTCCAGTGCAATTTCTGAATCTCATTAGACAAAACAAAACCCAAAGACAGCACTACCTCTATTCACGTTAGCATTGTACTTTTTTTGGAGGAAAGGAGTCAGCAGCCTTGTGGGCCCAAATGCCACGAGTGGAGCCGTGATTTGGTGGGGAGGGGGACAGAAAGTAGATGAAGCAAAGAAAAAATAAATGGAAGTGAGTGACAGATGAGTAGAATCACTAAAATGCCACCAGGTGTCACAATTGTTACTTTGCCACACATTGTTTTCCGGTACCTTTTGCTATGTTCAGGATCCTTTTACAAAAGCAGCAATAGCCGGGTATGTGGGTATCCCAATTTTCCCATGACACCCCTGCTAGCCGTTCTAGAACCCTGGACTTTTACACTAATCTCCCTAATATAACAGTAATAATGTAATACTTGGGGTCCCCAATCATCACATGGAACACAGCAGTGGAAAATAGAAACACAAACATGAAATAACAATATTTCATACAGTCACCACTTTTGAAATTAATCCATGGGGCTAGGCACAGTGGCTCATGCCTGTAATCCCAGCAGTTTGGGAGGCCAAGGCGGATGGATCACCCGAGCTTAGGAGTTCAAGACCAGCCTGGCCAACGTGGGGAAACCCCATCTCTACTAAAAATACAAAAAATCTGCCGGGCGTGGTGGCACACACCTGTAGTCCCAGCTACTCTGGAGGCTGAGACAAGAGGATCGCTTGAACCTGGGAGGTGGAGGTTGCAGTGAGCCAAGATCGCGTCACTGCACTCCAGCCTGGAAGACAGAGAGAGACTCTATCTCAAAAAAAAAAAAAAAAAAAGAAAGAAAAAAAGAAAAGAAATTAATTCATAGATGAAAAGGAGTAATGCAGGCCTGAGCTGTCCAATGAAGTATATAATGCAAGCTACACATGTAATTTTTAATTCTCTAGTAGCCACACTAATAAACAGGTGGAATTAATAGCATATTCATTTAACCCAATATATCTAAAATATTATCATCTGAACATGGAATCAACATAAAATTAATGGGCTATTCTACTTTTTTTGCATTCTTTGAAATCTGAAGATTACTTTGCACTTACATATCCCAATTCTAAATTTTCATCAAAATACTTAATTTGCGTTTGGATTTCAAAACACTTAGTTTCAAAAGTAGATGCGTAAGCTCAAGTATGTTTCCAAATATAAATAAGCTTTCCAATAACTAAATCAAGTTATCAAAGTCTAAAATTAAATAAAATTTAAAATTGAGCTCTTCCTCACCCTAGCCATATTTCAGGTGGTTAATAGCCACGTGGCTAGTGGCTACCATATTAGGGCAGGTATCCTGTCTCTGTCACCTGGATTCTTTTAAACCCGAACCAGAGTAAAAGATGTTACCCCATCAACCAGAAAGTCATCTTACAGCACCCACCAAGTGCTCAAATTATACCAAGTATTTTCTGCTCCACTTCCAATCTTTAAGTTGTCAACACTTCAGTGATTATCGTTTATTAGGTAGCCCTTCCAAAAGACTGAGTATTTTAGCTCAGAGAGGAAAGCATATCTCAATTCAGGGACTGAATGGAGACACTGAGTGAGATTCAAAGACAAGAAGTTAATTTCCAAGGTAGAGGTGGAAAATCCTGACATCCTTACTTCTTTGTCCAGGGTATCAGTCACCTACAAAAGTTACAATTATTGTTTATCACAATTATTGTTTATGAGCCTCTCAACTTACATACTCACAGCAGCTGTCACTGCATCCTCAGGTTCTCTGTCTTCAAGTGCCCTCCTAGCTTCCTGAAACAACCTTCTCTATCTAGAGCAGATTCTGCAGAGAGGCCCCTCTTTAATTCATATTCTGAAACGTGCTTGTTATTGTTGACGTACAAAAACTTATGAATAATTCAATAAATGAATCTTGAACCATCCTATTTATCATTCAGTGGTCTAGGTACCCAACTCTAGAGGAAAGCTTTTCTGAAATACACGGTAAGTATCCCCCAACCCTCCCTCAAAGGAACCAATTATGAACACTATACAGTCTTCTCTCCCTTCTCACTCCCCATGTCAAAGTTCATTGTGTTCCTCCTGCAGCTGATTTAAAAGTTGATCTTTTCAAGGAGCTGGATTCCTAAGGTAGTTCTATTTTGAGCCTTCTTCCTGTTCTGAAGCTAAAGTTGGAAGGGCTTAGGTGGTGATGTCATGGAAGGGAGACTGTTGGTTTTTATAGGAGGGTCTTCTCTGGCAACTCTGGGGATGCTCAAATGGGGAAAACTCAGAGTGTTACTTTTGATCTTTTCCCCCCTCCTTCCCTTTATAGAATATCAGCTATTCCTTAGCCAGCAAGAAAACAAGTTCAAATAAGCCTGCAAACAGATTTACATATTTTACATGCTAAACATCTAATAAATGAAAAGACTGAGAAAAAGAAAAATGCCTCACTGTAAGGAACAGAGGGTGACAACCTCTTTCTCCACCCCTCTCCCCAAATATCTATCACAGAACAAGGGGCAAAGAGGAGGGGAGGGTCGACTGGTAAGCAGAATAAAGGGATTATAAAGCTAGGAGGCTTTTAGAGGGAAACGCTGTTGGAATATTCAGGACAGGAGACCCTTGGGTCCCTGCTCTTCCTCTGTGTTTTCCTCCCTTTTGGAATGGTTAGACTTGGGCTGGGTGTGTCTTCTGCTTGGGAGGCGTTTTTTTTGGCGCTGGAAAAGCAAAAGGGGCCAGGGTGGGGCCTGGGGAAAGAAAGCCAGAGACAGGCTGCTTAGGCCTGGCTCTGGGTTAAGCTTAAGGGGAAAATAAAGGGGGCTACGGAGGGACAGCAGATTCCATTAGAAGACCCAGAGGGGAATAAAAAACAGCGCACTGGCCAAAGGGGGTCACTTCTCTCTCTCCCTCAACCTAGGCCCAGGAGCTATTTGCTGGTTGGTGGGGGACAGGTCCAGAGGGAAGAGAAAATCCCAAAACATCTGCAGATCACAACTTGCCGGGGGAAAGGGGGGCTGGGGACAGACATGCCAAATTAAATCAGCAGGTGAAAGCAGCAATTTTTGGCCAATGCTGGGATTGCGGAGAGGACTAACTAAGAACCCTGGAGAGCAGGGGATTCCCTGGTTTCTCAGCTCACCTCTCCTTCAAAGCAGGGATAAGCACAGGTGTGGTCTTTCTCCAGGAAGGTGGCAGCTGGCGTGCGGGTAGCAGAGTGAGGGAAAGAATTCCTCGCACAGGAAGGCAGGGAGAAGCCCTGGGGTCAGCTGCGGCCAGGAGCCGGCGTCTCCGCCAAGTCCCCTCCCCCTTCCTGAAAACCGACCTGGACCAGCACAAATTACAGCAAAGCACCCCTCTCCCCAATAATGTTTCTAATAAAAGAAACAGACTCTCATGCCTATATTAAAAAACCACGAGCTCTAGCTGATGGAAATAAACAGGTGAGCCCGGGGAGAAGCGGGAAAACACTGGGAATGGGAGAATGAAGGGGGAGAAGGCGTTCCCGAACGTGCAGAGAAACCGAGGCTTCCCCGCCCTCCCTCCACCCTCCTCCCCTCCGGCCGGGGAGAATCTGCGTGGCAGGGTGCAAGCTAAAAATGCCACTGACGGACCCCTCTTCCCGCCCCGTGCCCGTTCTCCCTCCTACCCCAGACTCCAGCGTCCCGGCCTCGTGGTAGCGCCCGGTCCCCGGCGCCGCGCGGGGCTCGCCCTCTCTCCGGACCGCCGCCGCCGCGGGGACTCCGGTCTTCCTCTCTTCTCCCTCCCTCCTCCTCCTCCTCCGGCACCGCCGCCTCCTCCTCTTAGACTCCTCCCGCCGGATCCTTCATGTAAACAACATCCAGGCTCTATTTACAGTCGCCGCCGGACGGCAAGGGACCCACGCCAGCACCCTGGACGCGGGCGGGGGCGGGGGAAAAGCGAGTGCGCAACATTTACACACACACCCCGCCCCTCCGCGCCGCTCCCCTCCGGGGGCCGAGCCAGGCGCCCGGGGCTCCCCGCGTTGCCACTGACACCCCAGCGAGGGCCGCGCAAAACCGCGGAAATGCCCATGGGCGAGGTCGCCCCGCTACCCCTCGGGAAAAACACACGCACGCGCTAACAACAACAAACCCAGTCCGGCAACACCCTCGCAGTCGGTCCCGGAGTGCGGAGGCCCGGCCCGGCCCGCCCCGCGCCGCCGCCCCCGCGCTCCGCCGCCTACCCCGAGGTGGCGAACTGCGTGCGGTCCCCGGAGGAGGCTGAAGGCAGGCGCTAGGCGCTGGGCAGTGGCGCGCCCTCGGCCCCCGGCGCCGCCTGGCCCGCCCCCAGACCCCAGTGCGGATGCCTAGCGGGCCGAGCCCCACGGCTGCGTGTGCGTGTGCGCCGCGGCCAGCCTCGCCGGAGCCGCTCTGTGCGCCCCACGGCTTCCCGCGTCCCCAGGCCGGCTCCGACGCGCCGCGAGACGGGGCCGGGAGCGCAGCAGCCAGCGCTCCACGGCGGCGCACGGGCGCGCACTCGGACGTCCACACTCTGCGCCCCGAGCCTCGCGCGGCCGCACGCCCCACGCAGCCCGCCTCCCGCGGGCGCTCGGCCCCGCGCGCCCCGCCGCCCCCGCGCCCGGCCGCCGCCCCCACACCCACCTGCGCCCCCGGGGGTCCCGGGCTCCCCTTCCTTTGTTCTTCCCGCTATTTGCATGAGGATTATCTAATGACGCAGCAAGGCTCGCCACAACGTGACCGTCGCCATTTTTCTGTTTTTATTCTATCTCTGCCATGTGATAGATGGCGGGGGGGTTGGAAAAGGGAGAGAGACGGGATTAAAAAAAAAAAAAAAAAAAACTTCCGGGTCTCATGACCGGGAAGGGAGAAAAACAAAAGGGAGACGAGACACAACTCTAAGGGAAGGATGTGTGTGCGTGCGTGTGTGTATGAGAGTGTGTGTACGTGCGCGCGCTCTCCCTCCTCTGCTGGGAGAAAGGAGGCTCCGGCAGCGGACAGGCAGCAGCCATCCTCCCACCCTGGAGACCAGTGGCCCCGGTGGGTCCAGCTCGCACCCTCTGATTGTGGCGGTCGCCCGTCCTGGTCCCCCACGCGCCGCGGAAGCTGGGGGAGCTGTCAGCCTGCTCCCCTCCTCTGGCTGCCTTCACTCGCCTGTCCGCCCCAGAGCTCGCTTTCCCTCCCGGGCGGCTGTACCGTTGTGGGCTACGTTCAGAGAAGTCCCACTATTGCCATGAGCAGGGACATAATAGAGTTTAAAGGCCGCCGTATTTTCTAAGTTTTAAAACAGTTTGCTTCGACGCCGTTGTTTATGACAACCGCGTGGCAACACCAGGCACAATCTAATGTTGGTTCCAATCCTTCCCCTCTTTCTCTACCCCCGCTTTCCCCCTTTTCCCAAAGTGGGGCACAACTTGGTGTGGTCTTCAATGGGGATTGGTTTTGTGGGGATGGACCATTCACTACGGATTGATTGATTTAAGAACCGCTTATTTAAATAAGTGGTGTTCAGGGTCAGAGGATTGTTTCAGAAGACAGTTGCATAGAGCAAGGTGGATTCGTGTTACACTGATCTTATTCACATTCAAAGGGAGTGATAGACATTTCATTCTTTCCGAAGTTCACAGTTGCTGAAAAAAAAATATTTGGGAACTCTGCCACTGTTTTCCGGTGAGATATAGAATTTTGTACTCTTGTTTACTACTGGGTTCCCTTCAGGCACTTTCACTTTTGTTTTTCGTGAGTTTCCTTTCTGGTTTTTTTTTTTTTCCTCTATTTCTTAATTCAGAGCAGAAATGGACTTCATAGTTGAGCAGGGTTCCTGGCTTTTACAGGGAGAGAAACGGAGACTCTGAGTAGTGCTAGGAGTTGCTCTAGGGCACACATTTAATTAGAGCCCAGCTTGGATTGCGCCCTGCTCACCTGTCGTTTCTCTTAGGGGTTGGCTATAAGAGGATGGGGTGGGGACGGGACTCACGGAACATCGCTATGTGCTTATTGTGAATTATTTTTATTAGACTCACAGAGTTGACCACTCTCCCCTTTGTGCATCCACTGTATGGTTTTTACATTTATTTTCTGGTGCCTTTCACAGATCAGCGTACGGCACAGTTGCTGTATCTCCCACTAGGGTAAGCTTTGAGGCCAGGGCCATGCCATACTCATTTTATATCTCCCATATTTAGCACCATGACTAGCAATGAATGAGCAAATGAAGGCCTGAAGAGGATCTTTTCCATAATTCCATCCTAGGAAATTCCTTGCATGTTTCTGGTGAAGGTAGAACACTGGAGATGCTTTTTGATTCTTACACCTCTGCAGACCATTTTTGGCAGTCTTCTTTAGTTACAAAGCCAGGCAAAACATGTTTTGCTTTTCTCAATTTTTTAAATCAACTGCTTCCCCCCTCGCCCCGCCCCGCCCCTCGTTTTACCATATTTGGTTCCTCTTCTTTAAATTCTTTCTGATTCATATGAATAAATTAGTTATGCCAACCTTTGCACTTTGTGAGTTGCTTTTGCTTTTAGACTCCAAAAGTTTGATAAAGTTTAAGGTGTGATTTAACCTGGTGCAGACTGGAAGCAAATCATCATGGGCAGACAAGACTCTGATTCTTCCTGGGATCACTGAACTGGGAGACTGGCGGTTGAGCAGGCAAAAGAGGACTGTTGAAAAGATGTTAGCATCAGGCAAAAAGTACACGTTTACCAAAAACAACAACGACAACAAAACAAACAAAAAACAGAATAACTGCCGTATACAATTACAGCTCAGAGGAGGATCTGGATTGTCACAGATCAGTTCTTATACATCTGGACTGATAAGGTTCCATTGCATATCTGAACATGATCTACATGTATTCCTCTGGATGGGGTAAATGAAATTGGTATGAATGATTGTAACATCTACAACCCATATGTTTAATCCTTGATAACAACAGTGTGATAGTAATTTAAGTATATCATCAGTTTGCAGTCAAGGTGGAGATGAAGTCTAATTATATATGTAAAGTCATTTGTTCTTTTGAATACAAAACTGAACAGAAAAAAAAAGAACATGGCTCAAAACATATAGTTATAATAAATACCTCCATACCTCTTGTTTTACACACATGTGCACTCACACATTTTTAAAAAATCAAACTTTAGTCTTCTGAGGTACCATGTAGTGGCTGATTAAAGGAAGTTCTTATAAGCACCTCACCAGTCTTCCTCTCTCCAATATGTACTTGAAAATGACAATTCCTGGAGTCATGGTGAGAGCACAGACTTTGGAGTCTGGTACTAATCTCAGCTCTGCCAATTTGTTAACTGTGTCAGTCTGGGCAAGTTATTTATCAGTTGCGATTCTTAGTTTCTTTACCCATAATATGAGCATTATAACAGCTAGCTCAAGAGTTTTTAGAATTGAAGTGTAATCAAAATGTATTAAGACATATGTAAAGCACCTAGCATGATACTCGGAAAATAATCTTCAATAAAGGGTCATTATAATAATTTTTAAACTGCATTTTATTTACCCCATGCACTTCCCAGAATTATTCTTTCCCTTTTGGCTGCCTGACCTTGGAAATTCAATAAACCTACTATTAATGAAAGTTCTGTGACTATGAAGATAAATCAGAATAGTTCCTGGCCTCAAAAAGTTCACACTTCAGCTTTGGAAGAGATACAGATACAAGGAACTAGACTGATACTGGTAACCGAAAGAGAAGACCACTTTGTACCAGTTTATGATGATCTACCTGAGCTGTATTTAATTAAGATTGGGTTTTTTTTAAAGATTTACTAGTATCGACACAATGATAAAGCTTGTGGAAGCAGGAAAATTCAAGAAAAAAAATCTCACATTTTCACATAAATGAGGAATACTATCTTTAAAACTCCATCTAGTCAGTATAATTCCTCAGCTTTAAGAAACAATTTTCTGATCCATTATAAGAGGCAAGCTTCTTTTGCGTTCATGTGAAAAATATGCCAGGTTGTACCTTTGAAGTAATGTTGGAGAAATGTAGTTAATAGGAAGCACTTCTGGTTGTTAATTAATTAAACCACTTTAATCAAGAACTATTTTCTGAGAAACTTATTCCCAGCCCTGGGTGGGGTGCTAAAGAAACAAAGATGATGAAGATAACAGACTTTGCCCTTATGGAACTCATCATCTAAGAATCAAATGTTTATTGATTACCTACAGGGGATGCAATAGTGAAAGAGATACTGAGCTTAGTCTATTGAGAGATTGATATATACACATATCTTTCTAGCTTCCTCAAGAAGTATGTGATTGACACAGGATTTGGGCAAGACACTCAGTATATATATGTGTGTTTATATATATATATATATATTTTTTTTTTTTTTTTTTTTTTTTTTTTGAGATGGAGTCTCGCTCTGTCAGCCAGGCTGGAGTGCAGTGGCGCGATCTTGGCTCACTGCAAGCTCTGCCTCCTGGGTTCACGCCATTCTCCTGCCTCAGCCTCCCGAGTAGCTGGGACTATAGGCGTCCACCACCACACCCAGCTAATTGTTTGTATTTTTAGTAGAGACGGGGTTTCACCGTGTTAGCCAGGATAGTCTTGATCTCCTGACCTCGTGAATCTGCCTGCCTTGGCCTCCCAAAGTGCTGGGATCACAGGCGTGAGCCACCGCACCCGGCCTGACACTATATTATGTATATATAAATATATTCGGCCGGGCGCGGTGGCTCACGCCTGTAATCCCAGCACTTTGGGAGGCCGAGGTGGGCGGATCACGAGGTCAGGAGATCGAGACCATCCTGGCTAACATGGTGAAACCCCGTCTCTACTGAAAATACAAAAAAAAAAATTAGCCGGGCATGGTAGCGGCTGCCTGTAGTCCCAGCTACTCGGGAGGCTGAGGCAGGAGAATGGCGTGAACCCGGGAGGCGGAGCTTGCGGTGAGCCGAGATCGCGCCACTGTACTCCAGCCTGGGCAACAGAGCGAGACTCCGTCTCAAAAATAAATAAATAAATAAATATATTCTACGCTCCACCAGAGCTTTTTTTTGTTCCTTAAAACAAAGAGTAGGCTGGGCGCAGTGGCTCACACCTGTAATCCCAGCATTTTGGGAGGCCGAGGCAGGTGGATCACGAGGTCAAGAGACCATCCTGGCCAACATGGTGAAACCCCGTCTCTACTTAAAAAAAAAAAATTAGCTGGGCGTGGTGGCATGTGCCTGTAGTACCAGCTACTCAGGAGGCTGAGGCAGGAGAATCGCTTGAACCCAGGAGGTGGAGGTTGCAGTGAGCCGAGATCACGCCACTGCAATCCAGCCTGGCGACAGAGCAAGACTCCATCTCAAATAAAACAAAAACAAAGAGTAGCTCTTGAAAGAATAGTTGGTCTCTGTAGCCCAAGTGAACCTGGAAACCTGGGAGCCTTGCTAGCTTTAGGCAGAACTGTGAAGTGGGTTAAGTTATTTTCAATTTCCCTCAAATCTGAACTATTGAAATAGCTTTCTGGTCTCTCAGTTCCTGTCCTTCTGAACTCTGTTTTGTTTTCCACAGGCTACTACAGTGATTCTAAAATGCAAACCCTGTTACACTGTTCCCCTGCTTAAAAAACTTTCCTGGCTCCCCATTATCTGCCAAGCATGACACACAAGACCCTTTGTGATCTTGCTCTGCCAAGCCTTCCAGCCTCATCCTCCATCACACCCACAGGAAGAGTTGCCAGATTTATTAAATAAAAATATGAGACGCATAGTTAAATATAAATTGCAGATAAACAATAACTTTTTGGCATAAACACGTCCCAAATATTGCATGACACATACTTAATACTAAAACATTTCCATTGTTTATCTGAAATCCAAATTTCAGTAGGCATCCTGTGTTTTATCTGGCAACCCTACTCATGCCAGGCTGATTGATTAACTTTCCAATTCCTACAGTCTCTTCTTTCCTTTGCAGGTGCCTGATAACCTCTACACCATGTCCCTTATCCACATGATATTCTTTGCTACTTCTTCAAAGCCAGGCATGGAGTTCTGGAACTCTGTGGGTGTGAGCTTGGAATCCAATGTGCCCGAGGATGGGCCTCGCCACCTGTGTGCTTTGTTTACTATCTGGGCTTCTGCCCCAGTTCCTGTTCACCCTTCCCATTCTCCCTCCTGGAACTGGATTTCTGCCCCGAACCCCAGTTTACTTGGCTGGAGCCCACATATAGTTTTTCACCCTTGCCAGCTCTTTCTCTGGGACTGTGGGTAAGAGCCTTCCTCCCAGCTGCTGGCTGGGCTTGTGATCTAAACTGGATGGATCATTGAAACCTGCCACAGATGCTGCTACCTTTTTGCCTTGCTTGCTACAAAGGATGGACAAGAAACTCAAATGAAATCAAGTTTGTGAAATAGTTTGTAAAGTGTAACATCTCTATTATGGTAGTTTAACTTACAAAGTTCAAGCTCTTACTGGTATTGCACATGAAAGCCCCACTCTAAAGTGCCCCAGATTCCTCTTGTTTCTGCTCATGCCTAGTGATATATGATGCTGAAAATGATGTGGAAAATGTCCAAATGTTCTCGAATTTTGATTAGTACATTCTGCCACACTGGTTATTGCATTATGGATGGAGATGGAGAATTGCTTGAACACGGGAGACAGTGGTTGCAGTGAGCCAAGATCGCACCACTGCACTCCAGTCTGGGCGGCTGAGCGAGACTCTGTCTCAAAAAAAAATAAAAAATAAAAAATAAAAAAATTGTAATCTTATGAACCAGAACATACCTCTTCACAACTGAAACCAAAGTCTCACGAACTATGTCTTATCCTAAGTCTGTGTAATGCACTCTGATATTTTCTATTTTATTTCATTTTTTAAAAAATTGGTCGACCCATCAAATTAATTTTATAACTCATGAATGGATTGTTACTTGCATTTTCCCAGACACTGATATGCACTGTCTAATGAGATTCCCTATATTAACCAACTGATTGGGACAATTGTTAAATGTAATTGTTAAATGTTTACCTCATTTGGTGCTAGATCCATAGGAATCACCCTGCCCACTAAAGGAGTGAGGCCACCTCACTGAGGTAAGTCACAGTTGTTCTCACTGATAAGATCAGAAAGCACAGTACTGCAGCCAGACTTTCAAAGCTACCTGAGGTTAATATACATAATTCCTGGCTGGGCCATTTTTAAAAAGGGATAGCTGCAAAATTACCACAACTACATTTATCTTAGAATAGAGGGATATTGTTTGGGGGCAACTCTTTCTTAGACTGTTTAAATCATTCCTGGTTAGGTTAAAGAGACTTTTAGGTTTCTGAGGTTTCACGTCAATTTCAGAGGTAAGCAAACATAAAATAAAAGCTCTCTCACTGCTATGATTTTGTTTTACTCTCCTTTTCCCTAAATGGTGAGCAGATTAGTCTAATATTCAGATTTCACTCTAATAGCCTGCTTTGACAATCTGGGAAACACTAGATTCCAAAGAAAATAAGGAAATATATATACATATATGTATATATAATTATGGTCCAAACGGAGTGGAAAGAATACAACACATGTAAGGAATTCTTTTGTTACAGGTACTCAGTCTAGTCCTCTTCTGCCCATTTCCTTCCCCTAACACGTCTTCCCTAACTTACAGCTGCCTCATTCTTTTTTTCCTTCTGATAGAGTTTTGCTGGTTTTGTTGATCTTGGAAAGATCAGTTTCAGCTCAGTGGTGCACAAAAGCTGGATTGGAGAGAATTTAAGAGAGAATAATAGGAGAAGAGGAATTAGAGACAGCTAGTATAGACAACTGGCTACAAGGGTTACAGAGAAATAAGAAGGTAACCAATAAGGGAAGTGCTGTCAAGAGGAGATTTTTGTTTTTGAAATGGTTGACACAACAGCATGGTTGTATACTGATAGAAATGATCCAGTAGAGGAAAAATTGATGAAGTAGGGTAGACAGGGAGGATTTGCTGGTCTAGTGTTCTTTATTCTGCGAGAGGGGTGAGATCTAACGCACAAGTGGAGGCTTTTGCATGGCTGCACCAAGAGTGCTTCCTTACTGACAGGGAGAAAGGCAGGGCCTAAAGCCGTACCCCTGCATGGATAAGTGTGCATGGTAAGAGTGAATGGAAGTTCTCTTCTGATTCTTCAGTTTTTTCAGTGAGGAAAGAAGCACAGTCGACAGCTGAGAGTGAGGATGGGGGAGAAGAGAAGAACAGAGATGAAAATGTCCATGAATAGAGTAGGAGAGTGAAAGGACCAGGGAAATACAGGACATTTGCTGGGAAAATAGCAAGGGCCTACTTAAGTTCCTAGTGATACCTTTAAAGTAAGACCAAACAGCTTGGTGTGTGTGTGGGTGGGTGTGTTTGTCTATCTGTCTGTCTGTTTTCCATCTATGACCAGCTCATGGGTACAGAAACAGTATGGGTGGAAAGTTGGATTTAACCGGAGTTGCAGTTTTGCCCACCAGCATGGCAGAATTAAAGTGGTCAGGGAGTTCAGGGAGTGATTATACAGATCGACTCTGAAATTTAAGCTGGTTAAAGATGGAATAGAGGGCTTCAAATGGCTATGGCAGTTAAGACAGAAATGGTGCCTCTGATGTGCCTCCCTTTGGTCTTTGCACGACTGGCTCCCTCTTGTGGTTCAGTCATTCTGTGCTCTCACCCTTTTAACTGCAGAGGACTTAACGTTGTTTTCTTATTACTTTCTTCTATTTATCCACCCAGCTATGTATGCTCTGTGCTCTGCTTTACACTATTAGAATATAAGCTCCATGAGAGCAAGCACCTTGTCAGTAATGTTCATTGTTTTATAGCCACAGCACTTATTTGACTTATTTGGCAGAGTGAAGACAACAAGTATTTGATGGAAGAATGAAGAATGACTAGGACGTGATTATAAGGCCTTCGCCATCCTGTGCATGGTCTTCTACATGTGCTCCTGTTTGTCAGTTTTCTGTTTCTAACCTCCACCAAGAGAAAGAAGATGCTTCCCCAGGGTTAGGGTTACTTGCTAGTCAATCCACTCCAGGTCTCCCTCAAGGCCTTCCAAGGCTCTGGGGAGGAGAACTCAAGGAGAAATTTACCCCAGAGTTACTGAGGCACCAGATGTTTCAGAGGCCAGCCAAAGAGGAAGGAGGTGTCATAAGGGCATAATTGCTTTCCATTTTGTTTTGAATTTTTTTTTTTTTTTTTTTTTGAGACAGGGTCTCGCTTTGTCACCCAGGCTGGAGTGCTGTGGCACAATCATGGCTCAATGCAGCCTCAACCTCCTGGGCACAAGTGATCCTCCCGCCTCATTCCCCCAAGTAGCTGGGACTACAGGCCCATGCCACCCTACTCAGCTAATTTTTGTATTTGTTTGTATTCTTTTGTTCCACCATGTCACCCAGGCTGGTCTTGAATTCCTGGGCTCAAGCAGTCCTCTTGCCTCGGCCTCCCAAAGTGCTGGAATTACAGGCATAAGCAACTATGCGTGGTCTATTTTGCTCATTTCTTACTGGGTTATTTTCTTATTGCCGAATTTTAGAAGTTTTTAATATATTATGGATGCAAGTCCTTCATCAGATGTATGTTTTGCAAATATTGTCATTTCTCAGTGGTGTCTTTTGAAGAGCAGAAGTTTTAATTTTTATAAAGTTTTAACTTGTCAGCTGTGTCTTAGATTGTTCATGCTTTTTCTGTCATGTGCAAGAAATCTGCCTAATCGAAGGCTGCAAAGATTTTGTCCTGTTTTATTCAAGTTGTTGTATATAATGTGAAGTTAAGGTCAAATTTCATCTTTTTGCATGTGGTTATTCAGCTGTTCCAGCACCTTCTGTTGAAAAGACTATTCTTTCCCCACTGAATTATTTGGCACGTTTCTTGAAAATCAATTGAACCAAAGCGTGGGCCGCACAGTGGCTCATGCCTGTAATCCCAGCACTTTGGGAGGACGAGGAGGCCAGATCACCTGAGGTCCAGAGTTCAAGACCAGCATGGCCAACATGGCAAAGCCCGTCTCTACTAAAAAAAAAAATACAAAAATTAGCCAGGTGTGGTGGCACGCATCTGCAATCCCAGCTACTCAGGAGGCTGAGGCAGGAGTATTGCTTGAACCTGGGAGGCAGAGGTTGTAGTGAGCCGAGATTATGCCACGGAACTCCAGCCTAGGTGAGAGTGAGACTCTGTCTCAAAAACAACAACAACAACAACAACAACAAAAGTGTGAAGTCTGCTATTGGACTTTCTAGTCTTCCATTTATCTAAATATCTATTGTTCTGTCTTTATAATGCTTTCTTGATTACTGTGGCATTGTAGTAAGTTTTAGAATCAGGTAAATCCTTCAACTTTTTCTTTATCAAAATTGTTTCACTATTCTGGATTCTTTGCACTTTCATATAAACTTTTTTGCCACATGAAAGTTATTAGCTTATTAATCTTCTTATGAAAAGTCCACACAGTGGCTGCAGATAACGTCATGCAGCATCTTTATTCCTGTGGCTTTTTGCCAGCACCACCATTGGCCTTTGCAGTCCCCCTAACTTTCTTCATTCTGTTCTTGTGTTCTTTTTGAGGTCTTTTCCTTCTCATCCAAGCTATGTCTTGCAAGTCTATGTTTGGCTTCGTTTTTCTTTGCATAATCCAAGGAATCATAAATCACATCAAAGCCGGTTGTCTTGCCACCACCAGAATGAGTTCTGAATCCAAATACATTCCCACCAGCAATATGTGAGTTTCTCCATATGCTGGTCAACACTTGTTCACTTGGTCAATCTTTTTTGTCTTAGCCATTCTAGTAAGTGTATAGTGGTATCTCATTTTGGTTTTAATTTGCATTTTTCTGATGACTTATGATGTTCAGCATCTTTTTAATTTTGAGACAGAGTCTCACTCTGTCGCCCAGGCTGGAGTGCAGTGGTGTGATCTTGGCTCACTGCAACCTCCACCTCCTGGGTTCAAGTGATTCCCATGCCTCAGCCTCCCAAGTAACTGACATCCAGTGTAGCCTTGTACATTTTGGATAGTTTTTCCCAAATTTCTGTGTTGGGTACTGATAACTTTCCAGGGTGAAGGACATCAATGAACATTTGTTCATCTCCCAAATTTGTGTGTTGGGTACTGATAACTTTCCAGGGTGAAGGACATCAATGACGATTTGTTCATCTCAAGGAGTTGGCTGGTCATAAACTTCCTGATTCAAGTAGTTATTGTGTCATTCATGATGGTGATCAATCCTTAGGCAGCCACTTCCATATAAAATTTAGGAATAGCTTGTCAATTTAAAGAAAAAAAGGCTGGACATGGTGGCTCATGCCTGTAATCTCAGCTCTTTGGGAGGCCAAGGCAGGAGGATTGCTTGAGCCCAGTAGTTCAAGACCAGCCTGGGCAATATAGTGAGACCCCTTCTCTAAAAAAAATTTTTTTTTTAATTAGCCAGACATGGTGGTGCACACCTGTAGTCTCAGCTGCTTGGGGGCGCTGAGGTGGGAGGATTGCTTGAGCCTGGTAGTTTGAGACTGGCCTGGGCAATATGGTGAGATCCCTTCTCAAAAAAAAATTTTTTTAATTAGCCGGTCATGGTGGTGCACACCTGTAGTCTCAGGTAGTGGGGGTGCTGAGGTGGGAGGATTGCTTGAGCCCAGGAGTTTGAGACCAGCCTGGACAATATAGTGAGACCTCTTCTCTAAAAAAAAATGTTTTTTAATTAGCCAGTCATGGTGGTGCACAACTGTAATATCAGGTAGTTGGGGGGCTGAGGCGGGAGGATTGCTTGAGCCCACGAAGTTGAGGCTGAAGTGAGCCATGATTGCACCACTGCAGAGAGCAAGACTCTGTCTCAACAACAACAAAAATAGCCTACTAGGATTTTGACAGATATTACATTGAATTTATTTTATTTAGTTTTATTTATTTATTTTTTTAGAGAGAGAGTCTTGCTCTGTCACCTAGGCTGAAGTGCAGTGGCATGATCATATAATATCTCACTGCTACCTCAAACTCCTGGGCTCAAGGGATCCTCCCGCCTCAGCCTCTGTAGTAGCTAGGACTATAGGCACATGCCACTATACCCAGCTAATTTTTTTTTTTTTGGCAGAGACGGGATCTTGCTATGTTGCCCAGGATGGCCTCAAGCAACCTCCAGCCTTGGCCTCCCAAAGTGTTGGGATTACAGGCTTGAGGCACCGCATTCAGCCTACACTGAATTTATACATCAATATTGGGAAATTGTCATCTTAACAATATTGAATCTTCCAACCCATGACATCATATCTCTCCCATTTTATATAAGTCCTTTTAAATTTATCTTAGCAGTGTTTTGTACAAGTTTGCCTTTCTCTCGTCTAATTTAGTCCTAAGTATCTTATTCTTTTGATGCTCATTAAACGGACTTACTAGTTATGATACGTTTTTGTAGATTCTTTGCAGTTTCTTACATACAAGATAATGTTGCTTGAGAATCACAATAGCTTTTAAACTCTTTGCTCACTACATTTCAGTTAAACCTCTCACTCCCTCTAGCACCCAAGACCATAGCCCAAAAATATCCAAATGCTTCCCTTCTAAGGATAGAGTCAGGTGTCCTTAAATTTCTCCTAAAGATGGAATGTTCCACCAACAGCAGTGTTGATCTTCTACTATGGTAGTGTGCTATGTCCATCTCTAGCACAAAGATAAACATGTCACAAGAACCATGCATTCATGCACTCAGGATTCTTTTCCCCTTTGCCCCTGTGACTTGTGTGTATCTTTGCTTCAGTTATTGACCAACCATCCTACAGATGGCTATACTCTTAGATAAGTTTTTGATAAGTTTTCTGTCTGTAGTAATTTTGTCTTTGCTCAAATCTCAGACAGTTCTCTCATAGTTACATCTTGACCACTGGGATATTTTTGGATCCTGATTCTGCCATTCAGCATATTAGTTATCCCAACAAAATTCATGCTTTCTCATATTTGGGCAGTAGATCATAGTCTTTAGCCAAGTAAATTGTGAACAAAAATCTTATAGCAGAGACAGACCACTGTGGCATGGCATTAGAGACCTTCTCTCTGGTTGCCTTTGATCAGCAATTAGTACTCTTTAGGAATGACTGCTCTGCTAATTACACGTGAACTTACCTATGCTTCCTTTCTTCAACTGTAAAATGAGGATAATAATAGTACTCTCCTCACAAGACTGTTGCAAGGATTAGATGACTAAACATATGTAATGAAGTCACAGTAGTACCTACCACAGAGAAGTGCACAAGAAAGTGAGTCATGTTGGGCATCGTGGTTCATGGCTGTAATCCCAGCACTTTGGAAGGTCGAGGTGGGAGGATCGCTTGAGCGCAGGAGTTCAAGACCAGCCTGGGCAACATAGGGAGACTTCATCTCTAAAAAAAAGAAAGAAAGAAAGAAAGAAAGAAAAACAAAAAAAGAAAGAAAATGAGTCATTATTGTTTGGGGAAGAAAGAAAAGACTCTACAGTCAATAGCTTTGGCCTTTATCCTTGCCTTTTCATTTCCTACCTGTGTGCATCCTTAGACAAGTTATTTAACTCTTGTCAGTTTCTTCATCTTAAAATAATTGTAAAAACAGTGTCTTATTCATAAGGTTTTTGTGAGAATTAAATGAAATAATGCAGATAGAGTAACACCATGCACGACACTCAATCAGTATTTGTTGCAATGATAGTTACTGACATTCAACTTGTACACATTTTTATCTCCCCTCCACTGCAATCCTCCTGTCAAATTATTTCCAAAAGCTTGAGGATATTTGGACACATTACATTTATAGCACTTCCCTGATCAACCTACTTGATAACTTAGTAGCCAGTTTAGAGCATTATGGTTAATTTAAGTCATCTTTTATTTATTTATTTTTATTTATTTTTTTGAGACAGATTCTTGCTCTATCGCCCAGGCTGGAGTGCAATGGCGCAATCTTGGCTCACTGCAACCTCTGCCTCCCAGGCTCAAGCAATTCTCCTGCCTCAGCCTCCTAAGCAGCTGGGATTACAGGCACCCTCCACCACACCCAGCTAATTTTTGCATTTTTAATAAAGGTGGGGTTTCACTATGTTGGCCAGGCTGGTCTCGAACTCCTGACCTTGTGATCTGCCCACAGATCATGGCCTCCCAAAGTGCTGGACTATAGATGTGAGCCACCGCACCCGGCTAAGTTCTCTTTTAAAATTCTTCTAAAATTCTAAAATGCAAGCAAAATTCTTATTTAAATGTTTAATTTATATATATATACCCACATATATGTGTGTATATAATGGCTAGAATGTTAATTTTGGGCTCATTTTATGAGACTCTAGACTTGTGTGTTGTATATGCTACATGTAGTGTTTATAAGAGTACTCTGGGGACCAGCCCTTGAAAAATTGTGTTCATTTTATAGGCTGTGAGGCAGTGATTATTCGAAATTATTATGAAGGTATATGTTTGTTTTTATCAGTGCTTCTTCCTTTGATTTATTTGGTGCTGAGAATGTAGCTCAGGAATGCAACCACCAATGACAAAGCCGTTTCTATGAGAAAATAGTCTGCCCCTCAATGATCAATTGTGATACAGAATCTAGGACTCACGGTGGTTGAAGCAGATGCTGCTTACCAAATCACAACACTCCCTTTGTGTAGGAAAAGACATCCCAAATCTTAAAGGTAGGATTTCCACAAAACAAACAATTCAGAAGTTAATGCCTCATAGCAACTAAGAATTAAGACTTGATTTTTTGGTGTAGTTTTTTTCAAAGTACTATATGTCAAATTTTCTAAAAGTATCTGTGTGTGCAACAAAATGTTGCAAGTCAAAACCACTTGGATTTTATTTTCTATCCTTGCACTATTAAAAAGAATTGGGGCACATCGGCTGGGCGCAGTGGCTCACGCCTGTAATCCCAGCACTTTGGGAGGCCGAGGCGGGCGGATCACGAGGTCAGGAGATCGACACCATCCTGGCTAACACGGTGAAACCCCGTCTCTACTGAAAATACAAAAAATTAGCCGGGCGTGGTGGCGGGCGCCTGTAGTCCCAGCCACTCGGGAGGCTGAGGCGGGAGAATGGCGTGAACCCAGGAGGCGGAGCTTGCAGTGAGCGGAGATCCGGCCACTGCACTCCAGCCTGGGCAACAGAGCGAGACTCCGTCTCAAAAAAAAAAAAAAAAAGAATTGGGCCACATTACCTATCAATTTTATTTCTTTTTTTCCCCAAAATGCAGATAATAATTACAAAAGATTAAATGATAAAGTACAGAACATAGTACCTGGCACATGGTAGGTGTTCAATAAATGTTTCCTTCCTTTTTCATTGTCATTGATGGTCCATTACAAAATATATATTAAAGGAAAAGATGCTGAAAGCCTGGTAGATTTGGGTACTTCTATGTCAAAGATACCATTCATGCCCTTTTATAAGTGATTCAAAAAATTAACATATGCCTCAACTTCTACCTTGCAGTGAACTCCCGAAAGGTGGCAACAAATCCTTTTAGAGTTTCTTAGAACAGAGAAAATCCAACTGTGATGCTACAGAATATTGGCTCCTCTGTTGTGTTCTTGGATTTCCTCTCAACAGTTGCTTGCTGTGGTTTCTTAGGTTACAGGTACAATTAGTGAACTAAGGATTTAAGGTATGAGGCTTATTATTATTATTGGCTTTAATGTAACTATGGCTTATGCCTTATTATTTCTGGACTTCAGTCATCACTGTCATTATCAGATCTGCTGATCATCAGTCATTTCAGGGCCAAAAATAACAAAAGCACCAGAAACTGAAATACTGAGGACAATATAATCAACTCTGTTATTCAGGGACTCATTATTTCAATTTAGAATTTGTTCAATTCCGATTCAGAATTTGTTAGAATTTCCCAACTGGATGTGCATTCGAGCGTAACTTTGTTGTGTGAGTAGCAAAATACTTTGCAAAGCAAAATAATGAACAAGATTGCAGGAGGAATTTTCAACCCGCTAAAGAAAACAGTAGGATGAGAACATTGAGAACTCATAGAGGTTTCCATTTACTTAAAGAATTAGAAGCATGCATGTATACACTAAGATATCACGATATATTTGGCTGATCCATTTTCTTCTCTGTCTCCTTCATTAGACTTGGCTTTTTTGAGAATAGGAACAAAGTTCCTGTAAGAGTAGGTTTTTGTACATGTTAGCTAAATTAGTAGGTCCTTTAGTGCTGCGTGGATGGCTTAGGTGTTAATCATATTCATGAGTCTTTACCAAACACTCTCTCTCTCACACACACACACACACACACGCATGCAGGTGCAAAATTCTGTCACTAGGATCCACTGAGCTGGAGTTAGGATTGCAAGAGGTTGTTGGGGATAATTATGCCTATAAAAGATAAAAGTGGGGAAGAAGCAGGATTGTGTAGGAAAAGTCTCAGACCATGATGTGGATCTGAGAATGTCTTGATGACCCTCTGGAAAGTTCTGGAACAAAGATTACTCATTAGAAAAGCCCCACATTAGGCAAAAACGGCCAGGCCCTAGTATCCCTACCATGCTTAGTCATTGGCTGGGGGATGCCCAAGAAGAGCATGACCTCAGCTCAATAGCTAACAAATGGAGGCTATCGGCTAACTGCACTGCTTGCAGCTGAGCAGCAACTTCTTTCTTAAAGGAAGATCTGAGTGATGCACCTCTGTGGTTGCCACAAGTCCCAAGATAATGAACCTCCCTCATAACACAAATTCAGATATGAGGTGATTGACTCTAACTGCCACTTCCAAAAACATCTGCCCACCTCTTCTCTGAGGAAGCATGAACAGAAAGTCTTAGGTGGACAAAAGACAGAGAGCTGTATTACGCTGAGAGTCCCCAGGGTCTGAAAACTTGGTTGACAATAAGAGAATCAGCCAATTGGAGGATTCTGTGTATTGCTACTGTTGAAACCCAGCCAGGGCCAGATGTAGTGGCTCAAGCCTGTAATCCCAGCACTTTGGGAGGCCGAGGCAGAAGGATTGCTTGAGCCCAGGAGTTCAAGACCAGTCTTTGCAACATAGCGAGACCTCTACAAATAATTTTTAAAATTAGCCAGACGTGGTGATACACACCTGTGTCCCCAGCTACTTGGAAGGCTGAGGTGGGTAGATTGCTTTAGCCTGGGTGGTCAAGGCTGCGGTGAGCCATGATCACACTGTACTCCAGCCTGGATGACAGAACAAGACCTCATGTCAAAAAAAAAAAAAAAAAAAAAAAAAAAAAAGAAAGAAAGAAGAAAGGAAAGGAGAAAAGGAAAAAGAAAGGAAATCCAGCCAGCCACAGTTCCCAGAATCATTTTCATGAATATTTAAAGTAGAGAGGACGGTCACTAATAGGAAGTGCTAAACCACAGCCAGGGGAGGGATGGCACCAACTGACTCCCCTCCCAAGTCTTACCCAGCCAGCTGCTCAGGTTTTTCCTGGTTGGTTCAGTAATCTCATAATATCCAGGCCCCACATTTCTTTTTTTTCTTTCTTTCTTTTTTTTCTTTGAGACAGGGCCTCTGTCACCCAGACTGGAGTGCAGTGGGGCAATTATGGCTCCCTGGGTGATCCTCGCACCTCAGCCTCCCAAGTATTTAGGACTACAGGCACGCACCATCACACCCAGCTAATTTTTGTATATTTCGTAGAGATAGGATGTTGCCATGTTGCACAGGCTGTTCTTGAATTCGTGGGCTCAAGTGATCTACCCGCCTCAACCTCCCAAAATGCTGAGAATACAGGCGTGATCCACAATGCCTGGCTTTCCTTTCTTTTTTTGAGACAGAGTCTCACTCTGTTGCCCAGGCTGGAGCGCAGTGTTGCAAACTCAGCTCACTGCAACCTATGCCTCCAGGGTTCAAGCAATTCTCGTGCCTCAGCCTCACAAGTAGCTGAGACTACAGGTGCACACCACCACGCCCGGCTAATTTTTGCATTTTTTCGTAGAGATGGGGTTTTGACATGTTGATCAGGCTGGTCTTGAACCTGACCTCAAGTGATTTGCCCGCCTCTGCCTCCCAAAGTGCTGGGATTACAGGCGTGAGCCCCCATGCCCTGGCCTTTATTTTCAATTATACAAGTCAAACATTCTCTTCATAGAAAATTTAGACAGTACAACTTATTCTGCAGAATAAAATAAGTCACTCATAATATCACATCCCAGAAATAATTATTCCCAATTTTGTTTTCCAGTCACATTCATAACAAAATATACCACCCCCTCCTCCCTCCACTGATCTAATGTCATATACATTTTCCAAAGACAGGTCATTCTTGCAGCCTGCCTGGACTGAGAAGCTGGCAGTGCTAGGGTCAGATGGCAGAGTACTAAGAGGAAGAAGAGTGGATGGGGGATATAGAGTAATTAACTTCCAGAGTTCTTTTTTGATGGGGCGCTCTTTGAGGGTTGATCTGAGCATTCTGGGGCCTCATAATGAAACGACCTCTGTCCTCTTTTTGGCCTGGAGTCAGGCAGAGCAGGTAGATGTTCTTGGGTGTGGGAAAACATGGGGCTAAGGCAAATCCACTCCCTGTGCCCATCCATGTGTATGACCACCACCCAAGCCACCATGCAGAATTGCAGACAGACTCCTCTAGTTAATACTAAGTCCTTATTGTGTAATAGAATATTTTTTCTTGCCCTCAAGAAGTTTAAAGTCTAGTGAGAGAGACAGGCAAACTGACCTTTAAAATACATCATGCTGTGGCCAGGTGTGGTGGTGCATGCCTGTAATCCTAGCACTTTAGGAGGCCAAGACGGGTGGATCACTCAAGTTCAGGAGTTCGAGACCAGTCTGGGAAACATGGTGAAATCTTGTCTCTATTTTAAAAATTAATTTAAAAAGATTAAAATACATCATGCTTTGGATGTGGTGGCTCACATCTGTAATCCCAGCACTTTGGCGGGAGAATCATTTGATCCCAGGAGTTTGAGACCAGCCTGGGCAACATAGTGAGACCCCATCTCTACAAAAAAATTACAAAATTAGCCAGATGTGGTGAGCCGTACCTATGGTCCAAGCTACTTGAGAGGATGAGTTGGGAAGATTGCTTGAGCCCAGGAGGTTGAGGCTGTAGTGATTTGTGATTGTGCCACTGTACTCCAGCCTGGGTGACAGAGTGAGACCCTGTCTCAAAAATTTTTTAAAAATTAAAAAACAAAATAAAATACATCATGCTATTTGCTAAATAGCAAGATGTATATGATACTATGAGAGATAGGAGGGAGTAAACACTGTAACATATAAGTCAGAACATGATGAATAAGTTGGCATTCAAGGGAAAAGGGCATTCAAGGATGACAGAAAAGCTAAGACACAAGAGAGTGAGAGATAGGCTTGGGGATGAGAATGAGGCTCAGTGAAACCAAAAAGCAGGTATGGAAGGGGCAGGGCTTTGGGGTGATGGATTTCACTGTATGAATGCCTTTCAGGTATTAGGCTAGGGGTGTTTTTTTTTGTTTGTTTGTTTTGTTTTTTTTTTTTTGAGATGGAGTCTCACTCTGTCGCCGAGGCTGGAGTGCAGTGGCACGATCTCAGCTCACTGCAACATCCACCTCCCAGGTTCAAGTGATTCTCCTACTTCAGCCTCCTAAGTAGTTGGGATTATAGGCGCCCGCCACCATACCCAGCTAACTTTTGTATTTTTAGTAGAGATGGAGTTTCACTATGTTAGCCAGGCTGGTCTCGAACTCCTGACCGCAAGTGATCCACTCACCTTAGCCTCCCAAAGTGCTGAGATTACAGGCATGAGCCACCATGCCTGGCTCTAACATTTAATGAGATGGAATCTCTGCTTCCAATCAGGCCACAGTCTGGTTGAGAAGGCCCCTGAAGTGATGTTTGAGACCCAGCAGCATCACTAATTCTGAGAGTTCCACTATAGCAGTTCTGAATGTCCACCTCAAGCCAGTTAAACATTTAGTAACACCAAATTATTGGACTTTCCTTCTAAGAGAATTTACATCTGAAATATAACAATTAGCCAAGTAATTTAATTTTTAATAACTCTTTGATAAACTCTAGGCTCATAGTTTTAAAATGTACTTAATGCACACATATTGCATCCCCCCCAAAATTCATATGTTGAAGTCCTAATCCCCAGTACTGCAGAATGTGACTGTATTTGGAGATAGGGTCTTTAAAAAGGTGATTAAGTTAAATGAGAGCATTAGGGTCAGCTCTAATCCAATCTGACTTTATAAAAGGAAATTTATACACACATAGAGACACCAGTGGTGTGTGTGCACAGAAGAAGGACCATGTGAGGACACAGGGAGAATATGGCCATCTGTAAGCCAAGACGAAATGTCTTCAAAAGAAACCAATCCTGCTGACACTTTGATGTTGGGCTTCTAGCCTCCAGAACTGTGAGAATATAAATTTAGTTTAAGCCAACTAGTCAGTGGTACTTTGTTATGGCAGCCCTTGCAAACTAATAGATATATGATCCTGCCAGTAAAATGCATATGTACATACATTTTAAAATGCACTCATGTTTTCCCTGTGTTAAAAAGTCTGTACCTCATCTTATAGAAATCAGGAACCATTGAGATAGTTTTTGATCAGAGGAGTGACAGGACCATATCTATGTTCTAGAAAGAGAATTCTGATGTCAACCAGGAGAATGAGTTGGAAAGGTGGTGATATGGTTTGGCTGTGTCTCCACCCAAATCTCATCTTGAATTCACATGTGTTGTGGGAGGGATCTGGTGGGAGGTAATTGAATCATGAGGGCAAGTCTTTCCTGTGCTGTTCTTGTGATAATGAATAAGTCTCATGAGATCTGGTGGTTTTAAAAATAGGAGTTCCCCTGCACAAGCTCTCTCCCTCTTTGCCTCCTGCCATCCATGTAAGACATGACTTGCTCCTCCTTGCCTTCCACTATGACTGTGAGGTTTCCCCAGCCACATGGAACTGTAAGTCCAGTTAAATGTCTTTCTTTTGTAAATTTCCCAGTCTTGGGTATGTCTTTATCAGCAGTGTGAAAACCAACTAATACTGAGACTGAGGGTAGGAAACCTAACAAGGAGGCTGCTGCCATCAAGTGGAGTCACCAATCCCTTGACCAAAGGCCCTGAAACATCTAGAGGGTATGCTGAGAGCAGGGGTGCATAAGTGAGTTTACCCTGGGGAAATAAATGCATTTTGCACAAATTACCCATTGGCCTGAATTTAAACTTTCATCATGGACTAGACTAGCCTTGGTGACAAAGTATTTGAGGGAAGCTGACTTTGCTTGTACAGGAGATCCCTAAGTTTTGGACACCAGTCTCTTAGAGAGAGCTGTGTGTTTCTTTTTCAGATATTTGCTGTTCTTGGCCAGGCCTAGTGGCTTATGCCTGTAACCTCAATACTGTTGGAGGCCAAAGCAGGAGGATTGCTTGAAGCAAGGAGTTCGAGGCTGCAGTGAGCTAAGAAGCTGCCACTGCACTCCAGACTGGACAACAGAGCAAGGCCCTGCCTAAAAAATAAATAAATAAAAATTAAAAAAAATTAACTTGCTGTTCTTTACTTGGCTTGCCAACTGAGATATCTGCTTGTAGCCTAGGAAAAGTTACTTCTTAGGTAGATAGTTAAGAGATTTTATAAATTTATCATATGGGAAAAAGAAATAGTTTGGGGCTTGACATTAAGATACCAGGTTCAAACTCTGGGTGTTTTCCAGACTAGCGATTTGATATTGTTTAGATCTTTTTACTACTCTGGGCCTTAAGCTACTGATTGGTAAAATGAAGTGAGGAAGAAAACAAACAATTATTCAATCTTCTTGTATCCAAGGCACTATATACTGAAGATGTTCCTAATTAGAGGGTGTTTATACTATTTAGTACTCAGAAAAACTGAACTATTACTATCCCCATTTGACAGATGAAAAAACTAAGGTTTGTCTGAGAAGCCAGGATTCAAACTCATGTATCAAGCTCTAAACCCCACAATTTCTAAGGCTCCTTCTAATTCCAAAATGCTGTAATTCATGTGCAGTACCTGGAACATTTTAGGCTGAATAAACACTAATGTCTAATCAAGACACAATAGTAAAAACAATAGGTTTTCCAGTGATTACTAAGTGGCTGCGGAAGAAGCACTCATCCAGCAGGGAAATATAGTTTCTCAGTGGCAGAGAATGTAACAGGCAAAGGGAGGCAATAAATCTGCAATTTTTCAGGAGCAAATGACATTTTCTCAAGTTGAAATTGTAGAACTCTGTAGTCTGGAATTTGACTCAAACTTTGGGACAAGTGCTCTGGGAATGGTGAAAATAAATGCCCCAAATCATGTTAGACCCAGATTAAGGGGCATCTTCTGATGCTGCTGCCAAAAGGCTCTCCTCCAATACTAACATGAAGCAGAGAAGAACAATCCAGGTCCCCTAATTTCAAGTCTAGTGTTCTTTCATTTTCCTCAAGTAACTTATACCTGGGTTGAGGAAACATACAACTCATATCTGTTTTTTATTCATTCATCCTCAACAAGCCCTTATCAAGCACTGTCTATATGTTAACACAGTGCTGTGTATGAGGATATAAAAGCAAGGTCCCTGGGCATGGTGGCTCACGCCTGTAATCCCAGCACTTTGGGAGGCCAAGGTGAGTGGATCCCCTGAGGTGAGGAGTTTGAGACAAGCCTGGCCAACATGGTGAAACCCCGTCTCTACTAAAAATACAAAAAATTAGCCAGGCGTGGTGGTGGGTGCCTGTAATCCCAGCTACTTGGGAGGCTGAGGCAGGAGAATCGCTTAAACTCAGGAGGCGGAGGTTGCAGTGAGCCGAGATCGTACCACTACACTCCAGCCTGGGCAACAAGAGCAAAACTCCCTCTCAAAAAAAAAAAAAAAAAAAAAAAAAGGCAACTTCCCCTTGCTGCTGGGCACAGTAGCTCATGCCTGTAATCTCAGCCCTTTGGGAGGCTGAGGCAGGAGGATCACTTGAGCCCAGGAGTTCAAGGCCAACCTGGGCAACAGGATGAAAACCCATCTCTACTAAAAATACAAAAATTAGCTGGGCATGGTGGTGTGTGCCTGTAATCCCAGCTATTCGGGAGACCGAGGCAGGAGACTCGCTTGAACTCTGGAGGCAGAGGTTGCAGTGAGCAGAGATTCCACCACTGCACTCCAGCCTGGGCAGAAAAGGGAGACCCTATCTCAAAAAAAGTAATAATAATAAAGAAAGAAAGAAAGAAAGGAAATAAATAAATAAAAGAAAAGCAGGGTCCCCTGCTTAGCAGGGGTTTATGGTTTTGATGGGGGAAACAAGGAAAGCAACAAGCAATAGAGGGGATCCCAGGGAATCATGGGTACACAGAGGTGGGACATTCTACTTAGACTGCAGAGGAAGGCAACCAGGAAAGAATTCCTGGAAGTGTCACTCGAGTAGAGTCCTGAAAGATGAGCAGGAGGTAACTTGGAGAAAACCCAAGCAGAGACAGAGAGAAAAGCTCCTGCCTAGACATGGAAACAAGAAAAAACATGGCACCTGCAGGAAGGGCAAGTCGTTTGAAATACAGTGGTGGGAGAAAATGTTAGTGCTGTTGTATGGTCTTGACACATGTACATTAGGAGTTCAGAGAATGGAGACATTTTTAACCCCAGTAATGATAATATCTTACATTTTTTATAGCACTTTACAATCTGACAAAACATTCTCTACCTTATCTTATCGTTTAACCATTTCATAGATAAGGCAAATGAGGGTCAGGAGGTCAAATGCCTTGGGCATAGCCTTACAGGAAGTGAGTGGCAAGGCTGAATCAAAAGTTCAGGGATTTTCCTTCCCAATTCAGAATGGAATGGAGTGTCAGAGGGCTCTTGCCGAGATCAGCTGTTTTGTCCTAACTCTGTGTTCACAGAGCCACACAAGGGGCCGCCTAGGGACGGGAGTGGCTCAGTTTGGGGGGGTTCTACCAGACAGGAAGGAGCTAAAGAGTAGAGACCCATGACAAGACCACAACATCTATCCAGGACGTAACACCTCCTGGAGCCGTGAAAAGAGTTCTGGCCTCTGTGGAATTGCTTATCTTCTAATTCATTCTGTTTCTATGTATTTATTTTACTTTTAGAGACAGGGTTTCACTCTGTCATCCAGGCTGGAGTACAGTGGCATGATCCTAGCTCTCTGTAGCCTTGAACCCCTGGGCTCAAGTGATCCTCCCACCTCAGCTTCCCTAGCAGCTGGGACTACAGGTATGCACCAGTACCTCCAGCCAAGTTTTTAAAATTTTTTGTAGAGACAGGGTCTCGCTATGTTGCCAAGGCTGGTCTTGAACTCCTGGCCTCAAGTGATCCTCCCAACTCAGCTTCTCAAACTGTTGAGATTACAGGCATGATCCACCATGCCTGGCACTATTCTGTTTCTAATAAAAGGGCATTAATTGTCTCTGTGCGCCATTTTCTTCATTTGCCAAATAGAGACAATAGCAAGACTGTTTCTGCCCTCCCTGTCTCTCAGGAAGGACATTTCATAACTCTGAGGAGCCCCATTCAGGGATGACTACTGGTGCTCATTGCAGGGGTATCACCTCAGGGTTATAAAGGTGAGAGGTTTTTAAAGTGCAGGTGTTTCACAAATGCAAGATAATACTTGTATCTGTTTGGAATGGGCTGTGTTTAGGAGCTGGGGAAGAGGAAAAAGGAAAGGTTTCAAGCAGTTCTATTAGGTTGGTGCAAAAGTAATTGCAGTTTTTGCAATTACTTTAATGGCTAAAACTGAAATTACCTTTGCACCAGTACTTCACTCCTCACCTTTAGCCCTGTAGCAGGTGCTGCAGGTGGGGCCCCTTTATCCCTTGGCCTTAACTGCTTCCATGGTCTCTAGCCTGAATACTAATTGCCAGCACCTGGGTCTCTTTGCCTAGGGATGTTTTCTGGATGCCAGTGATCACTATGCCTTCACCTGCTGCAGGCTGGAAGCACCATGAGGCTAGTTCTCCCTGAAAGTGGCTCTCAATCATTGCCAAATGGGATTTGGTGGATAAGTACCCCAGCTCCTTTCTCTTCTTTTTGTTTTTCTTTGTTTGTTTGTTTAGACTTTCAAAAAAAATTTTTATTGTAGTAAAACGTAAAATCTACCATCTTAACCATTTAAATGTACAATTCAATGGCATTAAGTACATTCACCTTTTTGTGTAACCACCACCACCACCATCCATCATCCATCTCCTGAACATTTTCATCTTCTCAAACTGAAACTCTGTACCTGTGAAACAATAACTCCTCATTGCCTCCTCCTCCAGCCCCTGGCAAACACCACTCTACTCCTAGACTACTTTCAGACTCAGTTTCTTCTTTCACTTAATAAAAGAGAGGCTCCACTGCTGACTAATGGGATGGTTTCTACATGTGGAGGCCTTCTTGCAGACATGTAATTGAGTTTATTGTAGAGAACGGTAATAGGAAATGGGATTGTAGAAAGAAAAAAGAGACAAAACTGGATGAGGGTTTCATACTGGGTGTTGCATCCACAGGCCTCAGCAGCCCTGCACAGATCTGCCCAATTCTTGTGCATCAATAGTTGATCTTGCGAGCCATTTCCATGCCGTAGATCCGCCATCACCTTTCATAGCTTTCCCTCTGTCGCCGGTGGCATGGCTTCTCACAGTACCGTTGAGGCTTAATGCCCTCAATCAGCCTATCCGTAGTGAGGATTCTGCTTAGGGTCCTGTATGCACCTTCCATGTTCCCTTCCTGTACCATCACAGTCCTGGCGATGAACTTCAGATGTTTTGCCATGACCTTGGATTTAACTCTCCGCTCTGCAGGACCTGGTGCATTCAGTACCTAGCTGACCCGAAGGCTTCTCCTCTTTCCTCTTTTGTGGGGGTAACTATGCTGGTTCCTGGAGTTCTCCAGCAGAATTAAGCTCTGGTTGCCTCTAGTGATGACTTGCTTGGTAACACAATTTTTACTGGTATTTGTTCCTTCTCTACCTTACTTCTCCACTGTTCTACCAGCATTTCCTGGGGTCACTTCCCAAATAAACAACTTGCACTCCATTGCTTGTCTCATGGTTTGCTTCTGGGGAAACCCAAACCAGGATGACGCCTCCCTGAGTTACATGCTGCTTTCAACATTGTGGAAGGCGCTGGAGAGGAAAACTGGGGGGAGATTCAGAAATATAATTTATTTATTCATTCATACTTTCTACACTCAGCAAATACTTATTAAGCATCTATTTCATGCCAAGCACTGTGCTAGGCACTGGCTAGAACCCCATCTCTTAGGACTTTGAGGAATCCCCCATCACTTGAATCCTAGCTCACATACCCTAACCCCAGCTCTGTGGATTGCAGATGGGAGGGTTATTAGAGGAGGCTTCATGTGAAGGAGGTGGGGCCCCGAAAAAAGGAGGAAAAAATAGAAGTTCTGGGAATGTGTGGAAGGGAAATGGACAAGAGGAAATAATGGCCAGTAGGGAGAATGAAATTCACAAATGAAAGGAGCACAGGCATACCTGTGTTCTTGGGGAGCCCCTGAGTCTTGGGGGATCAACTGTCAGAGCAGAAAAGAGCCTTAGAGGCCACAAGTAACTCCCCTTCATTTTACTTCTGGAAAACTGAGGACCAAAGACAAAATAATTTCCTTGACCCCTTGTGCAGTGAGTGCTCTTTCTCTTGAGAGAAATAAGGTTGTATCAGTCTTTCTTAAACTTTTTCATTATTGCCGTCTGTCCAGAAACCTTTTTAGACATTTTTCCTAATCACTCCCTCTAATGAAATCTTAATACCACAGATACATTGTATCTTTGTTGTGTAGTATAGATAGATTTGTTTGTGTGCTATATCTATTAAAAAGTAAGATTTTTTTCCAACCCCTGGGAACCATTTGCCCCCTTGGGTGTGATATTACCCCTGTTGAGAATGTGTGAACTAGAGAGGCCAAATGTGGCCAGGTTACTGAGGCCTTAATAGTTAGACGGAGAAACTGAATTTAGTGGAGTAAGCAATAGGGAGCCATAATAAGTTCCTGAGCAAGAGCATGTGGTGAGGAAAGAGGTGAAGAGCCTACTCCACACAATAGTATCTATTGAGTTGTTTGAATTCCTTATATATTCTGGATATTACTCCCCTATCAGATGAATAATTTGCAGATATTTTTTTCCATTCAACAAGATGTCTCTTCACTCTGTTGATTATTTATTTTGCTGTGCAGAAAACTTTTTATTTAATTAAGTCCCATTGGTGTATTTTTGTTTTTGTTGCCTGTGCTTTTGAAGTATTAATCATAAATTCTTTGCCCAGACCAAAGTGCAGTAGTAGAGTTTTCCCTGGGTTTTCTTTCTTGTGTCTTTATAGTTTGAGGTCTTAAAATTTTAACCTTTTAATCCATTTTTGACTTGATTTTTTTCTAGATGGTGAAGGATAAGGGTCCAGTTTTATTTTTTTTGCATGGTGCTATCCAGTTATCTCAGCATCACTTATTGAAGCAGGTATCCTTTCCCCACTGTAAGTTCGTGTCAACTTTGCTGAAGATCAGTTGGTTGTTAAGTATGTGGCCTCATTTTCAGATTCTGTATTCTGTCCCATTGGTCTATGTGTCTATATTTAGCCATACCATGCTGTTTTGGCGACTATAGCCTTGTAATATATTTTGAAATCAGAAAATGTGATTTCAGGTCATGTTCTTTTTGCACAGGATTGCTTTGGTTATTTGGGCTCTTTTGGGGTTTCATGTGATTTTTAGGATTTTTTTTCTACTTCTGTGAAGAATAATGTTGGTATTTTTCTAGGGATTGATTTGAATCTGTAGATTGCTTTGGACAATATGAATATTATAACAAGATTAACGCTCCAATCCATAAGCATGGGATGGGTTTCCATTTATTTGTGTCATTTTTACTTTCTTTCATCAGTGTTTTACAGTTTTCCTTGTAGATGTTTCACCTCCTTGTTTAAATTTATTCCTAGACATTTTAATTTTTTGGTAGCTATTATACTATAAGTGGGATTGCCTTCTTGATTTCTTTTTTGGCTAGATCATTATTGGTATATAGAAATGGTAGTAATTTTTTATACATCAACTTTGTATCTGCAACTTTACTGAATTTATTTATCAAATCTAAGAGTTTTTGGTGGGATCTTTAGATTTTCCTACAAATAAGATAATGTCATCAGCAAAGAGGGACCATTTGAATTCCCCTTTCCAATCTGGACACCTTTTGTTTCTTTCTTTTGCCTGATGGCTCTAGCTGGGACTTCTAGTACTATATTGAATGAGAGTGGTAAAAGTGGGCATCCTTGTCTTGTTCTGGTTCTTAGAGGAAAGGTTTTCAATTTTTCCCCACTCAGTATAATGTTAGCTGTGGCTTTGTCATATATGGCCTTTATTATTTTGAGATATGTTCCTTCTATCTAGTTTGTTGAGAGTTTTTATCATGAAGGGATGTTGAATTTTAGCAAATGCTTTTTCTCTATCTATTGAGATGATCATATGGTCTTTGTCTTTCATCCAGTTGATGTGATGTATCATGTTTATTGATTTGTGTATGTTGAACCATTATTGCATCCCTGGTATAAATCTCACCTAATTGTTGTATACTATTTTTTTAAATTAATTAATAGATTTTTTTTTTTAAACACGGGGTCTTGCTCGGTTGCCCAGGCTGAGGAGCGGCAGAGTGATCTTGGTACACTGCAGCCATGACCTCCTGGGCTCAAGTAATCCTCCTACCTCGGCTTCCTGAGTAGCTAAGACTACAGATGGTTCCCACCACCATGCCTGCCTAATTTTTGTATTTTCTGTGGAGACAGGGACTTGCTTGGTTGCCCAAGCTGATCTCAAACTCCTGCCCTCAAGCAGTCCTGCCTTGGCCTCCTGTATTATCTTTGTGATGTGTTGTTGGACTCGGTTTCCTAGTATTTTTTTTGGAGATTTTTATATCTACGTTCATCAGGGATATTAGCCTGTAGTTTTGTTTTGTGATGTCCTTGCCTGGTTTTGGTATCAGGGTGATACTGGTCTTGAAGAATGATTTAGGGAGTATTCGCCTCAATTTTTTTTGGGATAGTTTCAGGAAGATTGTTATTAGTTCTTCTTTGTACATTCAGTAGAATTCACCTGTGAATCCATCTGGTCCTGGGCTTTTCTTTTTCTTCTTCTTCTTTTTTTTTTTTTTAGACGGAGTCTTGCTCTGTCGCCCAGGTTGGAGTGCGGTGGCACGATCTCAGCTCACTGCAAGCTCCGCCTCCCAGGTTCACGCCATTCTCCTGCCTCAGCCTCCCAAGTAGCTGGGACTACAGGTGCCTGCCACCATGTCCAGCTAAGTTTTTTTTTTTTTTTGTATTTTTAGTAGAGACAGGGTTTCACCGTGTTAGCCAGGGTGGTCTCAATCTCCTGACCTCGTGAACCACCCGCCTTGGCCTCCCAAAGTGCTGGGATTACAGGCGTGTGCCACCACGCCTGGCCGGTCCTGGGCTTTTCTTTGTTGGGAGACTTTTTATTACAGATTCAATGTCTCTACTCACTATCAGTCTCTTCAGGTTTTTATTTCTTCCTGATTAAATCTTGGTAGGTTGTATGTTTCCAGGAATTTATCCATTTCCTCTAGGTTTTCCAGTTTGTCAGTGTCTATTTGTTCACAATAGTCTCTGATGAGCTTTTGTATTTCTGTGGTATCAGTTGCAATAGCTCCTTTTTCATTTCTGATTTTGTTTTTCAGGTCTTCTCTTCTTGGTTACTCTGGCTAGTGATTTATCAATTTTGTTTATCTTTTTAAATAACCAACTTCTTGGTTTTTTTTTTTTTTTTTGAGACAGGGTCTTGGTCTGTCACCCACGCTGGAGTGCAGTGGTGTGATCACAGATTACTGCAACCTCAGCCTCCTGGGATCAAACGACCATTCTGCCTCAACCTCCTGAGTAGCTAGGACTACAGGCACATGCCACCATGACTACCTTATTTCTTTTCTTCTGATAATTTCGGGTTTGGTTTGTACTTGCTTTTCTTATTCCTTGAAATGCCTTGTTAGATTGTTAATTTGTAATTTTTCTACTTTTTTGGCCAGATGTGGTAGCTCATGCCTGTAATCCCAGCACTTTGGGAAGCCGAGGCAGGAGGATCACTTGAGGCCAGGAGTTCAAGACCAGCCTGGCCAACATGGTGAAACCCGGTTTGTATTAAAAATACAAAAATTAGCCAGGCATGGTAGTGTGTGCCTGTAGTCTCAACTATTCAGGAGGCTGAGGCAGAAGAATCACTTGAACCTGGGAGGTGGAGGTTGCAATGACCCAAGGTCTCACCATTGTACTTCAGCCTGGGTGATAGAGCCAGACTCTACCTCAAAAAAAAAAAAAAAAAAAAAAAAAGTCCCCTCTTAGTGCAGCTTTTGCTTTTGCTGTATCCTGCAGGTTTGAGTATGTTGTAACTCCATTTTCACTTATTTTAAGAAATTTGTTTATTTCCTTCCTGATTTCTTCATTGACCCACTCATCATTCAGGAGCTTATTGCTTAATCTCCATGTGTTTGTACAGTTTTCAAAGTTCCTCTTGGTATTGATTTCTTATTTTATTCCATTGTGGCCTGAGAGGATACTTGATATTATTTTGATTTTTAGAAAATTGGTTGAGAGGTCGGGCATGGTGGCTCACGCCTGTAATCCCAGCACTTTGGGAGGCTGAGGTAGGCAGACCACCTGAGGTCAGGAGTTTGAGATCAGCCTGGCCAACACAGTGAAACCCCATCTCTACAAAAAATACAAAAATTAGCTGGCTGTGGTGGCACATACCTGTAGTCCTAGCTCCTCAGGAGGCTGAGGCAGGAGAATCACTTGAACACAGGACGTGGGGTTGCAGTGAGCCAAGATCTTGCCACTGAACTCCAGCCTGGGCAAAGAGTGAGACTCGGTCTCAAAAAAAAAAAAAAAAAAAAAAAAAGAAAATTGGTTGAGACTTGTTTGTGGCCTAACATATGATCTATCCTGGAGAATCTTCCATGTATTGAGGAAAAGAATGTATATTCTGGCCAGGCATGGTGGCTCACACCTATAATCCAGCACTTTGGGAGACCAGGGCAGGTGGATCACTTGAGGTCAGGAGTTTGAGACCAGCATGGCCAACATAGTGAAACCCCATCTCTACGAAAAATACAAAAATTAGCTGGGTGTGGTGGTGTGCACCTGTAATTCCAGCTACTTGGGAGGCTAAAGCATGAGAATTGCTTGAACCCAGGAGTTGGAGGTTGCAGTAAGCCAAGATCGTGTCACTGCACTCCAGCCTGGGTGACAAAGTGAGACTCTGTCTCAAAAAATTAAACTAAACTAAAATAATAATGTATATTATGCAGTTGTTAGAATGTTCTGTAAATTTCTGTTAGGTCCATTTGGTCTAAAGTCCAGTTTATATCCAATGTTTCTTTGTTCCTTTTCTGTCTAGATGATCTGTCAAATGCTGAGAGTGAGGTCTTAAAGTTCCTCTCTATTATTGTATTGCAGTCTATCTCTCTCTTTAGATCTAGTATTATTTGCTTTCTGGTGCTCCAGAGTTGGGAGCATATATATTTATAATTGTTATATCCTCTTCCTGGATTGATCCCTTAATCATTATGTAATAACCTTCTTTGTCTTTTTTTTTTTTTTTTTAACTACTTTTGACTTAGTCTGTTTTGTTTTGTGTTTTGTTTTTTGAGACACGGTCTCACCCTGTCACCCAGGCTAAAGTTCTGTGGCACAATCTCCATCTCTAGGGCTCAAACAATCCTCCCACCTAAGCCTCCCAAATAGCTGGGACTACAGATGTGTGCCACCAAGCCTGGCTAATTCTTAAATTTTTTGTAGAGACAAGGTCTTACTGTGTTGCCTAGGTTGGTCTTGAACTCCTGGTCTCAAGTGATCCTCTCGCCTTGGCTTCCCAAAGTGGTGGGGTTAAAGGTGTGAGCCACCATGTCTGGCCTAAAGTCTGTTTTGTCTGATATAAGTATAGCTATTCCTGCTCACTTTTGGTTTTCATTTGCATGGAATATCTTTTTCCATCTCATTACTTTCAGTCTATATGTGCCTTTACTGACAAAGTGAGTTTCTCTTTTTTTTTTTTTTTTTAATAGTCTTGCTCTGTCATTCAGGCTGGAGTGCAGTGGTGTGATCTTGGCTCACTGCAACCTCTGCCTCCTGAGTTCAAGGATTCTCATGCCTCAGCCTCCTGAGTAGATGGGATTGCAGAAGCATGCTACCATGCTGGGCTAATTTTTGTATTTTTAGTAGACGCGGGGTTTTGCCAAGTTGGCCAGGCTATTCTTGAGTTCTTTACCTCAGGTGATGCACCCACCATGGCCTCCAAAGTGCTGGGATTACCAAGTGAGTTTCTTGTAAGCAGCATATAGTTAAATCATGGTTTTTTATTATTATTATTTTAATCCATTTAGCTATTCTATGTCTTTTAAGTGGAAAATTTCATCTTTTTATGTTCAAGGCTATTATTGATATATGAGGCTTTGTTCTTGTCATATTATTAATTGTTTTCTGGCTATTTTATATATTCTTTGTTCCTTTCTTTCTCTCTTACTGTTTCTTAAGTGCTTTGGTGGATATCTGTATGGGTACCATTTGAGCTTTTTCTCTTCCTCCTTTGTGTGATTGCTTTACCAGTGAGTTTTATACTGTTGTATGTTTTCATGATGGTAAATATCATCCTTTTACTTTCAGGTCTGGGACTCCCTTGAGCATTTCTTACAGGCCCAGTGAATATCCTTAGACCAGGTGCAGTGGCTCATGCCTGTAATCCCAACACTTTCAGAGGCCAAGGTGGGAGGATTCCTTGAGCCCAGGAGTTTGAGACTAGCCTGGGCAACAAAGCCAAACCCCATCTCTACAAAACACTTAAAAATTAACTGGACTTGGTGTGTATCTGTGGTCCCAGTTACTGAGAGGCTGAGGCAGAAGGATCACTTGAGCCTGGGAGGTTGAGGCTACAGTGAGCTATAATCATGCCACTGTACTCCAACCTGGGCAACAGAGTGAGACCCTGTCTCAAACAAACAAACAAACAAACAGACAACAACCAAAACCCTCAGCATTTGCTTGTCTGAGAAAGACCTTATTTCTCCTTCATTAATGAAAAATAATTTTTCTGGATATAGTATCCTTGGCTGACAGGCTTTTTTTTTACTTTCAGCACTTTGAATATATCATCTCATTCTCTTCTGGCCTATAAGGTTTCTGCTCAGAAACCTACTGTTAAGCAGCCTGGGCAACATAGTGAGACCTTCTCTACTAAAAATTAAAAGATTAGCCAGGTGTGGTGGCACATGCCTGTAGTTCTAGTTACTTGGGAGGATCGCTTGAGCCTGGCAGGCCAAGGCTGCAGTAAGCAGTGATCATGCTACTGCACTACAGCCTGGGCAACAGAGTGACACCCTGTCTCAAAAAAAAAAAAAAAAAAAGGAAAGCAATCCACTGTTAGTCCGATGTAGTTTCCTTTATAGGTGACTAGATGCTTTTTTTTTTCTTTCAGTTTTTAATATTTGCTCTTTGTCTTTTATTATAGACAGTCTGACTATAATGTGCCATGGAGAATACATCTTTGCATTATATCTTCCTGGGGATCACTGAGCCTCTTTTACCTGGATGTCTAAATTTCTCGCTAAACTTGGGAAGTTTTCATTTATTATTTAGTTAAATAGGTTTTCTAATTTTTTTACTCTGTCTTAGCCTTCAGGGACACCAATAATTAGAATATTCAGTTGCTTTATGTTTTCTCAAATATCGTGAATGCTTTGCTTATTCTTTTTTCTTTTTTTTTTTTTTTTTTCAGGATAGGGTCTTGTTCTTGCCTTGTCTAGGCTACAGGACAGTGGCACAATCACACTTCACTGCAGCCTTGACATCCCAGGCTCAAGCAGTCCTCCCACTTCAGCCTCCTGAGTAGGTAGGACTACAGGTGTGTGCCATCATGCCAGCCTATTTTTGTTTTTGAGATGGAGTTTCGCTCTTGTTGCCCAGGCTGGAGTGCAATGGCGCAATCTTGGCTCACCACAACCCCCGCCTCTCAGGTTCAAGCGATTCCCCTGCCTCAGCCTCCCGAGTAGCTGGGATTACAGGCACGCCACTGTACCTGGCAAATTTTGTATTTTTTTTAGAGACAGGGTTTCTCCATGTTGGTCAGGCTGGTCTCAAACTCCCAACCTCAGGTTATCCACCCACCTCGGCCTCCCAAAGTGCTGGGATTAAAGGAGTGAGCCACTACACTTGGCCATGCCAGCCTATTTTTTAAAAAATTATTAGTACTAAAGATGAGATCTTACTATGTTGCTCAGGCCGATCTCAAAACTCCTGAACTCAAGCAACCTTTCTGCCTTGGCCTTCCAAAGTGTTGGGTTTACTGACCTGAGCCACTGTGGCTGGCCTCATTCTTTTTTTCCTTATTCTTATCCTACTGAATTATTTCAAAAGACTTGTCCTGAAGTTTTGAAATTCTTTCTTCTGTTTGATCTAGTCTTTTTTTTTTTTTTTTTTTTTTTTTTTTTTGAGACGGAGTTTCGCTCTTGTTGCCCAGGCTGGAATGCAATGGTGCGATCTCGGCTCACTGCAACCTCCGCCTCCCGGATTCAAGTGATTCTCCTACCTCAGCCTCCCGAGTAGCTGGGATTACAGATACGCACCACCATGCCCAGCTAATGTTTGTATTTTTAGTAGAGATGGGGTTTCACCATGTTGGACAGGATGGTCTCAATCTCTTGACCTCGTGATCCACATGCCTTGGCCTCCCAAAGTGCTGGGATTACAGGCATAAGCCACCGCCCTCGGTGATCTAGTCTATTGTTGAAGCTATCTTTCCTTTTTTTTTCTTTTTTTTTTTTGAGACACAACAGTTTTACTCTGTCACCCAGGCTGCAGTGGCATGATCTGCACTCACTGCAACCTCTACCTCCTGGGTTCAAGCGATTCTTGTGCCTCAGCTTCCTGCATAGCTAGGATTACAGGTGTGTGCCACCATGCCCAGCTAATTGTTTGTATTTTTAGTAGAGACGGAGTTTTGCCATTTTTGCCCAGGCTGGTCTCAAACTCCTGAGCTCAGGCTATCCACCTGCCTTGACCTCCCAAATTGCTAGGATTACAAGTATGAGCTGTTGTTGAAGCTTTCAAGTGTATTTTGTATTTCCTTAAATAAATGAATTATTCAGTTCTAAGCTTTCTGTTTGGTTCTCTTTTTTTTTTTTTTTTTTTTTTTTTGAGATGAAGTCTCACTCTGTCGCCCAGGCTCTAGTGCAGTGGCGCGATCTCTGCTCACTGCAAGCTCTGCCTCCCAGGTTCATGCCATTCTCCTGCCTCAACCTTCCATGTAGCTGGGACTATAGGCGCCCGCCACCACACCCGGCTAATTTTTTGTACATTTAGTAGAGATGGGGTTTCACCGTGTTAGCCAGTATGGTGTCAATCTCCTGACCTTGTGATCCAACCGCCTTAGCCTCCCAAAGCGCTGGGATTGCAGGCATGAGCCACCATGCCTGGCCTGTTTGGTTCTTTTAAAAAATACCTCTGGTAAATTTCTCATTCATATCCTGAGTTGTTTTTCTGATTTCTCTGTATTCTTTTTCAGAATCCTCTTGTAGCTCACCAAGGTTCTTTAAAATCAGTATTTTGTGAATTTCTTTTTTATTGGGATCTGCTGCTGGAGAATTATTGTTTTCCTTTGGTGGTGTTATATTTTCTTGCTTTTTCATGTTTCCTGTGTCCTTGCATTGACATCTGCATATCTAGCATAATTGTCACTTCTTCTAATTTTTTGAAATTGCTTTGTAGGGGAAGATTTTTCCCTGAAGATGTGTATATGTTGTTGGTTAGATAGGATCATTGGTTGGCCTTGATTTGGGGTGCATGCAATAGCATGTGGGCTATGTGATTTCTTTTTTTTTTTTCTTTTGAGATGGAATCTCACTCTGTCACCCAGGCTGGAGTACAGTGGTGCGATCTTGGCTCACTGCAACCTCCGCCTCCCAGGGGTTCAAGCAACTCTCCTGTCTCAGCCTCCTGAGTAGCTGGAACTACAGGCGCATGCCACTATGCCCAGCTAATTTTTGTATTTTTAGTAGAGACGAGGTTTCACCGTATGGGTTGGACTGGTCTCGAACTCCTGACCTCAGGTGATCCACCCACCTTGGCCTCCCAAAGTGCTGGGATTACAGGTGTGAGCCACCGCACCCAGCCTGGCTGTGTTTCTTCAGCTGTAAATGGCATCAGTGGCATCCATGCTTTTTTGGTGGCTTCAGGTTTGGTTATTACTGGAGTCTGTGGTTAGGTTTTGCTGGAACTAGGGTGCCAAGTGGGCGGGCCAGTGTTTGAGCCCCAGTGGCGGTAGTGGTGGGCCAAGCATGCCTGTTTGTGGGCCTCAGGGGACCTATGTTGGCACCAACGTTAGTGGGTCCTGGAGTGCTGATTCTTAGCCTTCTAGATGGCTTGCTTAAATGCTGGTTGTGGCAACAGTGTGTTGGGCGTATGTGCAAGTTATCAGGCCCCTTGGCAGCTGGTGTGATGTGGGCCATGGCAGTAGCAGTGGTAGAACAAACCCACTGGAGTCCAGGAGGTCCATGGTGGTGTTGGTAGTGGCTGTGACAGGTTGTGCAGGCTAGTCCCTCTGGTGATACATGCAGTTGGGTAATAGCTGTGGTGGTACATGCTGTTGGGTGATAGCTGTGATATCTGGTCCCTGGTGATACATCCAGTTGGGTGATAGCTGTGGTGGTATTGGCAGGTTGGGTTGACCCAACCTCTGGATAGCACACTTGAGTACTGGTGGAAGGAGACCAGGCTGGTAGACATGTCCTCAGTCCCCCTTGGTAGTGCATTCAGGTGCTGGCTGCAATAGGAAGGGGCAGCGTGGCTCAGATGTGGGCAATGGTGACCACACTGTGGGCCTGCCACCATTGAAGGTGGAGCCTGTCTCTGCTGGAGCAGCCAAGGCAGGTAACTGTGGGCAGTGTAATTTGCTCATGCCTTGGTCCCACAGCATTCTGCCACAGCAGCAATGGGAATTTTCCTTGGGGTACATGGGACCGCCTAGCCTCCCCTCTCCCACCTTAGCCCAGTGATGACAGCGACAGCCCAGACCCTAGGGCAGGATGCAGACCTTTGAGAGCTTGGTTCTCAGAATAGCACCAAGCTGCAGCTGCTTAGGACATGGATGCCTGTGGGACTTTGTGTGTGTTCCCTCTCTGGAGCAATGCCTCTGTGCCTTTTTTTTTTTTTTTTGAGTCAGAGTTTTGCTCTTTTGTCCAGGATGGAATGCAGTGGCATAATCTCAGCTCACTGCAACCTCTGTCTCCCAGGTTCAAGCAATTCTCCTGTCTCAGCCTCCCAAGTAGCTGGGATTACAGGCACCCACCACCGTGCCTGGCTAATTTTTGTATTTTTAGTAGAGACGGGGTTTCACCATGTTGGCCAGGCTGTTCTTGAACTCCTGACCTCAGGTGATCCACCCACCTTGACCTCCCAAAGTGTTAGGATTACAGGTGTAAGCCACCACGCCCGGCCTCTGTGCAGTCTTTAGGCAGCTCCCTATGATAGTCTCAAGGCCCATGTGGGTTGGTTCCCCTATAGCTAAGACTATAAAAGGCTGTGGTGGGAATGTGGAGCCTTGGGGCTCTTTCTTACCCTTTTCCCATATCAAGGGGCTTTTCCTGGCTCCCAGCTGATCCGAGCCAAACAAACTGTCTTGCTTCCATCTCCTAACTTGCTTTCAGTGCTTCTCATCACTTCTCTGTTGAATCTCCGTATTCTCTCTCAGATCATCTAGTTGAATTCTATTTATTTATTTTAGAGATGGGGTCTCATTGTGTCACCCAGGCTGGCCTCAAATTCCTGGACTCAAGTGATTCTCCCACCTCAGCCTCCCAAGTAGCTAGGACTACAAGTATGCACCACCATGCCTGGCTTACTTTTTATTTGTTTTCTTTAGCTAGCATTTATATAGTGCCTATTATAGTCCAGATGCTATGGTAAAAAGTATACAAGTATTAGCTCATGTAATCCTGTGAAATAAGTATAGTTATCCCTGTTTTACAGATGAGAAAACAGGCACAGAAAGTGCCTTTCTTAAAGGCACACAACTAGTACTGGTGGAGCTGAGATTCCACTCAGGCTGCATGGCTCTAGAGTCAGTGTTCTAAGCCACTTGTGGCTTGAAAAATAGAACCTATTTGTGCAAGACATAACCTTTATTCAGCCTGAACCCAATGCTAAATGCCTACATAGACTTGTGGACTTTTTGCAATAATGCTAATGGAGCCAAGGGGTGCAAGTTGGAGACTGGCAGACTAGAGGACTTTTAATCTCTGTTTGACTCTAAATTTCATAATCCCAATAGAATTTTTGTAAAGGAGGTGGGAGTTAAGGCTCTCTCAACTTCAGCTCATGTAACCAGGACAAACCAGCTGAACTTGGGGTCCTTTCTCAGAAATGAGCATAAGAGGCACTCACCCTTGTGCTATAGACAAAAGAAATGTAGCACAAGGCCTGTAACTAAGTCACATGTGTCTCCAGGGAAATACATGCATGCCTTTGGAGTTGAAACTGGAGCGGCAGTAAAACCAAAAACATATGCTCACTCTTCACTATTCAGCCACCTCTGAACTTCTTCCTCCTCACCTTTTTTACTGTTACCAATGAAATATATTTTTAAGGGATTTTTTAAAAGGATAGCTTACAGAGCACCCATAAACCTACCCATCATTTGTAATTTCTTCCTTTAATTGAAAAAACTTGTTTTTTTCTTAGTGGTCTTATCCTACTGCTCTAGAAGAAAGCTCAAGATACTCAGGATACCAGTTTGATGGACAATGAACTAAGCCCAGAAGAAATCCCTCTCCAAACCTATCTTCTTGTTGCTGTCCTATCTGTGTACTTCTATGCCTGACACTATGCCAGTTATTAGAAATAGATCAACAGGACTCAGTTCCTGCTCTTAAGGAACTCATGGATGACTAAGGGAGACAGATATGTACATAAATCATTGCAGTGGAGGCTGGGTGTGGTGCCTCACACCGGTAACCCCAGCACTTTGGGAGGCTGAGGCAGGCGGATCGCCTGAGGTCAAGAGTTCGAGATTAGCCTGGCCAACATGGTGAAACTCCATCTCTACTAAAAATACAAAAATTAGCCAGACACAACTGGTGCATGCCTGTAATTGCAGCTACTCGGGAGGCTGAGGCAGGAGAATCATTTGAACCTGGGAGGCAGAGATTGCAGTGAGCTGAGATCACGCCACTGCACTCCAGCCTGAGTGACAGAGTGAGACTCCGTCTCAAAAAAAAAAAAAAAATCGTTGCAATGGAAGGGATAAATTAATCCATACACCACATGCTCTAGGATATTTTTAGCCTGTAGACTTTTGCACATGTGGGTCCCGAGGCCAGGAATGAGTTTCCTTGGTTCTATGGCAGGCTGATTCCTGTGGGATGGCGCATAGCATAGGAGCCCTTAACTTACCACAGGGACATCAGAGAAAGATTCCTGGAGGAGGAATGTTAACCCTGTCAAAATGCAGAATTCCAGGTCTGGAGTGGGGCATCACATACTGCATTTCTAACACGCACCCAGGTGATACTGCTGCTGCACCAAACTTTGAGTATCAAGGATGCTTGGGAAGTATGGAGATAGGGATGAAGAAGGGGAGAAAGAAAGATGATCCAAGCAGATGAGTCTGCTGTGAGCTGTGCTGGCTAAACCATAGTGCCTGCAGGGACCTCAGCGGTGCAGGCTAGGAATGAAAAGGAGAAAGGATGGCATGGGAACAGTGGACACATAGAATGTCTGTGAAGGAATGGCAGACTCAGGCTTTCATGGCAAGTGAAGGAGGCCTGAAGTAATGGACATAGCACCAGAAGCTGAGATTTGTAAATATAGGGATGAAAAACTAATGTTTCTTGAATATCTGCATACCTCTATCTATATCCTTATCTGTATCTATACCAATGTCTGTCTGTCTTTGGCACTTCATTTTGTCCTTGCAACAGCCTAAGAAGTAGAAAACGGAGATTCAGAAAGATTAGGTTAGTTGCTGCAAGTCACACAAATAGGAAGAGGTGGATTCCAGCAAGAACTAAGTAGGAGCTGGGCTCAATAGGCCTATAATCTCAGCACTTTGGGAGGCTAAGAAGAGAGGATTTCTTGAGGCCAGGAGTTCGAGATCAGCCTTGGCAACATAAGGAAACCCTATCTCTAAAAAAAAAAAAAAGAAAAGAAAATTTGTTTTTAAATTAACCAGGCATGATGGTGTGTGCCTGTAGTCTCAGCTACTCCAGAGGCTAAGGCGGGAGAATTGCTTAAGCCTGGGAGTTCAAAGATATAGTAAGCGGTGCTCATGCTACTGCACTCCAGCCTGGGAGGCAGAGTGAGACCCCGTTTCTTACAAAAAAAGAACAAAAGAACTAAGTAGGGTGTCAGGACTCAGATAAGTAGATGGAGATTCAGAGAAGAGCTTTTAGTCCAGTGGGCAATTCAAATATAAATGGAAACTTGGAGACCTAGTATAGTTGCAGTGCCTGGGTCAGTAGATCAGGATTTTGGAAGGCTGGAATCTGACGGTGGCTATGGCAAGAGACTAGGGCTCCTGACAGATTCAGGGAGCAGCCCAATCCCAGACTCCCAGACTCCAGCAAAACTCAAGCTGAAGTTAGAGGGGCTGTCCCTGTCAACATGGCTAGATGACTCCATGGTGAAACCCTGGAGAAGAATTCCACGATGGTAAATGGAAGGGCTGTTGAAGCCAGAAAGAGAGTGCAGAGGAATATTTTATTCACTGGGTAGACACAAAGATGGGAGAATCTAGAAATGAAGACAAAGCCTTATTTACATTTTAACAGATTTTCTCTCCTGCCATAATAGAATCATAACCTTCTTGAAACATATACAGTCTTATTTATTTACTTATTTATTTATTTATTTATTTATTCATTTAGAGACAGGGTCTCATTCTGTTGCTGAGGCTGGGGTGCAGTGGTGCAATCATGGCTCACTGCAGCCTTGACCTCCTGGGCTCAAGCAATCCTCCTGCCTCAGCCTCCTGAGTAGCTGGGACTACAGGTGCATACCACCATGCCTGGCTCATTTAAAAAATTTTTTTGTAGAGATGGAGTATCGTTATGTTGCCCAGGCTGGTCTCCAACTCCTGGGCTTAAGGGATCCTCCCACCTCAGCCTCCCGAACTGAGACTGCAGGCATGAGCCACTGTGCCCAGCCTCACAGATACTTTCTTAAGCTGCTCAATGCAAAGGCTTTCCCTACCTCCACCCATTTATTTAATGTTAAATAGAGACTACGTGTTTAACATCCAAGGACTGCTACTTTAACTAAGGAACATCTAAATAAAATATGTTTGTTTTAGGAATGAAATCGATTCACTTAGTTTCTCATTAGCCATGTTATTCCAACCCACTACTTTATGACTCATTTAGTTCCTTTATCAGAAAAACTGAAGACATATTTACAAGTCTATATTTCACAAATAGCTTTGTACAAACTAGGAATTGGTGGGCACTCCCTAAGTAAACATAAAAATAAATTACCTTCTGTTAAAAGTCAAAATGTTAGCTGTGTATGGTGGCACACGCCTGTAGTCCCAGCTACTCAGAAGGCTGAGGCTAGAGGGTGACTTCTAGGCGGAAGTGAGCTATGATTGTGCTACTGCACTCCAGCCTGGGTGACAGACTGTCTCTAAAAAGAACAGGTGAAAATGACAAGGTTTAGAGTATGACCCATGCACATGCATTTCCCAGGTGTGGCAGAGAACAATAAAGAAAGCAGGATACTGGAAGAATCACCTATGTGGGTAAACAAATCACAGGTTTTATGATGGGAGCCTGGTGACAGAAACAATAGGATAGTTACATTTATCTTACTTAGCAGGCAGATTGTTATTATTCATGCGTTATTCTGAATACTTTTACAAACATGAAGCCACTTAATCCTGTGAGGTAGGTTTTACTACTATCCTCATTATACAGAGAAGGAAACTCAGGCACAGAGAGCTTAAGTCGCTGCCCAAACCTTAAGAAACATATAGTTCAATGGGGACACCAATGCTCAAACAGGTTAAAATATTTGTGTAAAACCAAAGAGAAGCAAGAAGAGATGAGAATTCCCATCTCCAGAGTCTCAAGTCTTGCTTTTTAAGCTAAAATGTAAGATTTTAGAAACAAGAGCATCATTTCTTTGATATATTCTCCAGTCCTTTGTGCCTTTGCTATACTCTGCACATACCATTTGTGTAGTTATACCACTGCCTTGTGAATATCTGTGTTCTTTTCTTCCCTACTAGACTGTGAGCTGCTTGAGGGCAGCGACTGTGTGTCTTTTTCTTTTCTGTATGGGCAGCAGCTAAGCATAGTACCTGGAATATACTAGGTGCTCCATATGCTTATTGAAGTTTGGGTGTTTTTTGTTTTCATTTTTTTTTTTTTTTTTTTGAGACAGCATCTCACTCTGTCATCCAGGCTGGAATACAGTGGTGCGATCACAGCTCACTGCAGCCTCAACCTCCTGGGCTCATGCAATCCTTTGACCTCAGCCCTCTGAGTAGCTGGGACTACAAGAACCTGCCAACATGCCAGGCTTTTTTGTAATTTTTGTAGAGACAGGGTTTTGCCATGTTGCCCAGGCTGGTCTTGAACTCCTGGGCTCAAGCAATCTACCCTCCTTGGCCTCCCAAAGAGCTGGGATTACAGGCGTGAGCCACTGAGCCCAGCTGTTCATTGAATAATTGAATGGATTAAACTCTTGATTCTTTCCTGACTTCTGACGCCAATGAAGCCTGGCCTTGAGGCATAGGATGGCACCTGGGTTACCCGATGGCTCTCTGTGCCATGAATGTTTCATAACTGCAGGCTGTGTGTTGCTTGTTCTGAGCTTGGCACTATGCCAGAGAGATGTCTGACTGAGTGGTCTTTTGCAAAGTAGCCTTGATCTTCTATTTTTCCAGTTGTTTTAGTTCTTGTAGATTTTGTTTTCTTCATATACGCACCAGGGAGTTTCATACATTCTTTTTTGTCTATGCTTGTCAGACTGTATACAGTGTCCTTCAGTGCTTAAGCTGCACACGTAGTCTAAGAACTTAGGATAATAGTAACTTTTTATTTAGGTAAATTAACAATTTGTTCAGCATTTCTTATGTGTTAGGTACCTTACATTCATTATCTCTTTTAATCCTCAAAATATCCCTGTGAGACATTTTGTATAGTACCCGCCCCACTCCCGACAGCCTTTTTTTTTTTTTTTGAGACGGAGTCTTGCTCTGTCACCCAGGCTGGAGTGCAGTGATGCAGTCTCGGCTCCCTGCAACCTCCGCATCCTGGGTTCAAACGATTCTCCTGCCTCAGCCTCCCAAGTAGCTGGGACTGCAGGTGCCCACCATCACGCTGGGCTAATTTTTTGTATTTTTAGTAGAGATGGGGTTTCACAGTGTTAGCCAGGATGGTCTTGATCTCCTGACCTCGTGATCCGCCCGCCTCGGCCTCCCAAAGTGCTGGGATTACAGGTGTGAGCCACTGCACCTGGCCCAGTACCCCATTTTATGATGCTGAAAATGAAGGCTCAGAGAGGCTAAGTGATTGATTCAAGGTTATGCAGCCATTGAAGGTGAAGCCAAGATTCTTACCCAGGTGTATATGTGGCTGTGTTAGGCCACTTTTGTGTTGCTATAAAGAAATACCTGAGGCTGACTAATTTATAAAGAAAAGCAGTTTATGAGGACTGAATCAGAAGGAAACAAAAAAAAAATAAATAAAGAAGGAAAGAAAGAAAAGAAAAGAGGCTTAATTGGCTCAGGGTCTGCAGGCTGTGCAAGCATGGCTCCAGCATCTGCTCCTGATGAAGGGCTCAGAATGCTTCCAATCATGGTGGAAGGTGAAGGGGGAGCAGGTATGTCACATGGCGAGAGAAGAAGCAAGGAGGTGGTGGTGGGGGAAGGTGCCAGACCGTTAAACAACCAGATCTCATGTGAACTAACTAACCAAGAATTCACTTAGGAGATGGGCCTAAACCATTCATGAGGAATCTGCCCCTATGATCCAATCACCTCCCACAGGCCCCACCTCCAACATTGAGAATCATATTTCAACATGAGATTTGGAGGGGACAAACATCCAAATCATATCATTCTGCCCTTGGCCCCCAAATCTCATGTCCTTCTCACATTTCAAAATGCAATCATGCCTTTGCAATAATCCCCCAGAGTCTGAACTCATTCCTACACTAACTCAAAAGTCCCAAGTCCCATGTCTCATCTGGAAATGAATTCCTTCCATCAATGAGCGTGTAGGATAAAAAATAATTTACTTCCAAGATACAATGGCAGTATAGGTGTTGGATAACATTCTTGTTCCAAAAAAGAGAAATTGGCCAAAAGAAAGGAGTAATAGACCCCATGCAAGTCTGAAATCCAGCAGGGCAGGCATTAAATCTTAAAGCTCCAACATAAGCCTTGACTCCATGTCCCACATCCTGGGTGCACTGGTGTGAGAGGTGGGCTCCCAAGGCTTTGGGCAGCCCCACCTCCATGGCTTACCTGTCTGCTGTCACAGGTGGGAATTGAGTGCTTGTGGCTTTTCCAGGCTCAGGATGCAAGCTGTCAGTGGTTCTACCCTTCAGGGGTCTGGAGGGCAGTGGCCCCCTTCCCATAGCTCCACTGAGCAGTGCCCCAGTGGGAACTGTGTGCGGGCTCCAACTTCACATTTCCCCTTGGCATCATCTAGTATCTCTGTGGGGGCTCCACCCCTGCAGCAGGCTTCTGCCTGGGCACCCAGATTTTCCACACATCTTCTGACATCTAGGTAGAGGCTGCCAAGCCTCCTTCATTCTTGCATTCTGTGCACCTGCAAGCTTAACACCACATGGAAGCCACCAAGGCTTATGGCTTGTGCCCTCCAGAGCCACGGCCCAAGCTGTACCTGGGGCCCTTTGAGCCTTGGCTGTAGTTGGAGCAGCTGGGATGTGGGGAGCAGTGTCCTGAGGCTGAGCAGGGCTACACAACCATTTAACCAGTCTCTAAGAAGTTCCAAATTTTCCCTCATCTTCCTGTCTTCTTCTGAACTCCCAAACTCTTCCAACCTGTGCCCCTTACGCAATTCCAAAGCTGCTTCCACATCTTTGGTTATCTTTAAGGCAATGCCCCTCTTCTCATTCCCAGTTTTCTGTGTTAGTTCATTCTTTCAGTGCTCTAAAGTCGTACCTGAGGCTGGGTGATTTATAAAGAAAAGAGGTGTAATTGGCTTATGGTTCTGCAGGCTGTATAAGCATGGCTTCAGTATCTGCTCCTGGTGAGGGCCTCAGGAAGCTTCCAATCATGGCAGAAGGTGAAGGAAGAGCAAGTGTGTCACATGGTGAGAGCAGGAACAAGGGGGTGGGGGAGGTCTCAGACTCTTAAACAACAAGATCTCATGTGAACTAACTGAGTGAGAACTCACTCATTGCCAAGGGGATGGTGTTAAATCATTCATGAGGGATCTGTCCCCAGGATCCAATCACCTCCTGCCAGGCCCCACCTCAGGGGACAAACATCCAAACCATATCAATGGCCAAAGAGTATGCTCTTTCCACTAGAGCACACTGCTATGAAGTATGGCCCAAAGTTAAAATAACAACAACAACAACAACCATCAAATAGGATGGGAAAGTCCTGCCTGGCTATGTGCTGGTAGTTTTTACAAAGTCTTAGCAATTTGAGTGACAACAAACTGGGTAAGTTGTCAGTATTGGCCAGGGTGAGGGTGGGCTGCCAATTAGGCAAGCAGTGAGCTAGACTACTTTCATCAACCCAGGAAGCATCCAGAATGAGGAGGGGAGAGTCCTGCTCTATTCTGTACTGAAGCTTCCACATCTAGAAGCGTCATTCATTCATTCAGCAAATATATTGAGTGCCTACTTTATGCCAGGGCAACTGCTAAGAACTAGATAAAGAAGACAGATACATTCTCTGCCATTGTGGAATTTACTTTTGGGTAATTGTTATTTTCAGTCCTGGACATGACAATTAAGTTTGGATGTTACTGGACAAACTAGAGAGTGTATTGAGAAGTAGGACCAGGATGGTGAAAACAGAGGAGGGAACAGTTGAAAGAACTAAGAGCAGACAACAGAGGTGACTGAGGGATGAGATATCTTTGGCACTTAAAGGTCTAAACATGACGAATGGTTATGCTGGCTGTTTTCTGTACAGCCAGCGTCAAAAAAAAGTTTCCTCATAAGTAACGAAAAGGCTGCCTCTAAAAATAGTAAGCTCCTCATTACTGGAAGTGTCCAAGCAGAGACTGGTAACTTTTCAGTGATGTCATAAAGAAAGGTAGTGTACCTGAGGCAAAAAGCATGGAATCTGGGGATTAATTGCCTGGACACTATAAATATTATTTGTGTGACTTTGGCACACAGTGACAAAGCCCATAGCCTTCAGAAAATGGTGTCAAGTATTATTAGTATATAGGTAGAGGTGGGAGCAGATGGCCATTAAGTCTCTTCCAACTACATGATTCGGTAGTTCTGTACTTAACCTCTTCACTCCCAAGTGAAATTTTTACAAAAATGCTTTCTGAATATCCATGACTACTATCTAAGTACCCTGGTTGGGGAAGGGCAGAAGAAGGGGTAAAGAGGAGAAGATTCCTCTTGTGGGCTCTCAAGTCTTCCCAAAAGTTGCTGATGTCATTGTTTTTGTAAGATAAAAGAGAGTAATGTCTGATTCTTCTGGAAAATGTGGTTTTCCTTGCCAAACCAACAGTTCTTCACGTTTGTTTTGCCCTGACTTCCTTTTGCAGTTAATCTAATAATGGCCATGCATGGCATGGCACTTCTCTAGGGTGTTTGCATTTTAGGGAGGAACACATCCAAATATGAAGGCAAAAAAGAAGGAAAAAGAAAAAAAAAAAAAGGGCCGGGTGTGGTGACTAACGCCTGTAATTTCAGCACTTTGGTAGGATGAGACAAAAGGATCACTTGAGCCCAGGAGTTCAAGACCAGCCTGGGCAACAAAGTAAAACTTCGTCTCTACAAAAAATTTTAAACATTTGCCAAGTGAGGCTGGGCGCAGTGGCTCACACCTGTAATCTCAACACTTTTGGAGGCCAAGGTGGGTGGGTCACGAGGTCAGGAGTTTAAGACCAGCCTGACCAACATGGTGAAACCCCGTCTCTACTAAAAATACAAAAATTAGCTGGGCGTGGTGGGGCGCACCTGTAATCCCAGCTACTCAGGAGGCTGAGGCAGGAGAATCACTTGAACCCGGGAGGCGGAGGTTGCAGTGAGCCAAGATCATGCCACTGCACTCCAGCCAGGGCAACAGAGCTAGGCTCCATCTCAAAAAGAAAAAAAAATTCGCCAAGTGTGGTGGCACACACCTGCAGTCCCAGCTACACAGGAGGCTGAGGTGGGAAGGATTGCTTGAGCCCAGCAAGTGGAGGTTGCAGTGAGCTGAGATCACACCACTATACTCCAGCCTGGGCAACAGAGCGAGGACTCTGTCTCAAAAAAAAAAGAAAAGAAACGAAAAGAAAAAGAGATTTCTAATGGTGAAAATTAAGGCACGACCCAGTAAATACACTTCTGTTATGAACAGCAAGGGCCCCAAGATCTTCCTGAATAAATAGGCCCTGGCAGTGGGAAATGTGATCTGATTTTTCCTCTTCCTCTGCCATGGAAAAATTCCACTCCCACCACTCGCAGCAACTTTGGCTAAGAGCCAAGAGGCAATCAGGCTGCCTTTTTCTACTTTTCTCCTTCCTGAGAACACAGAGGTCCAATGGGCCATTTTAGAGCGTGGGCTTCCATGGCCCCACTGCTATCACTCAGCAGGCTAGTCAGTTTCAGAAAAGATTTCTGCAGCCCAGCCAGAGAGTTTTTGCTTCCTTTTTCCCCCCATTTTTCTCCAGATGTACTATTATAACAAGCTAAGCAGGGGATCCTTTAGGAGGAGTCAAAGGAATCCTGCTTGTTAGAATGATTTTTAGACTTAAAGCACTAGTTGAGGGCTTTTATCTTCAGAAAGTGTGTGTTGGGGGGATATTTTTTTAAATTTGGGTTTTCCTTTCAAAGTGCAAATGCAATGCCAGCTTGAGGGAACAAACTAAACAATACTATTGTGTAAAACAGTCAACAATATCCCTTTCTGCTCAATTCCCTCCTCCCCGCAACCAATGTGAACTTTTGATATGTATCTTTTCATACCTACGTATATCTGTGTGTGTATATATATAAACACACACATACATATGTATACATTCGGATGTCTAGAGATTTTTGTCATAATCTTTTTCAAATGGGACTAAAAATAATTTGCTTTTTTAATCTATATTTCATTCAAATTCCTCCAGGTTAATACACATAGATCTAACTTGCTATTATTATTTCTTTCGTTAGAGATAGGGTCATTGTTCTGTTGCCCTGGCTAGAATGCAGTAGTGTGATCTTAACTCACTGTACCCTCCAACTCCTGGGCTCAAGGGATCCTCCCACCTCAGCCTCCTGATTGGTTAGGACTACTGGCGTGCACCATCACACCCGGCTAATTTTTACTTTATTTTTAAATTATCTGTAGAGACAGGGTCTTGCTACATTGCCCAGCTACAAGGCTGGTCTTGAGCTCCAGGCCTCAAGCAGTCCTCCCCCATCACCCTCCCAAAGCACTGAGATTATAGGTGTGAGCCACCTCACAAGGGCCTTACTATTTTTAATAATTGCATAATATCTATAGTTTGGATATCCCATATTTTATTTTTATATTCCTCTATAATAAATATTCAAGTGGTTTCCGATGTTGTCTTTTGCCGCTTGAAATAATATTGCATAAAATATTCATGTATCTATGTTATTTACTCATACTTTTAGTTTAGTAGATGAGATTTCCAAAACTAGAACTGGGTTCACCTGAGGATTTTAGATTTTACCAGAGGGAAAGATTCAGTGCCTTAGCAAAACACATAGGTCTTTGGCGACAGCTTTTTCCTCTTTGTTGGGAAGGAGGCCTGGAAAAATAATGTCCCTTTCTATAATGTCCCTTTCTCTTCCTTCCGCACACCATTATTCTCCTGCAGTAGAATGGGCAGGGATAATATATCCTTTGTAATTCAGCAAAGAATAAGAATTACCAGTTTGCTTGGTTGTTAGAGGATACAAGAGAAGTCCACATTAAACAGCCACATATTCCTCCAGTAAGTCTTTTGTTGCTGTATTTTTTCCTTCATGAAAAGCTAGAAAATAAGGAAGAGGAGGCAAAAAGGATGGGTTGCACATTGCTGGGTTTTAATAGGCAAATAATTAAATGATGGCATCTGCAAAGTCATCAGCTTATCCCACATTTAGGGTACAAATATATTTTTCTCTGCAGACCAGAGAAGAGAGGAAGTCAGATGAATGAGAGATGAGATCACAATAAAAGTCTCCCTTCATTATTCATTTTGAGTTTTCCTGCCCCAGGAACTCATCAAAGCTGAAGGTTGGAAGGGGTCAGATGTCATCTGGACTGTCTCCCCATTATGTCTGCTCTTATCTTATTCCTGGATTCTACATACCTCCTTAACATAGTTGTGTTGGATTATTTCTTTCCTTCCATCCTTCAAAAGAACATTTATTGAATGCTTCCTATGTGCTGTACACTAAGCTAGGCCCTGGGACAAGGAGGAAAGAAGCAGACACTGGCTTCAAAGAATTTATAAATAAGCTGGATGTGGTGGCTCACACCTGTAATCCCAGCACTTTGGGAGGCCGAAGAGGGCGGATCATGAGGTCACGAGTTCAAGACCATCCTAGCCAACATAGTGAAATCCCATCTCTACTAAAAATACAAAAATTAGCCAGGTGTGGTGGCACACGCCTGTAGTCCCAGATACTTGGGAGGCTGAGACAGGAGAATCTCTTGAACCCGGGAGGTGAAGGTTGCAGTGAGTCGAGACCACACCATCGCACTCCAGCCTGGGTAATAGAGTGAGACTCCGTCTCAGGGGAAAAAAAAATTATAAATAAAGAGGAAGAAAAATAAGTAGACTTAACATGTATAAGGAAATGACAGGAACGTATACCACTCCTAAGGCAACAGACCACAGAGGAGATGCCTCTAACATAGCCACGGCCTAGGTATATGGGCACTGAGACAAGACTAGAAAGATTAAGCTGTGACTTTAAGATTGAAGAGAATTTTGCTAGCCCTGAATTTTTAGAAGGTACAGCACATACAAAGGCATGGAGATCAGTAAGGATATGACATAATAAAGTTTTGATTGAAATTAATTTGGACGCTGGTAATCCCAGTACCTTCGGAGGCCAAGGCTGGAGGATCATTTGACCCCAAGTCAAGTGATCATGCCACTGCACTCCAGCCTGGGCAACATAGCAAGACCTCATCCCTACAAAAAATTAAAAATAAATTTTAAAAAATTTTAAATGTATTTGGAGTAGCAGAAATATAGGGTGCCTGTGTGGAGTAATGAAATATGAGGCTGGAGAAGTCAGCAGTGGCCAGATCTTAAAAGACCATATGTTCCTTGCTAAGAAGTTTGGATTTTATCCTAATGGAAATTGAGACTATTTTTTTTTGAGACGGAGTCTCACTCTGTCGCCCAGGCTGTAGTGCAGTGCCACGATCTTCGTTCACCCCAACCTCTGCCTCCCTGGTTCAAGCGATTCTTGTACCTCAGTCTCCTGACTAGCTGGTATTACAAGCACATGCCACCATGCCCACCTAATTTTTTAGTAGAGACAGGGTTTTGCCATGATTACAGGCGTGAGCTGTCACAACTGGCCATCACTTTATACTTAAAATTATCTCAATTTCTGGCCAGCTGCAGTGGCTCTTGCCTGTAATCCCAGCACTTTGGGAGGCTGAGGCAGGTGAATTGCTTGAGCCCAGGAATTCAAGAACAGCCTGGGCAACATAGTGAGACCCCATCTGTAAAAAAAAAAAAGAAAGAAAAAAAAAGAAAAGAAATAGAAGTGACACAATCAGATATACATTTCATAAAAGTCATTCTAGAGTTAGTGCAGAAGGTAAGGTCAGGGGTAAGAGACCGGAAGCAGGAAAACCAGTTGGGAAGCTGGCAAACTGGCAAGAAATGGTGGGAAAGGATCTGCATGAGGCAGTGGCAATGGACAGAGATTGAGATACTAGATAAAAAACTAGTCCTGTGACTCTTCCAACAGGGAGGGAAAGAAAGTGGGAAGAATCTTACGGACATTTAGGTTTCTAGCTTAGGCAGCTAGGTGGTCCCACCAATTTAAATATGGACTATTATACAAGAAGATGATTTAGGAGGAAAGATGATGAGCTTATCTTTAGACATATTGACTTGGAAGTTTCCAGGATATATCCAAGAAGAGGTGTGCAAAATGATTGGATATGTGAGTGTGGAGTTCAGAAGAGAAGTGTGGGTTCGAAATATAAACTTTGGCTTCATCAACATGTGAGTGGTAGTTGAAGCCAAAACCACTGCGAGAGGCTGAGGCAGGAGAATCGCTTGAACCCAGGAGGCGGAGGTTGGAGGTTGCAGTGAGCCGAATTGCGACTCCAGCCTAGGCGACAGTGGGAGACTGTCTCAAAAAAAAAAAAAAAAAAAAAAAAGAATAGGGTTGAGGATGAGAAGCTCAAGAATAAAAGTGAGATGGGATGGACAGAGAAAAAGCAGGAAAACTAGAGAATAGTATGGTAGAATCCAATAGAGAAAGGACTTTCAAGGTGGAGGGAGAGAAGTTCAGAGTCGGTAAGTGTTGCAGAGAGTCTAACAAGGTTAATATTGACAAAGGTCTTGTTACTGGATTTAAGAAACAGAAGGCCATTCTCCCTTCTCAAGTGACTATTTGCCTCAAGATCCTTGTGCTTTCTGTTCTCCCTTTATAAACTCCTCTTCACCCCAACTCTCTAGATATCTGCATGTCTTACACCATAACTTTGGTGAGATCTCTGCTTAAATGTCACCTTTGCAAAGAGGCCTTCTTTGACTATTTTATATAAAATAACACTCTATTTTCTTGCCAGCCCCTTATCCAGATGAACTTCTTATCACAATACCTATCTCTACTTGATATTACAATAATTATTTATTAGTTAATTGTTTGTAATCCCTACTAGAATGGAAAGCCCATAACAGCAGGGATTTGTTTTGCTTATGGCTGTATTCCCAGAGCCTGACACAGAGTAGGCCTTCAATAAATATGGTTAAAAGAATAGTGACTGAATTGTCATCTTGGTAAGAATAATTTCAATGGAATGGTTAGGACAGAAGTCATATTGCACAAGGCCAAGGCATGAATGGCAGATAAGGGAGAGGAGACACTGGGTGAATAAAATTCTTTCTGGAATGGAAGGAGAAAGAGCTAGAGAAGACAAGAGAGCTCAAGACGTGAGAGAATCAAGCTGTCATGTGTAATCAGAATGGGAAAGCAGTAGAGAGGAAGAAGTGGAAGAAACAAAGGAGGACATAACTGAGAGGTGAGGATTCAAAGCAGTGGTGGATCCATTCTTCTCTTCCACCAGGGACTTCTCTTCCAGCAAGAGGAAGAAGAATGGCATAAGAGGGACTGTGATGTAGGTAAGTTTGGGAGATGTGGGTAGTTCAGTAGTTTCCTATTTAAGTGGCTACCACTTACTGAGTACTTATTACATGCCAGGCACTATGTCACCATCGTATTTAATCCAAACTATAACTATGCAAGACTACCATTTGACCTTCAAGAAAACTGGGCTGGCCGGGCACAGTGGCTCACTCCTGTAATCCCAGCACTTTGGGATGCCGAGGCAGGAAGATCACCTGAGGCCAGGAGTTCAAGACCAGCCTGGCCAACATGGTGAAACCTCGTCTCTTCTAAAAATACAAAAATTAGCTGGGCGTGGTGGCGGGCGCCTGTAATCCCAGCTACTCAGGAGGCTGAGGCGGAAGAATCACCTGAACCCGGGAGGCGAAGGTTGCAGTGATCCAAGATCGCACCCCTGTACTCCTGCCTGGGCGACAGAGGAAGACTCCGTCTCACAAAAACAAACAAACAAACAAACAAAACTGAGCTGAGGAGACAATTCGACAATTCATGCAGTCAATAAGTAGGTTGCAGAGGTGAGGCTCAAACTGCATTCTTCTGATTCAGAAGTTATGTAACTTCCCTTGTGCGCTTTGGTAGACCTCTCCATAGTTGGTTACCACCACTCTTGAGTCCTGTTCTTTATTATCTTCTTACCTGGTGGGTAGGACGTCTGCCTCAGTCCTGAGATCTTTTGCCTGATTCTATTTTGTCTCAGTCCTTTTTTTTTCAGTCCTTGGGGACACTGTTTTGATGGCCAGACCATGTTCCTTCTATCTGAATGTGCATTTGTGTCAATCCACAAGGCTTGGTCATCCCTGCTGGATGGATCTAGTCCCAGCTCCCGATTCCTTACTACTCTAAGTAACTAGGTTAGTAGAAAATTAAAAGTCAGGATAACTAGATGTTATAATGTGTGTGCTTTATGCACTAAACATCTATTATTTCTCTTTTTTTCTTTTTCTTTTTTTGGTGGGTGGGGGACGGAGTCTCGCTCTGTCACCTAGGCTGGAGTGCAATGGTGCGATTTTGGCTCACTGCAACTTCTTCCTCCCGGGTTCAAGCAATTCTTGTGCCTCAGCCTCCCAAGTAGCTGGGATTACAGGCGTCTGCCACCACACCTGGCTAATTTTTGTGTTTTTAGTAGAGACAGAATCTCACCATGTTGGCCAGACTGGTCTCGAACTCTTGACTTCAGGTGATCCACCCACCTCGGCCTCCCAAAGTTCTGGGATTACAGGCGTGTGCCACCGTGCCCGGCCAACATCTATTATTTCTAGTCCTGACAACTCCAGATAAAATATAAAGAGACAACAGCCTTCTAACGGGGATATGTGTACACCCTCCTCTGAGTCAGGAAGACTTCCAAGAGGGATGCAGGTGAGGATAATACTATGGTCTGAATGTTCATGCCCCCTTAAAGGATATATTGAAATCTTAACTTCCAAGATGATAGTATTAAGAGATGGGACCCTTTGGGAGGCGATTAGGTTATGAGGGCAGAGCCCTTTCGAGTGGGATTAGTGCCCTTATAAAAGATGCCTGAGGAAGCTCGTTCACATCTTCTACCACAGGAAGACACAGCTAGAAGGTGCTATCTATGAACCAGGAAACTGGCATTCACAGACACCAATTCTGCTGGGGCTGTGATCTTGGACTTCCAAGACTTCAGAACTATGAGAAATACATTTCTGTTATGTATAAGCCACCCAGTCTACAGTATTTTGTTATAGCAGCCCTAATGGACTAAGACAAATAGTTTTAAAGAAATAAAAATTTTCGGATCCTGAGCTTCCATATGTGCTGGTCCTAAATTGATCTGCCTAACAAAGTGGACTGAGGGAGATGCAGGTCCTTTGTTCCTACCTTCCTACCCACCTACTACTTCAAGCAAAGAAAGATGTGCACTCCATCCATCTCAAGCTTACTTTGGTGCATTGCTCTGGGGTAAAAATATCCAAACAAAGAGGCAATTAGAAATATTGATGATGGCGTTGAGAACTGAGTAACTCTAATAACTGGGTATCAATGCCTTTTTGTAAGTCAGGTGGTTTCTAATATTTTGTTTTCAACAAAACTGAAGGAAATCTTAATTAAGGTTGACAGTAGATCATTAAAATTATTTTTGATGACATATAACTATGTGATTCTTTTGTTTTGTTTTTTGCTTTTTGTTTGTTTTGTTTTTGTTTTTGTTTTTTGAGAGGGAGTCTCGCTCTGTCGCCCAGGCTGGAGTGTAGTGGCGCGAACTCGGCTCACTGCAAGCTCCGCCTCCCGGGTTCACGCCATTCTCCTGCCTCAGCCTCTCTGAGTAGCTGGGACTACAGACGCCCGCCACCACGCCCAGCTAATTTTTTTGTCTTTTTAGTAGAGACGGGGTTTCACCGTGTTAGCCAGGATGGTCTCCATCTCCTGACCTCGTGATCCGCCCGCCTCGGCCTCCCAAAGTGCTGGGATTACAGGCGTGAGCCACCGCGCCCGGCTTTTTTTTTTTTTTTTTTTTTTTTTGAGACGGAGTCTCACTGTGTCACCAGGCTGGAGTGTAGTGGCGTGATCTCGACTCACTGCAGTCTCCACCTTCAGGGTTCAGGCGATTCTTCTGCCTCAGCCTCCCAAGTAGCTGGGACTACAGGCACATACCACCACGCCCAGCTAATTTTTGTATTTTTAGTAGAGATGGGGTTTCACCATGTTGGCCAGGATGGTCTCCATCTCTTGACCTTGTGATCCGCCATACCTCGGCCTCCCAAAGTGCTGGGATTACCCGCGTGAGCCACTGTTCCCCGGCCAACTATGTGATTCTTTTATTTATTTATTTATTTAATTATTATTATACTTTAAGTTCCAGGGTACATGTGCACAACGTGCAGGTTCGTTACATATGTATACATGTGCCATGTTGGTTTGCTGTACCCATTAACTCGTCATTTACATTAGGTATTTCTCCTAATGCTATCCCTCCCCCAATCCCCCACCCCACAACAGGCCCTGGTGTGTGATGTTCCCTGCCCTGTGTCCAAGTGTTCTCATTGTTCAGTTCCCACCTATGAGTGAGAACATGCAGTGTTTGGTTTTCTGTCCTTGCGATAGTTTGCTCAGAATGATGGTTTCCAGCTTCATCCATGTCCCTGCAAAGGACATGAACTCATCCTTTTTTATGGCTGCATAGTATTCCATGGTGTATATGTGCCACATTTTCTTAATCCAGTCTATCATTGATGGACATTTGGGTTGGTTCCAAGTCTTTGCTATTGTGAATAGTGCCACAACAAACATATGTGTGCATGTGTCTTTACAGTAGCATGATTTATAATCCTCTGGGTATATACCCAGTAATGGGATCGCTGGGTTGAATGGTATTTCTAGTTCTAGATCCTTGAGGAATCACCACATTGTCTTCCACAATGGTTGAACTAGTTTACACTCCCACCAACAGTGTAAAAGTGTTCCCATTTCTCCACATCCTCTCCAGCACCTGTTGTTTCCTTTTTAATGATCGCCATTCTAACTGGTATGAGATGGTATCTCATTGTGGTTTTGATTTGCATTTCTCTGATGACCAATGATGAAGAGCATTTTTTCATGTGTCTGTTGGCTGCATAAATGTCTTCTTTTGAGAAGTATCTGTTCATATCCTTTGCCACTTTTTGATGGGGTTGTTTGATTTTTTCTTGTAAATTTGTTTAAGTTCTTTGTAGATTCTGGGTATTAGCCCTTTGTCAGATGGGTAGATTGCAAAAATTTTCTCCCATTCTGTAGGTTGCCTGTCCACTCTGATGGTGGTTTCTTTTGCTGTGCAGAAGCTCTTTAGTTTAATTAGATCCCATTTGTCAATTTTGGCTTTTGTTGCCATTGTTTTTGGTGTTTTAGTCATGAAGTCTTTGCCCATGCCTATGTCCTGAATGGTATTGCCTAGGTTTTCTTCTAGGGTTTTTATGGTTTTCGGTCTAACATTTAAGTCTTTAATCCATCTTGAATTAATTTTTGTATAAGGTGTAAGGAAGGGACCCAGTTTCAGCTTTCTGCATATAGCTAGCCAGTTTTCCCAGCACCATTTATTAAATAGGGAATCCTTTCCCCATTTCTTGTTTTTGTCAGGTTTGTCAAAAATCAGATGGTTGTAGATGTGTGGTGTTATTTCTGAGGCCTCTGTTCTGTTCCATTGATCTATATCTCTGTTTTGGTACCAGTACCATGCTGTTTTTGTTACTGTAGCCTTGTAGTATAGTTTGAAGTCAGGTAGCGTGATGTCTCCAGCTTTGTTCTTTTTGCTTAGGATTGTCTTGGCAATGCGGGCTCTTTTTTGGTTCCATATGAACTTTAAAGTAGTTTTTTCCAATTCTGTGAAGAAAGTCATTGGTAGCTTAATGGGGATGGCATTGAATCTATAAATTAGTTTGGGCAGTATGGCCATTTTCATGATATTGATTCTTCCTATCCATGAGTATGGAATGTTCTTCCATTTGTTTGTGTCCTCTTTTATTTCATTGAGTAGTGATTTGTAGTTCTCCTTGAAGAGGTCCTTCACATCCCTTGTAAGTTTTATTCCTAGGTATTTTATTCTCTTTGAAGCAATTGTGAATGGGAGTTCACTCATTATTTGGCTCTCTGTCTGTTATTGGTGTATAAGAATGCTTGTGATTTTTGCACATTGATTTTGTGCAAATCACACAAAATCCTGAGACTTTGCTGAAGTTGCTTATCAACTTAAGGAGATTTTGGGCTGAGATGATGGGGTTTTCTAAATATACAATCATGTCATCTTCAAACAGGGACAATTTGACTTCTTCTTTTCCTAACTGAACATCCTTTATTTCTTTCTCCTGCCTGATTGCCCTGGCCAGAACTTCCAACACTATGTTGAATAGGAGTGGTGAGAGAGGGCATCCCTGTCTTGTGCCAGTTTTCAAAGGGAATGCTTCCAGTTTTTGTCCATTCAGTATGATATTGGCTGTGGGTTTGTCATAAATAGCTCTTATTATTTTGAGATACATTCCATGAATACCTAGTTTATTGAGAGTTTTTAGCATGAATGGCTGTTGAATTTTGTCTAGGGCCTTTTCTGCATCTATTGAGACAATCATGTGGTTTTTGTCTTTGGTTCTGTTTATGTGATGGATTACGTTTATTGATTTGCATATGTTGAACCAGCCTTGCATCCCAGGGATGAAGCTGACTTGATTTTGGTGGATAAGCTTTTTGATGTACTGTTGGATTCAGTTTGCCAGTATTTTATGGAGGATTTTTGCATCGATGTTCATCAGGGATATTGGTCTAAAATTCTCTTTTTTGGTTGTGTCTCTGCCAGGCTTTGGTATCAGGATGCTGCTGGCCTCATAAAATGAGTTAGGGAGGATTCCCTCTTTTTCTATTGATTGGAATAGTTTCCGAAGGAATGGTACCAGCTCCTCTTTGTACCTCTGGTAGAATTCGGCTGTGAATCCATCTGGTCCTAGACTTTTTTTGGTTGGTAAGCTATTAATTATTGCCTCAATTTCAGAGCCTGTTATTGGTCTATTCAGCAATTCAACTTCTTCCTGGTTTAGTCTTGGGAGGGTGTATGTGTCCAGGAATTTATCCATTTCTTCTAGATTTTCTAGTTTATTTGTGTAGAGGTGTTTATAGTATTCTCTGATGGTAGTTTGTATATCTGTGGGATCAGTGGTGATATCCCCTTTATCATTTTTTATTGTGTCTATCTGATTCTTCTCTCTTTTCTTCTTTATTAATCTTGCTAGTGGTCTATCAATTTTGTTGATCTTTTCAAAAAGCCAGCTCCTGGATTCATGGATTTTTTTGAAGGGTTTTTTGTGTCTCTATCTCCTTCAGTTCTGCTCTGATCTTAGTTATTTCTTGCCTCCTGCTAGCTTTTAAATTTGTTTGCTCTTGCTTCTCTAGGGTGATGTTAGGGTGTGTCAATTTGAAATCTTTCTTGCTTTCTCTTTTGGGCATTTAGTGGTATAAATTTCCCTCTACACACTGCTTTAAATGTGTCCCAGAGACTCTGGTATGTTGTGTCTTTGCTCTCATTGGTTTCAAAGAACATCTTTATTTCTGCCTTCATTTCATTATTTATCCAGCAGTCATTCAGGAGCAGGTTGTTCAGTTTCCATGTAGTTGTTCTGTTTTGAGTGAGTTTCTTAATCCCGAGTTCTAGTTTGATTGCACTGTGGTCTGAGAGACAGTTTGTTATAATTTCTGTTCTTTTACATTTGCTGAGGAGCATGCTTTCCTTCCAACTATGTGGTCAATTTTGGAATAAATGCAATGTGGTGCTGAGAATAATGTGTATTCTGTTGATTTGGGGTGGAGAGTCCTGTGGATGTCTATTAGGTCCACTTCGTGTAGAGCTGAGTTCAAAAATTAACAGGTGTGGTGGCGCATGCCTGTAATCCCAGCTACTCAGGAGGCTGAGGCAGGAGAATTGCTTGAACCCAGGAGGCAGAGGTTGCGGTAAGCTGAGATTGTGTGACTGCACTTCAGCCCGGGTGACAGAACGAGACTCTGTTTAAAAAAAAAAAAAAAAAATTAATGCAATCTATCGTCAATTAGATGTACATTGCTGAGGTCTTTTATCTGTTGTAGATTTTTCCCCCTTTTTATTGCATCAGGCATATTACCCTGTAAATTGTGGTAGTGATAGCAGGAATAAAAAATTAAGTAATTTTATTGGGAGCAGAGGACTGCCCAAGTTGACTGAGGAGGGGTAGACTGGCCCAGGTTGGAAACAGAGCAGGTCAAAATTCTCATGCTGATCAGTAGTGGAGTCACACCTGTGAGTAGCCACTGCACTTTGTCCTGGGCAGCAAGCGAGACCCTGTCTCTAAAAAGAGCAAGGAATTTAAAACTTTAAAGAAAAAAAAAAACTCGGCCAGGCGCGGTGGCTCACGCCTGTAATCCCAGCAATTTGGGAGGCCGAGGCGGGTGGAACACGAGGTCAGGAGATCGAGACCATCCTGGCTAACACGGTGAAACCCCGTCTCTACTAAAAATACAAAAAAAAAAAAAAAATTAGCCGGGTGCGGTGGCAGGTGCCTGTAGTCCCAGCTACTCGGGAGGCTGAGGCAGGAGGATGGCGTGAACCTGGGAGCCAGAGCTTGCAGTGAGTGGAGATCGCGCGAGTGCACTCCAACCTGAGTGACAGATCGAGACTCTGTCTCAAAAAAACAAACAAACAAAAAAAAATTGATGCAATGGTTTTAAAAGGTCAATATTTATAATACTCTGGAAACTACAGCCTTTGTAATTACTTAAAATAATGATTAAAATGCAAGATATCAACATAAAAAGGTGCAAGGAGGTGTATATTATACAACATTATTTTAAGGGTATGTGAATAAAAACACATGAAGACCACAGTCATAGAGAAAAGAACATAGGCTTTGGAGTTTGGAGGCTTAGAGGCTGTTTCCTAGCTGTGTGTCCTAAGGCAAGTTACTCTGCCTCTTCAGTTTCAGCCTCTGTGCTATTATTAAAATGGATTTAATAGTAGGAATTGTTAGTGGTCTATCAATTTTGCCAATTAAGCCAAATAATACACATAAAAGAGGCTGAAATATGGTAGATAATAAATATTTCTTCCTTCCTCCTTATAATGCAGTAAGAAGGTATTGATTCATCCACCCAACAGTAATTTTTAGCACCCATGTGTCAGTCACTGTTCTAGGAGCTAGGGATCCAAGGTGAATGAAGCAAGCAGGGTCCCTGGAAGATGGATAAGAGTGGGCACATGGGGCTGGGCGAGGTGGCTCACGCCTGTAATCCCAGCACTTTGGGAGGCTGAGTCGGGTGGATCACGAGGTCAGGAGTTCAAGACCAGCCTGGCCAAGATGGTGAAACCCCATCTCTACTAAAAATATAAAAATTAGCCGGGCATGGTGGTGGGCGCCTGAAATCCCAGCTGCTCGGGAGGCTGAGGCAGAGAATTGCCTGAACCTGGGAGGCGGAGGTTGCAGTGAACCAAGATAGTGCCACTGCACTCCAGCCTGGGCGACAGAGTGAGACTCTGTCTCAAAAAAAAAAAAAAAAAAAGAGTGGGCACATGGAACCAGATTGCCTGGCTGGAATCCCCTCTTTACTAGCTGTATAATCATTGACAACTCACTCAACATGTCTCAGTGTTGTGGTCTGTATGACAGGGATAATAATAGCACCTTGAAGAGTTTGTGTGTTGAGTTGTTAAGGAGTCAGCACCGTGTCTGGCACATGGTATGCACCCGGCACATGTGAACTATTCATGTTATTCTTCATGATGCTTACATCTGAGGTGGGGAGAAGGGCGTGAGAATATTTGTCTGCATCTTACCTGAGGTTTAGAGAGGTTAAGTAAACTGCATCTAAACTGAGGTTTAGAGAGGTTAAGTAAACTGCCTCTCAAGTCAAATAAATAGGAAGGGTGGAGGTGACACTTTGTCCTCTGTCCCAACGGACTTCAAGGCCTGCACTATTTCTGCCATGCTGAGCAGGCTATTTCATGACAGTTCTTCTCTCTCTTTTTTTTTTTTTCAAATTGAGATGGGGTCTCGCTCTGTCGCCCAGGCTGGAGTGCAGTGGCACGATCTCAGCTAACTGCAATCTCTGCTGCCTGGGTTCAAACAATTCTTGTGACTCAGCCTCCCAAGTAACCGGGATTACAGGCGCCCACCACCACACCCAGCTAAATTTTTTTGTATTTTTAGTAGAGACGGGGTTTTGCCATATTGGCCAGGCTGTTCTTGAACTCCTGACCTCAGGTGAACTGCCTGCCTCAGCCTCCCAAAGTGCTGGGATTACATGTGTAAGCCACCACACCCGGCCAACAGTTATTCTGTAGGACATTTCCCGTTGCAACATTCTATTGGTAGGAGAAGGAGTTTTTTTATAAAAAGGTTTTCGGCCAGGCGCGGTGGCTCACGCTTGTAATCCCAGCACTTTGGGAGGCCGAGGCGGGCAGATCACAAGGTCAGGAGATCGAGACCATCCTGGCTAATACGGTGAAACCCTGTCTCTACTAAAAATACAAAAAAATTAGCCGGGCACGGTAGCCGGCGCCTGTAGTCCCAGCTACTCGGGAGGCTGAGGCAGGAGAATGGCGTGAACCCGGGAGGCGGAGCTTGCAGTGAGCCCAGATAGCGCCACTGCAGTCTGGCCTGGGTGAAAGAGCAAGACTCATCTCAAAAAAAAAAAGTTTTCAATGGAGGACTTACAAAAATCCAGAAACACAATTTATAAGCCCCCAGAGCTCTTCATGATCTCAGATCTGTACACTGAAAAGTCTAGTTTCTTTCCTTTTGGGTAAAACAGAGCATCTGTCAGACTGTCACAAGTCATCTGGAAGAATTCAGAATTTCAGAATTAGACCCAGGAAACATGTAATGCATGGAGGTGGTGATTGCCTTACATTCAATATAATATAAACTGGTCTTTGCTTTAAGTTTTGAGGCTATGCCATGCTCCAGACACTTTCCTAAGTGATGAGGTTATCAGGTCAAATACAACAGTCTCTGCCTTTTTACAGTTAGTGCGGAGTTCCACACAGGAGACAAACCTCAGCATAATCCTAGACAGTGACAAGATGAGAAACCAGCAGGAGGAATCCTGAGAAGGAAGTCATTAACTTAGCTGTAAGCCAGGTGGGACCTCCGAGGAGTGACCTGTAAGCTGGACCATGAGGGATGAGCAGGCCCTCTTTAGCCTGATGTATTAGTCCGTTCTCATGCTGCTAATAAAGACATACCAGAGACTGGGTAATTTATAAAGGAAAGAGGTTTAATTGACTCATAGTTCAGCATGGCTAGGGAGGCCTCAGGAAACTTACAATCATGGCAGAAGGAGAAGCAAACACCTCCTTCTTCATATGGTGGCAGCAAGGAGAATTGCAGAGCGAAGTCAGGAGGAAAGCCCCTTATAAAACCATCAGATCTTGTGAGAACACATTCACTATCACAAGAACAGCAGCATGGGGGCAGCTACCCCCATGATTCAATTACCTCCCACTGGGTCCCTTCCGTGACACTTGGGGATTATGGGAACTCCAATCAAGATGAGATCTGAGGCTGGGCGTGGTGGCTCACACCTGTAATCCTAACACTTTGGGAGGCCAAGGCGGGTGGATCACCTGAGGTCAGGAGTTCAAAACCAGCCTGGCCAACATTGTGAAATCTCATCTTTACTAAAAATACAAAAATTAGCTGGGTATGATGGCAGGTGCCTGTAATCCCAGCTACTCGGGAGGCTGAGGCAAGAGAATTGCTTAATCCCGGGGGATGGAGGTTGCAGAGAGCCAAGATCACGCCACTTCACTCCATCCTGGGCGAAGGAGCAAAACTCTGTCCAGAAAGGATGATATTTGGGTAGGAACACAACCAAACCATATCACCAGAGAAGAGGAAGAAGAGGATCCTGGGCCTGAACAAATATCTGAAGGTCTAAGAAGGAAAGAGAGGCAGGAGGGGCTGAGATACTCTGGGCGGGAGGGAACACTGTGGTGAGGCAAGAGGGTGAAGCTCCATGAAGGCAGGGATCCTTACTCACCCGGATGCCTAAAATGGTGCCCGGGTTGTTGCTGTTGGCTAATTGAATGCTAAAATCCTACCTCTTCCCCCAGAGATTCTGTCTCAGTTGGTCTGGGATAGGGCTGTGGCAATGGTATATTTTAAAAGCTCTCCGGGTTATTCTGATGTACTTCCAGGTTTGGTACCACTGGACTAAATGAATGACCTGAACCCGTGGAGATGAGAAAAAAAAATGTTTTTTTGAGACAGGGTTTTGCTCTGTCACCCAGGCTGAGTGCAGTGGTACAATCTCAGCTCACTGCAACCTTGGTCTCAGGTCTCAAGTGATTCTCCTGTCTTAGCCTCCTGAATAGCTGAGATAACAGGCATGTGCCACCACACTTGGCTAATTTTTGTATTTTTTTTTTTTTGATGGGGTTTCACCATGTTGCCCAGGATGGTCTCAAACTCCTGGGCTCAAGCAATCTGCCTGACTTAGCCTCCCAAAGTGTTGTGATTATAGGTGACAGCCACCGTGCCCGGCCAAGAAATTTTCTTTATAGTTTTCTGTGGGTCAGAAGCCCTTCTCCTTGAAAAGACCTCAGATGATGGTATGTGGTATTTTCCTATTTTATGGAGCTTTGGGGTGGGAATGTAAACTGCCAAGGATTTGTTTGCTCTTGCCTTTAATCCCAGCATTTTGGGAGGCCAAGGCAGGAGGCTCGCCTGAGGCAAGCAGTTTGAGACCAGCCTGGGCAACATGAAGAGACCTCCATCTCTACCAAAAAAAAATTAGCCAGGTATAATGGTGCATGCCTGTGGTCCCAGCTACTTGGGAGGCTGAGGTGGGAGGATCTGCTTGAACCTGGGAGGATGAGGCTGCAGTAAACGATGATCATGCTACTGCCCTCCAGCCTGGGCAACAGAGCAAGACCCTGTCTCGAAAAAAAAAATCTGGCAAGTATAGTTAAAATATTAATGGTAGAATCTAGCTAATGGGTATACAGTTGAGTATATAAATATTTTTCAACTGATATATTTTTAAATTTTTTCTTTTTCTTTTTGTTTTTGAAACAGGGTCACACTCTGTAGCCCAGGCTGGAGTGCAATGGTACCGTTGAACTCCTGGGCTCAAGCCCTCCTCCTACTTCAGCCTCCCAAGTAGCTGGGACTACAGGAGCCTGCCACCACTCTTGGCTAATTTTTTAAATTTTTTATAGAAATGGGGTCTTGCTATATTGCCCAGGCTGGTCTTGAAATCCTGCCCTCAAGCAATCCTCCCACCTCTGCCTCCCAAAGCATTGGGATTATAGGTATCAACTATCACGCCTGGCAGAAATTTTTCTTAATAAAATGGGGGAAAAAATTAGCTTGAGCCAAGGATAAAACACACTAACTGAGTCTAAATGAGAAATTGATAGAAACCTGAGTGTCATTTAGACCAGCATTCTACAAGGAGGCAGACAGAAGGACGAGAGCCTTTCCAGGTAGAAAGGCCAGTGGTGCTGGGAGCTGTGTATTGGTCTGCTTAGCTAGAGCAGAAATGGGGGACTTTGCTGACAGAGGCCAAGATACTGATTCAGCTGGGTTCAAGTGACCTTGGATAATTGGACTGATGTCTCTGCACCTTAGTTTCTTCATCTCTTAAATAGGAGTCACATTAACAGTCATTGTAAGTACCAAACTCAAAGAGCTGTTGTGAGGATCAAATGATATATCAAATAGTTTTCGAAGACAGATGGAGGGATTTTCCAAGAGATATGATGACACAGATGATTTGAAGGGAGTCAGTTTCTGGATTTCCATTTCCATATGTAATTCTGCTAGAAAGAATTAATCTGAGAAAATGCTGAGTGTTGAGGTGTTATGCCAGTTGTCCTTTTCAGCTCACCTTTCCTAATCACTCATACCCCGTTTGGTAAAATAAAAAGGCATACTTGTCCCTATCTTGTTATGGTACCTTACATTAGGTGTAAAAACTTCCAGGCTGGGCGCAGTGGCTCACACCTGTAATCCCAGCACTTTGGGAGGCCAAGGAGGGTGGATCACCTGAGGTCGGGAGTTTGAGACCAGCCTGACCAACATGAAGAAACCCCGTCTCTACTAAAAATACAAAATTAGCCAGGCATGGTGGTGCACGCTTGTAATCCCAGCTACTCAGGAGGCTGAGGCAGGAGAAACGCTTGAACCTGGGAGGCAGAGGTTGCAGTGAGCCAAGATCGCGGCATTGCACTCCAGCCTGGGCAACAAGAGTCAAACTCCATCTCAAAAAAACAAACAAACACAAAAAAACTTCCAGGGTTCCAAAGAGATTATTCAAGATACTAGAGGAGGTGAAAGCTCTTTGAATGTGGGCAACATGCACTCAAAGCAGGGCTGGCATTTTTTTTCTGATTTAACACATGCCCTGTGAAGGAAGAAGTATGGCCTCTGGAATGGACTATTTTGGCCCCTGTTGGAATGTTCTAAATTCAGTTACACTGTAGAGTGGACTAGGGATAGGATGACAATTTTTCTTTAACAAACTCAGCCTTTCTATCCCCTGACTGTTGTCGAAGAACTATCACTTCTGATAGGGGGCTTTTTGACAGCCAAAAAAAAAAAAAAAGGTGTCAGGGGTGGGAAAGATAGATAAAAAATATTGAAGAGAATAACAATTTCATTTAGGAGCAAATTCTTAGCAGGGCTGTCTCTCTCTCTCCTATCTCTCTCTCTCTCTCTGAATTCAGAAATGAAATGTTTGTCATGGGGATGTGTCTTTTTTTTTTTTTGACACAGAGTCTCGCTCTGTTGCCCAGGCTGGAGTGCCATGGTGCAATCTCAGCTCACTGCAACCTCCACCTCCTGGGTTCAAGCGATTTCCAGCTAATTTTTGTATTTTTAGTAGAGACAAGGCTTCACCATGTTGGCCAGTTCGTCTCGAACTCCTGATCTCACATGATCCGCCTGCCTCAGCCTCCCAAAGTACTAGAATTACAGGTGTGAGTCACTGTGCTCCTCAGTGGAGATGTGTCTTTATTTTATTTTATTTTATTTTATTTTTGAGACGGAGTCTCGCTCTGTCGCCCAGCCTGGAGTGCAGTGGTGCGATCTTGGCTCACTGCAAGCTCCACCTCCCGGGTTCACGCCATTCTCCTCTTTAGCCTCCCCAGTAGCTGGGACTACAGGTGCCCACGACCACGCCCGGCTAATTTTTTGTATTTTTTTAGTAGAGATGGGGTTTCACTGTGTTAGCCAGGATGGTCTCGATCTGCTGACCTGGTGATCCGCCCACCTTGGCCTCCCAAAGGGAGATGTGTCTTAATCTGTTTATTTGAATAGAAAAATGTAGTCACATTTTTACTGACCAAAAAAAAGTTTTACTTGGCCCCTTGGTTTGACAGTGAAGGCTGACTTTGCTAGTTAGGTAATAGGTGGACATTTTTCATAAATCAAATGAGCTAAAAATATAGCACTGAGATTTTGAATAAAATATATTTAAATCACATGATGAGAGAGAAATGCTTCATCAAAATTTTTATTACACAAGGTATTTTGAAATTAATATTTTCGGCCAGGCGCGGTGGCTCATGCCTGTAATCCCAGCACTTTGGGAGGCCGAGGCAGGCGGATCATCTGAGGTCGGGAGTTCAAGACCAGCCTGACCAACATGGAGAAACCCCGTCTCTACTAAAAATACAAAAAATTAGCCAGGCATGGTGGCACATGCCTGTAATCCCAGTTACTCAGGAAGGCTGAGGCAGGAGAATCGCTTGAATCCGGAAGGCGGAGGTTGCAGTGAGGCGAGATTGCGCCACTGCACTCCAGCCTGGGCAACATGAGCGAAACTTGGTCTCAAAAAAAAAAAAAAAAAGAAAGAAAGAAATTAATATTTTCATTTTCTAACCCTTTCTGAATATATCAGGTTAATCAAAATGTTTCTAGGTAGAAAAATAATAGGTGTAATTTAATAATCATTTGATAATTCTGGAGAGAGTCTTTTTGGCAAATGTTTCAGAAACTGAGAAAGTGAATGACTCTCATGACTGGACAGCAAACCCTTTTCTAAGTCAGATGTTTTTGGGAAGAATCAAGTTTTAGCCAATAGATCACTAAACAATGCATTTATTTATTTATTTAGAGATGGAGTTTCAATCTTGTTGCTCAGGCTGGAGTACAATGGTGCAATCTCAGCTCACCACAACCTCTGCCTCTCTGGTTCAAGCAATTCTCCTGCCTCAGCCTCCCGAATAGCTGGGACTACAGGCGTGCACCACCATGCCTGGCTAATTTTGTATTTTTAGTAGAGAGAGGGTTTCTCCATGTTGGTCAGGCTGGTCTCGAACTCCCAGCCTCATGTGATTCGCACTCTTCAGCCTCCCAAAGTGCTGGGATTACGGGCGTGAACCACTGCAGCTGGCCTAAACAATGCATTTTAATGATAGATCACTCTGCGATTTTTGGAATACAATTTGGAAGGACTTCAAAGAGTTTAATGACATTACTGTAAGAAATCTTCTATTCGCATCCTCTGCCTTACATGAATGAGATTTCTCAACACTTTTATCTATGAAAATGGGACAGAGTGGAATTAATGTTGAATACTATCTCAGTTGAGCAATCATATTCACACGTAATATGCATATGAACTAATTTCTTAAAATTATAATTTATCTTAGAGGCATTTATTATAATTTTTATTTAATGATTTTGATCAAAATTAGTAATGCATTGGTCATTTTGATCATTAGTGTACTACTAATAATTATAATGATAACAATTCTGAAGACTTGAGTTCTTAAAAAAGAAGAACTTAGGATCACAGGAGACTAGCAAAATTAATTTCCATCTATATGCATATTTTTCTTGCTGAGTACAATAGGGTGATGAAGAAAAGTCTTCTAAGAATAAAAATATGTCAGATCACAGTAAAATGGAGGGAAAGTGGAGTGGAAATTTTGGTTCAAGGTGAAAAAGAATTCATGTAAAAATTTGGCTTTCATATAAGAGCTTGTTCATGTAATTTCCTTTTTTTCTTTTCAGAGAAAGTCTCACTGTCTACCAGGCTGAAGAGCAGTGGCAGTGGCACGATCATAGGTCACTGCAGCATTGAACTCCTGGGATCAAGCCATCCTCCCACCTTGGCCTCCCAGGTAGCTGGGACTACAGGCACATGCCACTATGCCTGGCTGATTTTTTAATATTTTTTTTTTTGTACAGATAGAGCCTTGCTATGTTGCCCTGGCTGGTCTCAAACTCCTGGCCTCAAGCAATCCTCCTGCCTTGGTCTCCCAAAGTGCTGGGATTCCAGGCATAAGCCACCATGCCTGGCTTCGTAATTTTCAAGAGGATGCTAATGGCTATCAGTTTGCTATGGTATTTAGATTTCATTACACACATTAAAGGAGTGATGTGGCTGGGCACAGTGGTTTAGACCTGTAATCCCAATACTTTGGGAGGCCAAGGCAGGAGTTCAAGACTAGCCTGGGCAACAGAGTGAGACCTCCTTTCTACAAAAAGTAAGGAAAATTAGCCAGGCGTGGTGGCATGTGCCTGTAGTCTCAGTGATTCAGGAGGCCTAGGTGGGAGAATGGCTTGAGCCTGGGAGGTTGAGGCTTCAGTGAGCTGAAACTGTGTCACTGCACTCCAGCCTGGGGGACAGAGTGAGATCCTGTCTCTCAAATAAAAACAAATAAATAAATTTTTTGTAAAAGGAGTGATATAAGTTTCATTTTAAAATGTCAGTATTTGGCCGGGCGCAGTGGCTCACGCTTGTAATCCCAGCACTTTGGGAGGCCGAGACGGGTGGATCACGAGGTCAGGAGATGGAGACCATCCCGGCTAACACGGTGAAACCCCGTCTCTACTAAAAATACAAAAAATTAGCCGGGCGTGGTGGCGGGCGCCTGTAGTCCCAGCTACTCGGGAGGCTGAGGCAGGAGAATGGCGTGAACCCGGGAGGCGGAGCTTGCAGTGACCTGAGATCGCGCCACTGCACTCCAGCCTGGGCGACAGAGCGAGACTCCCTCTCAAAAAAAAAAAAAAGTCAGTATTTATAGGATGGCTGGAAATTTCACCCCTTCCAACATTTCACATTTGTGACGTACAATTTTAACAGTCAATGTCAAAATTTGTGTGCGTTACATGTTTCAAAATAATTTTGGGAAGTACTAGGATGCAAAAGTTCAAAGGCTCCTGATACAGTATATGTGAAAAAAATCATCCCCTCACCTATTTCTCTCCTTCTTGTGTATTCCAGCTCAGTGTGAGGGGCCATTTTCCCTTAAAAGCCAGAATCTTGAGCACCATCCATGCTTCTCTCTATTCCTCTGCATCTAACCAATTTATGCTATATCTAGGCAAAGCTTGTGTTCATCTCTTCTTTTCCATTTCCCCTGCCACTGTCTTATTTGAAGATCCTATGATCTTTCTCCTAGAATATTGTTAACATCTTCTTAATTAGTTTGTCTGACATCAGATTCAACTCCTTCTACTGAGGTATCTATAAGGAAAAGAAATTTATCTTTCTTCTTTTGTTTTTGCTTTTTTTTCTTGGAGATGGCATCTTGCTACATTGTCAAGGGTGGTCTCAAATTCATGGCCTCAAGCTATCCTCATGCCCCAACCTCCCAAGTAGCTGGGAATATGGGAGTGCACCAGTGGGCCAGCTCCGGATTTATCTTTCTAAAATATCAAGTCAGTCATATCACTCTTGTACTTGTATAACTCAATGATTCTCCATTCCTTTAAAATAAAATCTAAATGGTTAGGATGGGCTGGGCATGGTGATGCCTGTAATCCCAGCACTTTGAGAGGCCAAGGCAGTTGAACCACTTGAGGTCAGGAATTTGAGACCATCCCGGGCAACATGGTGAAACCCCGTTTCTATCAAAAAATACAAAAATTAGCCAGGTGTGGTGGTGCACACCTGTAATCCCAGCTACTCAGGAGGCCAAGGCATGAGAATCACTTGAACACTGGAGTTGGAGGTTACAGTGAGTCAAGACTGCATCACTGCACTCCAGCCTGGGCTACAGAGCAAGACTCCATCTCAAAAAAAAAAAAAAAAAAAAAAAAAAAATTGGGCATGGTGGTGTGTGCCTGCAGTTCCAGCTACTCCAGAGGGTGGGGGCCGGGGGTGGTCACTAGATCCCAGGAGTTTGAGGCTGCAGTGAGCCCTGATCGCATCACTGCACTCCAGCTTGGGCAACAGAATGAGAACTCCATCTCTTACAAATAAAACAAAACGATGCAATTCAATAATTACCAGTTTTGCTGGAAAGGCTTCTTGTGTCCTCAGACAGACTTGAGTGCTTTCCCCCTTTCTTTTTCTTTTGCTCTTATTTATTTATTTATCTGAGACAAAGTCTCACTCTGTCGTCCAGGCTGGAGTACAACGGCGTGATCTCAGCTCGCAGCAACTTCCGCCTCCTAGGTTCAAGCGATTCTCCTGCCTCAGTGTCAGGCCTCTGAGCCCAAGCTAAGCCTGTGACCTGCGTGTATACATCCAGATGGCCTGAAGCAACTGAAGATCCACAAAAGAAGTGAAAATAGCCTTAACTGATGACATTCCATCATCGTGATTTGTTTCTGACCCACCCTAACTGATCAATGTACTTTGTAATCTTCCCCACCCTTAAGAAGGTTCTTTATAATTCTCCCCACCCTTGAGAATGTACTTTGTGAGATCCACTCCCTGCCCGCAAAACATTGCTCCAAACTCCACCGCCTATCCCAAAACCTGTAAGAACTAATGATAATCCACCACACTTCGCTGACTCTCTTTTCAGACTCAGCCCGCCCGCACCCAGGTGAAATAAACAGCCATGTGCTCACACAAGCCCTATTTGGTGGTCTCTTCACACGGGCACGTGAGACACTCAGTTTTCCGAGTAGCTGGGATTACAGGTTCCCCCCAGTCACGCCCGGCTAATTTTTGTATTTTTAGTAGAGACGAGGGTTTCACCATGTTGGCCAGGCTGGTCTTGAACTCCTGACCTCGTGATCTGCCCACCTTAGCCTCCCAAAGTGCTGGGATTACAGGTGTGAGCCACCATGCCCGGCCTTGTTCTTTATTTTACGTATTTATTCAGAGCCTATCACATGCCTGTCACTCAGCGAGCACAGCAGAGCTGTTGGTTCCTTACCCATATCCCTTCAGCCCTCTCATCAGATCTGCAGAAAATTCTTGTGCGTAGGAATGACTTTCTGGGTCTTTCTGCTTAAGGGATGCCTCAGGAGCGAACTTCTACCAATGCAAAACAAGTTGGGGGACAGATATCCCAGAACACTTCTGAAGTGTGTTCTACACAGCCATTCAGAGGGTCTCTGTGAGGTTGAGTTCCATTCGCACATAGAGGTAACTCACTAATTCAGTATACTGTCTTGGCCTTTCTCCCTTTCCTGTTTGACTTTTTCTGTCCTTTACTGTGCTATCTAGGACCACCTCTCAAAGAAGTGAATAGACCCAATTCATTTTCTCAGGAACGGGGGCAATCCCAAGCCAAGACAACTAGACTCTGGGGATAAAATTGTTACCAGTGGAGGTTGTCCAGGTTCTTGGCATCTTGAACAAAGAATTGGACATCACGCCCAAGAAAAGCAAGGAAAGAATGAAGCAACAAAAGCAGAAATTTATTGAAAATGAAAGTATGCTCCACAGGGTAGGAGCGGGCCCAAGCATAGGGGCTCAAGAGCCCCAATACAGAATTTTTTTTGGTTTAAATACCCTCTAGAGGTTTCCATTGATTACTTGGTGTACGCCCTATGTAAATGAAGAGGATGATGTAAAATTACAAAGTCATTTACTTGATGTACACCCTATGTAAGTGGAAGGGATATTACCTGTCACAGCTGAAGTGTTTCCATTTGATTTAGTTCTAGGAAGTCCTTAGGTTCCCTGCCTCCAGGCCCTATTCTCCTGCCTCAAAATGATGAGTGTTCATACTTTACCACATTGCATGGAAATATTAATAGTAATGTAAGCTGCACAAGGACAGAGATATTTGTTTTATTCATTGATGTGTTGCCAACATCTAGAACAGTGCTTGAAATATAGTGTTGAATGAATAGTAGCAATAGCTAATATTTATTGAGTGCTTATGATGTGTTTGATGTGATTTTTCAGAGATAATTTAATCCTCAAAAACCTTATGAAAATAGATATTGGTATTATTAGTGGTAATTATTCCCCTTTGGGGATATAGGAGAATTAAGGTTAAACAATAGGTCTAAATCACCCAGCTTGTAAGTGATCGTTGGAGCTCAGAAATTAATACCCCAAAATATGGGGCTTTGACTTGCTGAATTGAAGAAGTCTCAAGATCTCTCTGACCTCCCACCTCCACCGTCTCTCCCAAAGCACAGGATGAAGTTGAAGTTCCTTTATCTGCCTAAGATCTAGACCTACCAAGAACAATTGTTTTTAATTATCCTCCTTTTAAGACCAAAAATGTAACCACAGCTGAATAGACCCTTTCACGAAGTAACGTGTTCGCCTCTCTGTCTCATTCAAATTCCAAAGAGAATGATTTACAAGTTAATCTCTGTTCACATTCACTTATCTATTCATTTTTCCTCTTCTCCCCTCCAAAAATCTATTTTTCCACCATAACCTGTTTTGCTAAGATGATATATAACTTTCTGAACCCTACTGGGAGGGTATGTAATCACTGTGTGATCCTCCCCGTGTACACGTTAATAAAATATGTATGCCTTTTCTCCAATTAATTTGTCTTTTGCAAATTGATTTTTCAGGGAATCTTAGGAGAGCAAAGAAGTATTTCCCTTGGCCCCTAGAATAACATTTAAAAATAATCTCTAAATATTTAGAGATTAAAAATAATCTCTAAATAATAATCTCTAAATAATCTCATAATTAAGCGGGGTGCAGTGGCTCACACCTGTAATCCCAACACTTTGGGAGGCCAAGGTGGGTGGATCACCTGAGGTCAGGAATTCGGGACCAGCCTGACCAATATGGTGAAACCCCGTCTGCAGGGAAAAGGAAGAGAGATCAGATTGTTACTGTGTCTGTGTAGAAAGAAGTAGACATAGGAGACTCCATTTTGTTCTGTACTAAGAAAAATTCTTCTGCCTTGAGATGCTGTTAATCTATAACCTTACCCCCAACCCCGTGCTCTCTGAAACATGTGCTGTGTCAACTCAGGGTTAAATGGATTAAGGGCTGTGTGGGATGTGCTTTGTTAAACAGATGCTTGAAGGCAGCATGCTCGTTAAGAGTCATCACCATTCCCTAATCTCAAGTACCCAGGGACACAAACACTGCAGAAGGCCGCAGGGACCTCTGCCTAGGAAAGCCAGGTATTGTCCAAGGTTTCTCCCCATGTGATAGTCTGAAATATGGCCTCATGGGAAGGGAAGGACCTGACCATCCCCCAGCCCGACACCTCTAAAGGGTCTGTGCTGAGGAGGATTAGTATAAGAGGAAGGCATGCCTCTTTGCAGTTGAGACAAGAGGAAGGCATCTGTCTCCTGCCCGTCCCTGGGCAATGGAATGTCTCGGTATAAAACCCGATTGTATGTTCCATCTACTGAGATAGGGGAAAACCACCTTAGGGCTGGAGGTGGGACATGCGGGCAACAACACTGCTCTGTAAGGCATTGAGATGTTTATGTGTATGCATATCTAAAGCACAGCACTTAATTCTTTACCTTGTCTATGATGCAGAGACCCTTGTTCACGTTTATCTGCTGACCTTCTCTCCACTATTATCCTATGACCCTGCCACATCCCCCTCTCCGAGAAACACCCAAGAATGATCAATAAATACTAAGGGAACTCAGAGGCTGGCGGGATCCTCCGTATGCTGAACGCTGGTACCCTGGGCCCCCTTATTTCTTTCTCTATACTTTGTCTCTGTGTCTTTTTCTTTTCCAAAGTCTCTCGTTCCACCTAACAAGAAACACCCACAGGTGTGGAGGGGCAACCCACCCCTTCACCCATCTCTACTAAAAATACAAAAATTAGGCCCGGCACGGTGACTCACGCCTGTAATCCCTGCACTTTGGGAGGCAGAGGCAGGTGGATCATTTGAGGTCAGGAATTCGAGACCAGTCTGGCCAACATGGTGAAACCCCATCTCTAAAAAAGATACAAAAAATTAGCCAGGCGTGATGGCAGCCGCCTGTAATCCCAGCTACTTGGGAGGCTGAGACAGGAGAATTGCTTGAATCCAGGAGGCGGAGGTTGCAGTGAGCTGAGATCGCACCACTGTACTCCAGATGGGGCGACAGAGCAAGGCTGTGTCTCAAATATAAGTAAATAAATAAAATAAAAAATAAAAATACAAAAATTGGCCAGGTGTGGTGGCAGGCGCCTGTATTCCCAGCTACTTGGGAGACTGAGACAGGAGAATTGCTTCAACCTGGGAGGCAGAGGTTGCAGTGAGTCGAGATCGCGCCACTGCATTCCAGCCTGGGCAACAGAGTAAGACTCCATCTCAAAAAAAAATTTTTTTTCCTTTAAAATTATTATATCTCTATTTATCTACCTATATCTTAGAGATTCCCCGGCACATAGTAATTACTCAATACACACTAATTATCATCTTCTGCTCTTAACAGAAGCCCAAACTTAGAAGTCTCTCCTAAGTGGGATCCCCTTTCCTTACCCAGCCTTGAGGAGCTACGCTTGGACAGAATAAACTTAGTATTCAGTTTCAGCCCCTTCATCCAGCTGGAGCAGGAAGAAAGCTGTACTTCCTCTGGCAGTTAACTTTGCACAGAGGAAAGACACGCCCAAACACATCTGATCTCCAGGCATGCCTACAAATCCCAAGGCAGCTTCTAGAAGGAATTCTCCTATTGATTGTGGTTGGGAACGTGGAGTGAAGAATGTGAATGACACAGTCCTGTCCATCCCCACTACCAGACGTACAAATTGGAGCAAAGTTTTGAGCAAGACATCATCATTATATCATTATGTTTGAGGGAAGAACATAAGAGATTGTTAAACTGCTTTCTAGTGTTTCAAGGTGAAAAGACCAAGGGTGGGAGTTCCACATCTTCCTGAGAGCCTGCCTCTATCATATGCTGTTATTCTAGGAATGATCTGTAGTCTGTTGCTCATGGAGAATAGTGGGCCATACCAGGTAAACTTAGAAGAATGTTGATTTCTTTCCTTCTAGTTTTCTTTTGTTAACAGCTTGGGAGCTTTTTTCTTTTCTTTTTATCTGAGAGGGCAGGGCTGTAAAATAAGTGCTGCTGCCTTTTCAAACCCTGTTAAGATGTTACAGGTTAATAACCATGTGGGCTGGTAAAATTGGGGCTAAGATGATTCTTTCACTTGTAAGAATGTATGAGGTCACACATAATACCATGTTAGTCCTTTATACACCATTTATTCTTCTTTCAGCAAAATCTTTTGGCTTTTTGAGTATTTATTGAGTGCCTACAGAGAGAAAGGAACAGCACATGCTGGGACAGGTATCTTATTACTCCTTCCCATTATTTTCTTTTCTGAATCTTTGCACATATAAGCCACTAGCCTTTCTGTTGTCTTTCCAGAGATGCTTCACAGAAGACAAAGAGAGACATAACTCTATCCACTCATTCATGCAGCAGTCCGTCTTTTAACAATGTTTGCTTAATATTCACCATGTGCTGCATTTTTACTAAGCTGCGTGGAAACCATGGTAAAAAAGATGAAGCCACTATGTTAAAGGAGCATACAGTCTTCATCAAATACAACAGAAATAAACATGAAATTGTGATACATGACAATGATGGAGAGATGTGGTAGCTGGAACAATGGGGGTTTGAATTTAGAGGTGAGGTCAGTGTCGTGCCTGTGAACTGTGGTTCGGGTGATATTTTTAATCATAGCATTACAAAAATCTGGTGAGTCATATTAAATTAAGTTTCAAAGGTATACTTCGAGGTACATTAGATTATGTGCAATGTATTACCGATAGTGGAGGAGATAGTTTGATGTGGTACTAGAAATTATTCAAAGTGGTACGTGGTCTGAGGCCCAGCATGGTGGCTCACACCTCTAATCACAGCCCTTTGGGAGTCCCAGGCGGGTGGAGTAGCTTGCACTCAGGAGTTCCAGGCCAGCCTGGGCAACATGGCAAGACCCCCGTCTCTACTAAAAATACAAAAAATAAAAAATAAAAAAAAATTGCTGGGTGTGGTGGCACACGCCTGTAGTCCCAGGTACTCGAGAGGCTGAGGTGGGAGGATTGCCTGAGCCTGGGAGGCAGATGCTGCAGTGAGCCAAAATCACCCCACTGCACTCCAGCCTGAGTGACAGAGCAAGACTCCATATATAAAAAAAATTAAACTGAATATTAGAAAGTACTCCCTGTCTTATTTTCAGCCATGTGATTTCAGTTAAGCAGAGTCTCATGTAGATGCTGTATGTCTTAAACACCTTTTAACACTTGGTAAACAAACTCTCCGACCCTCATCCCACCCTGCTTGGCTCTGTTTTTTTTGTTTTTTGTTTTTTGTTTTTGTTTTTTTTTTATTTAGACAAAGATTAAGCTCAGAAAATCAACAGGTGGTAGATTCCAGCTGGTATTTGGTATCTTATTTGATTTTTCTTGTATTTATTTCAGTGTATCCTTTTACTTATGGTTAGTGAGTTATTATTATATAAAATTTCTTTTTCAAATTTATTTATTTATTTATTTATTTATTTATTTATTTATTTATTTTTGAGACAGAGTCTCACTTTGCCACCCAGGCTAGAGTGCAGTGGCGCGATCTTGGCTCACTGCAACCTCCGCCTCTTGGGTTCAAGGGATTCTCCTGCCTCAGCCTCCTGAGTAGCTGGGATTACAGGCTTGCGCCACAACGCCCAGCTAATTTTTGTATTTTTAATAGAGATGGGGTTTCACCATGTTGGCCAAGCTGGTTTTAAACTCCGGACCTCCATCCGCCTTGGCCTCTCAAAGCGCTGAGATTACAGGAATGAGCCACTGCACTCAGCCTCAGATCAATTATTTAAACAAACTCAGTCAATATAAAAAAAATTAAAAAAACATGATAAGCAAATAACAGCCAAGGTGGTACAATGTTATGGCAAAACTGTAAAAATAGTGTGGAAATAATTGAAGTTTAGAGGAACAAGAGCACTGTGCTCAGAATGAGGAAATCTGATTTGAGGTCCGGCTCCCTTTGTACTATCGTCCCAGGCAGGCAATGCTGCATGGTACTGAGTGTGTTATGAGGGATAGAGACTTGCCAACATTAACAGATTATTACAAAGGGTATATGTTTGAGTACAGAAACCTCAGACTTTATAGTGTTAGAGGGGAGACAAAAACATAAATAGTTGTGTAATAACTCAAAGACTGTGATAAGTATTACAAATGGGTTAAAAACCCTAGACAAAGGAAATAGGAAGAAGTTAATTACCTGAGTGTATGTATATGATAAGAATGGCTATCATTAGGCTGGGCACGGTGGCTCACACCTGTAATCCCAGCACTTTGGGAGGCCGAGGCGGGCGGATCACAAGGTCAGGAGATCGAGACCATCCTGGCTAACACGGTGAAACCCCGTCTCTACTAAAAAAATACAAAAGATTAGCCAGGCGTGGTGGCAGGTGCCTGTAGTCCCAGCTACTCAAGAGGCTGAGGCAGGAGAATGGCGTGAACCCAGGAGGCGGAGCTTGCAGTGAGCTGAGATCGTGCCACTGTATTCCAGCCTGGGCGACAGAGCAAGACTCCATCTCAAAAAAAAAAAAAAAAAAAAAGTGCCAGGGAACTGACTAGGTGCTTTGTTGTATTATCTCATTTATTTCTCACCATTCAGGAACTGGGTTTAGAGAGGCTAAATAATTGACCCATGATTAATACTGGTGATGATGATGTTTACGACTGAATACTTATTGTATGCCCAGCCCTGTACTGAGTCCTTTATATACATGATCTCCATTTAAGCTTCACCACAAGACTCTGAGGTATTATTTTCCTTTTACAGATAAACTAAGGCTCACAGAGATCATGAAATTTGCAGTTAGTGAATGGTGCTGTTGCAATTTGATCTCAGGTGTGTTGGACTCCAAAGTCTGTTTCTTCATCTTCTGCTTCACTTCCAAGTCAGCAGCAGCTGAGCTGAGGGACCATGAGATGGCCATGCACTGGGATGGTCCATTGAGGGCTCTTTTGTGAAATGCGAGGTTCCAATCTTGGTTTCTCTAATGTGTGTCACAACTCTTTGTTTAATAATTTATACTCCTAAAAGCATAAAGTCCTAGAATCATGTGGGTGGCTAGCACTGTTCCATGACACTATAAGGTAATGTTGGTAAAGACATTTCAAAAGTAGACAAAAGAACTAGGTGGTAGGGTAAGGTAGGGCTATAGGATAGCTAGTCTGTGCGGGCTAAAAGCCATATTTCCTGTGGAAAGTTACAGTCAATTCTTAATAGATATGAAGGAATCTTCAGGATGTACTAAATCCAACCTCCTCATTTTACAAAGTAGAGGTTAAGGGCCAAAGGTCATACATTGGCAGAGGAATCAGGACACCACACATCTTGTGTCTCAATGCTCTGTTCACTATGGCAGTGGTTTTCAAGGTGTGGTCTCCAGATCAGCAACCTCAGCATCACCTGGGAACTTGATGGAAATGCCCACCTTCAATCCACTGAATCAGATTCTGTGTGTCAGGCCTCTAGCCCAAGCTAAGCCATCATATCCCCTGTGACCTGCACGTATACATCCAGATGGCCTGAAGCAACTGAAGATCCACAAAAGTGAAAATAGCCTTAACTGATGACATTCCACCACTGTGATTTGTTTCTGCCCCACCCTAACTGATCAATGTACTTTGTAATTCTCCTTACCCTTGAGAATGTACTTTGTGAGATCCACCCGCTGCCCGCAAAACACTGCTCCTAACTCCACCGCCTATCCGAAAATCTATAAGAACTAATGATAATCCCACCACCCTTTCCTGACTCTCTTTTCGGACTCAGCCCGCCGGCACCCAGGTAAAATAAACAGCCTTATTGCTCACACAAAGCCTGTTTGGTGGTCTCTTCACATGGACGTGCGTGGCACTATGCAGGGGGAGCTCAGCAACACGTTTCAACATGCCTTCCAGGTGATTCTGATGCATGCTCACTTCTGAGAGCCACTCCAAAGAAGTATCTGCTACATATTATACACATATACCCCCACCCCCAGACCCGCAAGTTCTTCCTCTTTGTTCCCAGAAAAGGTTTGAAGGGGCTCAGTATCAGGTCTACAGCACACTGAGATTTATTTATTTATTTATTTATTTATCATTTATTTGAGACAGAGTCTCGCCCTGTTTCCGAGGCTGGAGTGCAGTGGCGTGATCTCAGCTCACTGCAACCTCCACCTCCCAGGTTCAAGTGATTCTCTTGCCTCAGCCTCTGGAGTAGTTGGGATTACAGGCGTGCACCACCACACCTGGCTAATCATTCTATTTTTAGTAGAGACGGAGTTTCACCATGTTAGACAGGCTGGTCTCATACTCCTGGCCTCAAGTGATCCGTCTGCCTTGGCCTCCCAAAGTGCTGGGATTACGGGTGTGAGCCACAGCGCCCGGCCACACTGAGACATTTTAGAGGGAGATCAGTCTATGGAACAAATGCTGGCCTGGGGCTGGTGGCCTGGGTGTGCTGTCTGGCCAATTTTGTGCGTGGAGTAAGCAGTGGGGAGAGGCGCTGGGTGTCAGGAAACTATGCCAGGCCCTGCCCTCCACCAACCCCAATCAAAGAGCTGAGAGGGGGTTCTTCTCCACACCATCCCACTACTTGTGTCCCTCACCTTCTCTGAGTCCTGGGTATTGGTGCTGGGAACTCTGCAACAGATTTCCTGAAGGCAGGTGGCCTGTGGAAGGAAGGCAGAGGAGGGGGCCTGCAGAATGCAAAGGTGTACGGAAGGCATCTCTGCGCCCCTGCTGAAGATTTTTCACTTTATCCTGAAGGGAAGACAATATCTGAGGCCGGGAAATAATAAATATTGATTTTCACTTTATCAGTATTCCTGGCAGCTGCACGGAAAATGGAATGGCACAGAAACTGGAGTCTTATGGGCACTTATCCCACTAGTTGGGGTGGGAAATTAAAGGCTGTGTGTAAGGTGGGCACAGATCTAACAGAATGTGGATTGGGATATGCAGGGGAGGGTGGAGTGGGGGAAGACAGACTCCATTTGGACTTGGTGAGTTATAGGTGCAGCACCAGCATAATGCGCATGGAAGTCCTGGAATCATTTACCAAGAAGGTCCTGAACACAGGTGAGGGACATCCCCTTCTTCCCTGTTCCCTAAGGCGCCTAGACTTTGGAGTCAGTCAGTCTTGGGTTCCAGCCTCCCGCTAGGACGCAATTTCTTGAGAGCAGGATTCGATCTGTTGTTCACGGCTAGATCCTAAGCGCCTAGAATAGTTTCTGGCACACAGTAGGCACTCAATAAACATTTGCAGAATGAATCAATGAATGAATGGTCACGCTCCATTCCTCGGCTGTAAACACAATGAAATCACCTAGCCGCAAACTTGGCGCACAGTAGGCGCTCAACAAGTTGTATTTTTCCCTTCCCTTGCAGTAGACCGCGGTCCCCAGGCGACCGCGAAAGAAAAAAAGGGGTTTCTCTACCTCGCGTGGTCTGCACCTCGCTTCGCCCCCGCAGCCCTCGCTGGGTCGCAGGGAGCACGTGGGCCAGGCAGGCTGGGTGGGAGTGGAGTGGAGTGGAGGGGAGGGGGCGGCGGCCAGCGGCTCGCGCGGAGCCGGTCTCCCGGGCTTACGTAAGGCGCGAGTCCCGCGCGGCCGGCCGGGGCTCCGCGACTGGGCGGGCGGAGGCGGCGCCGCCCTGCAGGATCCGGGCTGGAAGCCTCTCGGAGTGCTGCCTCCAGCCAAGGTGTGTGTTTATTTGATTGCTTTTGGTGGCGAGGCGCGGGGCTCGGGCTCGTCGCGCGCCCCATGGCCGGGGAGCGCATCCGCCAACCCCGGGCGGAGGTGGGCCCCTCCGAGCGCGCGCGGGCGGCGGGCAGCGGCGGCAGCTGAGACTCCGGGGGATGTGACAGCCGCCGGGGAGGGGACGAGACGCAGACCACACGTTGCCCACGTGCGAGGACCGGGCAGGGGCTCAGCCCCTAGGCCGCCCGGTGCGTGGGGCGGCGGGGGCTGGCTTTGAGTCACCCCCGCTTGTGCCAGCTTCCCCGGCTCGGCGGAGACTGGCTTGGGGATGCCTGGCCGCCCGGCCCCCTTCTCGGACGCGGCGTGGGGAGCGAGCTGGAGTTAAGGATGAAGGTGGGACTGGCCGGGCCGACCTCTGACCCCTGGAGGCCGAGTCGGCAGGGCGGGGCACGGCGCGCTTCAGCAGCTTTGCGTGGGGGCGAGGAGGTGGAGGAGGGCGAGGAGGTGGAGAAGGGCGGGGAGGTGTAGCGTGGCGCTCAGTCCGCCTGCTACTCGGTCCCGGCGCTGGGCTGAGGGGAGGGGTTGTCTTAAAAGTCTCTCCTTCCCCCTGTAGGGGCGGCCGGCGAGTCCCAGTGAGAGCGGAGGGTGCCAGAGGTAGGGGGCCGAGAAACAAAGTTCCCGGGGCTTCCTCCGGGGCCGCGGTCGGGGCTGCGCGTTTGACCGCCCCCCTCCTCGCGAAGGCAATGGCTTCCAAACTCCTGCGCGCGGTCATCCTCGGGCCGCCCGGCTCGGGCAAGGGCACCGTGTGCCAGAGGATCGCCCAGAACTTTGGTCTCCAGCATCTCTCCAGCGGCCACTTCTTGCGGGAGAACATCAAGGCCAGCACCGGTGAGGGGCTGCGGGGACGAGGGCCGGGGGCGAGCCGCGTTGGGCTGGGGTGAGGCCCTGGAGGGACTGGGGCTCCCGGATCACGGCGCCCTTCCCCCGCCCGCGTGTGGTCGTGCAGGCTCGTACGTGCCGGGGCGCATGCAGCTGGCGGCCGCGCGGCTTAACCGCGCCTGGGGAGGAGGCCGAGGCTCCAGGGGCGGCCGGTGGGAGGTGCCCACGGCTCCTCTCCACCGCTCCTCCTGTCGCGAGGAATAGCCCGAGCCACCCGGCCGAGGGAACGAGAACTAGGCAGGGAAAACCCGGAGCTTCCGTCTCACGCTGCCCTCCTTAAGGCAGAGCCGTCCCCGTACCCCTTAGCCCTGGCCCCCTCCCCCGAGTCCCTAGAGAGCCGCGCGCCCCCTCCCGCGGGAGCCCAGAGGCGGAGCGCCGCCCACCTGTGGCAGTCGGGCGGGGCCGCGCGCCGGGGAACCTGTGGCGCCGGGGGGCTCGCAGCCTCGCGCCTCTCCAGCCCCTCCACGCAGCCTCGGGCCTCGGGGCAGAGCCCTGGGTGGCTTTGAAAGGCCTGTCTGTTCGTTGTCGCCTTCTAAGGTAAACTCTCCCCAGCAACTCCCCCCCCTCCCGAAGCCGCCGGGCCTGGCCGTCAGGAGACTCGGAGGAGACTCGTTCTGATAAATTACATTTTGTAATGCAGCTTTCCTGGAAATGGCTTCTTGAGCTGCCTCCCTTGGCATGAGATGCCTCCTTTGGCTGGCGTGGTGAACTTGGGGATATATAGATCGCCTGATTTCTTAGTCTGACGGGGTTGAGTGCGTCCCTTTCCCCCTCTCCTCCCACTCCACGTTCACACCAGTTCCGAAAGAATTGGCGTTAAAAGGCGAGAGGTAGCGGTTGTGCTGCTGCGAGGCTCTTAACCCTTCTGGGATGGAGATGCTGGTAATTAGCAACTCCTTTATGAAAAGTTGTTCTTCCCAGCAGGGGTCCTTTACTGTCGATGTACTTCTCAAGGATGTCCGGGCTGGTTATTGCCCATCATGGACTAATTATCCGGAGATCTGCATTTCAGAAGCACAGACTGGCTTGAAAAGGAAGGTGGAGGACAGTACCAGAAAACAAAAGGAAAGCTTAAAAGCAAGGAATTAAGAAGTATCTCCAGAATTGTATTCCTTATCTCTTAAGCAGATTGAAAAAGCGGACTTTTACAGGAAACTCTTCCCCCACCCCCATGTCTCAAAAGGAAGAATTATGTGTACCAGATTGCACTTGAGTTTTCTGTTGTGGGTATTGTTACCTCAAGTGCGCCTATTTTGATTTTAATACATTCACATGCATTTTATTCTTGAAATGCTGCGGTTTGAGGGGAGAGCGGCCTGAGGGGGAAGGCTGGCTCTCATCCTAATGGTTTTGTGTTTAGGTTGGGCTTCTTCATGGTAGGGGCATGGAGTCAGTGAAGGAAGACAGTGAGAAGAGATGAGCCCATTCCATAATTCTCTGTACCTGACTAGGAGACTTGTTTCCTTCTATGAGCCCATTCCATAATTCTCTGTACCTTACTTGGTGACTTGTTTCCTTCTGGAATGAAGGGCTTCACACTGTCCATCCTGGGACTGGACTCATAGCCCTTTCCATGTTTAAAGAGAGTGTGATGGGAAGTAGCTTATTTCTGCACTTTCTTAGGGGCTTTGAAAATTTTCCATTTGCTCTTTTCCCTTGTTCTCTCTTTCTCTCTCTCTCTCTTTTTTTTTTTTAACTTTCCTGTGTTCTAAATTTTAGTTTTCATTCTCTTTCAAATGCCTTCATTTCCTCCCCAGTGATCCTCCCTGGAGTGAGAAATGACTATGAAATGTTTAGATTTTCTTTTTTCTGTTGGGAATCAAGCAGCTTTTTGCATGAGCCAATTAAAAAAAAAACTTTATCAAAGAAAGAAGAAAAATAAAGGACAGCAATTTGTTTTGAAAGTGGCTTGTTTCTAGTGAACTTTCGGGTTATCGGATTATTTTTCCCTCTCAGAAGGTCTGAGAATCTTATAGGCTTACTGCCTGGTAAATAAAACATTCCTTTCCACGGTATTTATTTTTCTGTCTGTTACCTGCTGTTTGCTTTTAGCTGATTTCCTGGTGGGAAACACAACCACCCTTCTGTATGTACCCTTTATAATGGAAGGTTTGAAGGAGACGATGAAGCACAACAAAAACCCAGGAAATAGAACCGTGTAGGAATTTGAATTGGAAAGTAGCTCCGGCCATCTGCTCCAGCCTGGATTTGGGCACACTCTTGTCTACATGGCTTTCCTCCTCCTGCAGCCTGGTGAAAAGCTGCTCTTTCAGGAAAGGGCCATTCTGATGTCATTGCTTCTTGGAAGTCTTCCCTCACCTGCTCTGGCAGAATTCATCTCTTTCCTCTGCACATAACTTTTTTTTTTTGAGACGAGTCTCGTTCTGTCACCCACACCGGAGTTCAGTGGCGCTATCTCGGCTCGCTGCAACCTCTGCCTCCCGGGTTCAAGCGATTCTCTTGCTTCAGCCTCCCAAGTAGCTGGGATTACAGGCGTCTGCCACCACGCCCGGCTAATTTTTGTATTTTTCGTAGAGATAGGGTTTCACCATCTCTACGAAGGTTCGAGGTCAGGCTGGTCGCGAACTCGGGACCTTAGATGATCCACCCGTCTTGGCCTCCCAAAGTGCTGGGATTACAAATGTGAGCCACCGCACCTGACCTCCTCTCCTCTGCACATGTCTTATTGATTCTAATGTTGCAGTCATATATCATGCAGTGTAAAAATGCCTGTCTCACACCCAGTAAGATATCTGCTGAGTGGCTGCTGTGCGTCAATGTTCTAGGTGCTGGGGGCAATAGCATTAAGATAATCTTGTGCCTCTTTTATTATTATTTATAGATAGGGGTTTTGCTTTAGTGCCCAGGCTGGTCTCAAACTCTTGGCTCAGTCTCCCAAAATGTTGGGATTACAGGTGTGAGCCACTGCACCTGGCCCATTCTTGGGCCTTTTGTTCTTTCTGCCTATACCATTGTACAATTTCCACTCTGAAACTTGGAGGACAGGGATCAGGCAAAGTACCTAATGTATAAAAGGAGCTTACCGAGTCTGTATTAAAGGCCTGGGTCACAAATTCTAGACAGTACATCTTAGTCCAGAAGTCAAGCAACCTATAGCATAGAGACCATTTTGTTTAATTAGCTCTGATTTATGGTAAAAGTTTGTGCTTAATATGGATCTGAGATTAGCTTCATGGTAGCTGTCACCCATTGGCCCTTCCTACACTGCCTAGAGTGGTACAGGCTGAGGCTTATCAGATACCTCATTTGAAGAGTCACACCCATATCTTTGGCTCAGATTTTCTTTAGCACACTGCAAGAGTAAATAGAAGGGAGAGTTCTCTTAGATTGCCAGGAGTTGGGTCTTACCCTCTGTTGTAAGAAATATTAGCTTTTCTCTGTGTATGTATGGGTATGCACATGTATGTATGAGTATACACACACACACAGGGACTGGCACTCTATTGAGTGAGTCCTACTACAAACTCTGAACAAATTCTGATATTTAATGATAGATTCTTTTATTGGGTCATATCTAAAGGATATGCAAATCCTGTTTTAAAGGTTGGAGAAATAGTGGTATTTTTTAAAACCACATTATACTGGATCTACTATCTCAAGTGCAGGAAAACTGGCACATCTCCATTTGGAAGCATCTTGGAGTTAATTGAGATAAAAGATGTTAAGGAACAAACCTGTTTCTGCACTTGCTATCTCTCTCTCTCTCTCTCTCTCTCTCTCTCTCTCTCTCTCTCTCTATATATATATATATATATATATATTTTTTTTTTTTTTTTTTTTTTTTTTTTTTTTTTTTGAGCCGGAGTCTCACTCTGTCACCCAGGCCGGAGTGCAGTGGCACAGTCTCGGCTCACTGCAGCCTCCGCCTCCCAGGTTCAAGCGATTCTTCTGCCTCAGCCTCCCGAGTAGCTGGGACTACAGGCACACACCACCACGTGTGGCTATTTTTGTATTTTTGGTGGAGATGGGGTTTCACCATTTGGCCAGGCTGGTCTTGAACTCCTGACCTCATGATCTGCCTGCCTCGGCCTCCCAAAGTGCTGGGATTACAGGCGTGAGCCACCGCACCTGGCCTCTGCTTCTCAATATTAACTGCAGCTCTTGCTGGAGTTTTGCTGATGGGACTAGCATTTCAAGTTAGTCTATGGGCCCAGCCTCTTTTTGAAAAGATGGCCTAGTTCAGAGGGCTCAGGGTTCTTTTTGGTGCTCATTAAGTATAAATGTGTGTCTTATGTAAGAGGGAAAACTTCTGAGAACTGGAAGATAGAAACATTGTATTAGAGAGACTTGGGAGCCAGAGTTCAACAATGTATCTAAAACAGGTTTCAATAGTTATCCTTTTTATAGATCATACAGAGTCTTGGCTTATTACAGGGTTTCTAGAGTATGTTCTATTCCATTTCCCCCCCTAGCTGGGTGAGACTCAGGATGTAGCACAGGTCAAGCAAGGGTCTGACTGGTTTTGAGACCTCTCCAGTCCAAAGGTCCACTCCATATCCACTTATTGTTGCTTTTTTGGTTTCTTTGAGGATTTTCACACATATTTGAAGAACACTATTTGTGACTTGAATAAGGCATTCCATGACAGTAAGTCTGCCTTAGCCACATGTACATCTGAATCTTTGCACATTCTTCCAGTGGGATTTTTTTTCTTCTTCTTTTTGAGACATAGTTTCACTCTGTGACCTAGGCTGGAGTGCAGTGGCATGAACACGGCTTACTGTGGCCTTGATTTCCCGGGCTCAAGTGATTGTCTTACCTCAGCCCCTTAAGTAGCTGGGGCTACAGGCATGCACCACCATGCCCGGATAATTTCGTATTTTTTTGGTAGAGTTAGGGTTTCTACGTGTTGCCCAGGCTGGTCTTGAACCCCTTAGTTCAGGCAGTCTGCCCGCCTCGGCCTCCCAAAATGCTGAGATTACAGGTGTGAGTCACCATGCCTGGCCAGGATCATTTTTTAGAAGTAGTTTTTTCTGATCAAAGTCATGCCTTGTACAAAATTTAGAAAATATAAAACGGTAGAAGAAATGAAAGCAGCAAGTAAAAGTTACCCTTAATTCCTTAAGGGTAATTTAAGCAAATAAATTAAAGGTGACTGTCTTAGGTTGTGTGATTAGGGAAGGCCTCTCCAGGAGGTGAATGTCCTCATTCATACCGTAAACAATGAGCTTGTGATGATTAGGAACAGGTTGTTCCAGGAAGAAGGAACAGCAAGTGCAAAGGCCCTAAGGTGGGAATTAGCATAGCGTGTCTGAGGAACAGAAAGAAGTGGCAGTATGTTTGGAGCCTAGCAAGTAGAAGGGATGTGGAAGTAGGTCAGGTCAGAGAGACGAGCAGGTGCCAGATCAGGTAGAGCCTGGGGGATCCTGGTAAGGATTGGATTTTATTCCAAGGGCACTGGAAAGCCAAGGAAGGGTTTTCCATAGGACAATGACATGAAAAGATTTACTTTCTAAAAGTTGATCTTTTGCCTGCTGTGTGGAGAGGTGACTCAGGTGAGCAAGAGGGAGACCAGTATGGATGAGGAGAGTGGCCTGTGGTTTGAACTTGTTGGTGGCAAAGGAGGAGAGAAATAAAGGGATTTGGGATATATATGAAGGCAGAGCTGACTGGATATAATGAATTGGTTGTGAGAGGTGATGGAGAGAAAGAAGTCTACAATGAATCCTAGGGTTTTGCCCTGAGCGCCTGCCTGGGTGAATGTGCTATAGGGTTGAATGAACTAGAATGTGTCTAACCAATCTTTTGTGGAACATTTGGGTTATTTGCATACTTTGCTGATTAAGAATGCCCTTGGAAGAGCACATGCATGGGCTAGCTCCTTCCTTTTATCTTGTTGCACTCCTGACAGCAAGATGGGTCACCAGCAGCTGTACTGGAGCCACTGCTGAAAATTCAGCCAGGGTTCTCGCTCTTGTCGCGTCTGTTCAAACCGGCACTGTCTGATCCAGAAATGTGGCCTCAATACGTGCTGCCAGTGTTTCCGTCAGTACGCGAACGATATCAGTTTTATTAAGTTGGACTAAATGATCCTCCTTCAAAGGATTATCCAAGGCATCTACCCAATACAAAACCACGATAGTTCTTTGTACATAAAATAAACATTCAAACAAAGAACGCTCTTACAAATGTCATTGTGTACAAATCACTGGACAGATATACTTTCTCTGGGATAGGTTTCTAGGAATGAAACTACTGGCCAAAATAGAACTTAAATCATAGGGAGAATTTTTTTTTTTTTTTAAGACGTAGTCTTGCTCTTGTCATCCAGGCTGGAGTGCAGTGGCGCTATTTTGGCTCACTGCAACCTCTGCCTCCCAGGTTCAAGCAATTCTCCTGACTCAGCTTCCCAAGTAGCTGGGATTACAGGCGCCCACCACCATGCCCAGCTAATTTTTGTATTTTTAATAGAGACGGGGTTTCACCATGTTGGCCAGGCTGGTCTCGAACTCCTGACCTAGGTGATCCACCTGCCTCGGCCTCCCAAAGTGCTGGGATTACAGGTGTGAGCCACCACACCCGGCCGACATAGGGAGCGTTTTAAACGTAGCTTACAAATATTCACTCAAGTTCTTGGTAGTTTATAGGTGCTACTTTATTTGTGTACTTTTTGGCTTAATAAATGTTTCATTTAGGCCAGGAGTTCGAGACCAGCCTGGCCAACATGGCAAAATTCTGGCTCTACTAAAAATACAAAAATTAGCTGGGCTTGGTGGCGTGTGCCTATAGTCCCAGCTACTTAAGAGGCTGAGGCAGGACAATCGCTTGAATCCAGGAGGCAGAGGTTGCAGTGAGCTGAGATTGCGCCACTGTACTCCATCCTGGACGGCAGAGCAAGACTCTGTCTCAGAAAGTAAATAAAAAAATGAAAAATATTTTATTTAGGTATGGATATATGTAGCATACATATAAACTGATTTTCTGATTATAGAAATAATATGTATAAGTTAGCAAAAGTTTATAAAGATGAAAACAATCACTTGTAATTTACCAACTGGAAGGAAAAGTCACTGCTAATACTTTTTTTTTTTTTTTAGATGGAGTTTTGCTTTAGATGGAGTCTAGCCTTGCTCTGTCGCCTAGGCTAGAGTGCAGTGGCGTGTTCTCGGCTCTTGGCTCGCTGCAACCTCCACCTCCCGGGTTCAAGTGATTCTCCTGCCTCAGCCTCCCAAGTAGCTGGGATTATAGGCACTTGCCACCATGCCTGGCTTAATTTTTTGTATTTTTAGTAGAGACGGTTTCACCGTATTGGCCAGGCTGGTCTCGAACTCCTGACCTCAAGTGATCTGCCCGCCTTGGCTTCCCAAAGTGCTGGGATTACAGGCATGAGCCACCTTCCACACACACACACATAGATTTTGAGTTACATTATTATTGCATTGTATTATAGTATTACTGTTTTGAAAATTGCTTTAACAATGTGTCATCTAGTATTTTCCAATTTTGTTAAATACTGTTTTTTAATGTGAGTTAAGTACTCATGTATAATTCCAATATTCAAATATAATTTGTTATTCCATTTTTACTTTTGAAAAGGTAAAAAGGTACATGCAGATAGTAAAATTTTCAAATAATACACTAGGAATAGAGTGGAAAGTTTCATGCCTATCCCTGACTCTTGGTTCCCCAGTTTCTCTCCACAGGGGTATCTGCTTTTAACTTTTTTTGGATGTGTATCCAAAGATTTTGTCATATATCTATAGCATTTATGTGTGTATAGCAGTGCCTCTTTTTTTTAATGTACACATTTGTTCTTTGTATTGCACTTAAGAAAAACTTAGCAGTAAAGCTTAGATAGTGGTTTCCATCAGCATGTATCAGTTTACTTTATTCTTTTAAAAAGATATCTGCATTATTTTTTATTGTACAGATATATCATAGTTTATTTAGCCTTTCTCTTACATTTTGGCCTCAGGTCCTTTTTAACACGTTTGAAAATTGAGAACCAAAGAAGCTTTGTTTATGTGGGTTACATATATAGATGTTAAATGGATTTGAAATTAAAATTTAGAAAATTTGCCGGGCTCGGTGGCTCATGCCTGTAATCCCAGCACTTTGGGAGGCTGAGGCGGGCAGATCATGAGGTCAGGAGTTTGAGACCAGCCTGACGAACATGGTGAAACCCCGTCTCTACTAAAAATACAAAAATTAGCCGGGCGTGGTGGCACATGCCTGTAATCTCAGCTACTCTGGAGGCTGAGATTTACTTGAGAATTGCTTGAACCCGGGAGGCGGAGGTTGCAGTGAGCCAAGATTGCCCCACTGCACTCCAGCCTGGACGACAGGGCGAGACTGTGTCTCAAAAAAAAAAAAAAAGAAAGAAAATTGAGAAAATTTAAAAATATTAATTCATCAAAATAACAATAATCCACTGTATGTTAACAGATTTCTGTGAAAATTAACTATTTTCCAAAATGAAATCTAATGAGAAAAGTACTGTTATTTTTGCACATTTGCAAATCTTTCTGGCCTAATAGAAGAAAACTTTATTGTCATATCTGGTTCTTCATTCAGTCTTTGGTGCTATGTTGTTTTGGTTAAAGTATTTGAAGAACATCTGGCTTTATACACATGTAATTAAAGGGGAACTCATGGACCCCTGAAAAGGTCTCATGGACTCACAGGAGTCCTGGGACCACAATTTAATCAGTCCCCTGTTGATTGGAATTCAGGTTATTTATAGTCATTCGATATACAGAGCATGCTGCACTGAATGTCCTGGTAAATGTGTCTTTCAACAAATGTTTGAGTGCCAGGCAATCTTGGCTTGTGGGATGCAAAGAGGTGAAACAAGGTCTGTTCCTGAAGGAGCTGCTGTTTTTTGGTGGAGGCAGGCAGTCAGACAGGCAAGCAAACAAGAAGAAAATAACACAATTGGGCTGGGTGTGGTGGTTCATGTTTGTAATCCCAGCACTTTGGGAGGCTGAGGCTGGAGGATTGCTAGAGACCAAGTGTCCAAGACCAGCTTGGATAACGTAGCGAGACCTCATCTTTACTAAAAATAATGTAAGAAAATTAGCTGGGTGTGGTTTTACACACCTGTAGTCTCAGCTACTCGGGAGGTTGAGGTGGGAGGATCACTTGAGCCCAAGAGGTTGAGGTTGAAGTGATCTGTGATCATGCCACTGCACTCCAGCCTGGGCAACAGAGCAAGACCCTGTCTCTGAGAAAAAAAAAAATTAACTGAGGCTGCAAGATGTGCATGCTTACAGAAGAGGCAGCTAACCCAGCATTTAGGAGGAGGTGAGATTTGGGAAGGCTTTTTAGAGGAGGCGATTCCTGAGCTGAGTTTTGACAAATGAGTACAGCTACAAAAAGATGGCATGGTCATTGTCACAGCATACCTGAAACTCCTCTTGTAGAGTTTGTTTATGGTCCACAAGAGGTCCTTGCTTTTATGGCTTGGCCTTACCTTTTCTATTATCATTTTAGTCCGCATCCATCTCTAATGATATTGTCAAAGGAAAGGGTTATCATGCCTGCCCCATATCACCTTTCCAGCCCTCATTGCTTGTGCTTGCCTTTAAGATATACATACACATAGTGGCATTGTAGTATATGCATTTAAACTTCGGCTTTTAACTTCTGGAACTGAAGGATGGCAAACAATCCTAAAACTAGTAAATTGGGCTTCAAGCTGTTAACTATAAATTCACCCATTCTGAAAGGCATGTTGAATTACCTGTTCCCTTCAAAATCTACCAAGTAAATTGTTAAATGGTATTATATTATGCTAGTCTGCTCTTTAACAATCTGTATTGGTGCATATTGTGAGAAGGTTTAAGGAGTTGGAAATTTTGTAAGTTTTTTAGATGATGTACTTTCACAATGGACAATGAATCAGATATTTCAACCATGTATTTTCCTTTAGCAAACTAGATTTTTTTTTTCTTTGAGGCGGAGCCTCAGTCTGTTGCCCAGGCCGAAGTGCAGTGGTGTGATCTTGGCTCACTGCAACCTCTGCCTCCTGGGTTCAAGCGATTCTTGTGCCTCAGCCTCCCGAGTAGCTGGGACTACAGGCTCCTGCCACCATGACCTGCTAAATTTTTTTTTTGCATTTTTAGTGGAGACGGGGTTTCACCATGTTCGCCAGGCTGGTCTTGAACTCCTGACCTCAGGTGATCCACCTGCCTAGGCCTCCCAAAGTGCTGGGATTACAGGTGTGAGCCACTGCACCCGGCCCAAACTAGATTTTTTTTAAAAAAGCATGAGTAGATAATAGAGGCTTTTGGATTACTCTGTGTATTTTACCCCCTCCACTTGATGTTTAAGCTCTCAGGTTGGCCTTTAAGACATAGTACAAAAGGTCTTGTTTGTACAGCTTCATGTAGTTGAATTTAAATGGCTGATGTTATATTTTAACAGTCTCACCTCTAAGTTCTGAGAGTTTTTGTACTAGTTAAACAACAGATCCAGGAGCAAGCATCCCTTACTTAGCCAGACAGATAATACTGAAATAATGCAGAGTCATTCTTGTTTATCATCTAACTTCCAAGAAGCTAGAAATCAACTATTTTCTGATCTTCAGCACCTTCTGTCTGGGCAGCAGTAACCTGTAACCCTGGCATTTTATAATTCTTGTGACTTGGTCATAACCAACATTTGCAGGGGGCGAAGCAACTGCCAGGCCCTGGACTGACTAATGAATGCAAATTATCTCTAATTCCCACACAGATCTCCAGAGCAGTTTTTGTTATATCATTTGCTTTACAAATAAATAAATGGCCTCAGAAAGGTTGAGTAACTAACTTGGTCAGGTACAGTGGCTCACGCCTGTAACCCAGCACTTTGGGAGGCCAAGGCGGATGGATCACTTGAGCCCAGGAGTTAGAGACCAGCCTGGGCAACATGGCAAGACCCTGTCTCTACAAAAAATAAACAGAGTTAGCCAGAGTGGTGGCGCATGCCTGTAATCCCAGCTACTTGGGAGACTGAGGTGGGAGGATTGCCTGAGTCCAGGAGGCTACAGTGAGTCTATAGTGAGGCTACAGTGAGCTGTGTTTGAGCCACTGCACCCCAGTCTGGGCAACAGAGCGAAAACCTTCTCAAAAAGAAAAAAAGTTGGCCGGGCGTGGTGGCTCATGCCTGTAATCCCAGCACTTTGGGAGGCCCAGGCAGGTGGATCACAAGGTCAGGAATTCGAGACCAGCCTGGCCAATATGGTGAAACCCCGTCTCTACTAAAAATACAAAAATTAGCTGGGCATGGTGGTGTGCGCCTGTAGTCCCAGCTACTCGAGAGGCTGAGGTACAAGAATCGCTTGAACCCAGGAGGCGGAGGTTGTAGTGAGCCAAGATCGTGCCACTGCATTCCAGCCTGGGCAACAGCGCCGAGACTATGTCTCCAAAAAAAAAAAAAAAAAAAAAGTTGAGTGACAAATATGTGGCTTCAGAAAGGTTGAGTAACTTGTCCTAAGTCAAACAGCTAGTTAAAGAGAAACTAGCGTTCAAACCTGGGGCTCCATAGCTAGGATTAAACTTCTTCCCATTATGTCGTGCTGACATCTGAGTACTCTAGAAACTAGTGAAATACTCATGTCTTATAAATGCCATGTAGGGACAGTGTGTCTTAGTCTGTTTGTGTGGCTATAACAAAATACCTGAGATCAAGTAATTTATAAACAACAGAAATGTATTTCTCACTGTTCTGGAGGCTGGGAATTCCAAGATGAAGGTGCTGGCAGGTTTGGTGTCTAATAAGGCCTGTTGACTGCTTCCAAGGTTGCACCTTGAACTTTGTATTCTCACATGGCAGAAAGGATGGAGGAGGAAAAGGGCTAAAGGCCACATTAAGCTTCTTTGATTTTATTTTTTCTAATTTTAAAAATTTTCCACTAGAGACAGGGTCTCACTTTATTGGCCAGGCTGGTTTTAAGCTCCTATACTCAAGCAGTTCTCCTGCCTCAGACTCCCAAGGTGATGAAGCCTCTTTTATAAGACACAAGACTTAAAACAAAAACACAAAAACAATAAATTAAGTTTTTTTTTGGAGATGAGGTCTTGCTCTGTTGCTCAGGCTAGAGTGGAGTGGTGCAATATTGGCTCACTGCAGCCTGGAACTCCTGGGCTCAAGCAGTACTCCTGTCTCATCCTCCAGAGTAGCAGGGACTACAGGCGCATGCCACCACACCTGGCTAATTTTTAAATTTTTGGTAGAGACAAGGTCTCACTATATTGCCCAGGCTGGTCTTGCATTTCTGGCCTCAAGTGATCTGCCTGCATCGGCTTCTCAAAATGCTGGAATTACAGGTGTGAGCCACCACACTGCAGGGGAGGAGCCCTTATGACCACTTAAAGGCCCCACCTCTTAATACTATCACATTGGTTATTAAGTTTCAGCATATGAATCTGGGGGGCACGTTCAGACCCTAGCACCATGGATAGCAGGGAACAAGTATGCTGAGGCTCAGAAGGCCCTTTAAGGGTAGGATAGAGGGATGTACTTTTTGTTGTTGTTGTTCTGTCCCTAAAACATTTTTTTTTAAAAAACCTAAAAAAGGAAGCACTGACTTCCTCCTCCCATGATCAAAAGGACCAAAGGGGGTCAAAAATAGAAGCCATTTGGTTGTGAGGAGGTAGAAATTGCTTTTCATCATAATGGTAAGAGTTCAGGAATAATGCCTGAACTTGGTGTTATTTTATTATTCATTTGTCCCATTTGTCACATGTCCCAGCATTAGGTATGGGGAGGCGTGCAAAAAAGTAAAACTTGTTCTCTGTCTTTGAGGTACCGACAGTCTAGGGTTTGAGCTCTGAGTTCTACATTACGTTCCCAGGAGGCATGGCGGTGCGCATGCATGCAGGTAGAGCATGGGGGTCATAGACAAGGCAGCAAGGAGTGCTTTGTTCACATGTACCTTTTGCCTGTAATGCCTTTCACACTTCTTTAATCTCTCGAAGTCCATTTCTACTCTCATTGCTTCCATGAAGCCTTTCCACACCTGTTGCAGCTACAGGTCATTTTCTTCTCTAAAATTCTCTCATACCCATTGGTACCTTTAATTTGTTATTCATTATCTCTTGTAAGATGTTCTATTTCATAATTTCAGTTATTGTCTGTTGCCATTTGAATAGTAATTTTTTTTCATGACGGTTCAGTTCAACTAATGTTTTAATAGGCTATAACGAGAGGAGAGGAGACAGAAAAAAATAAGACACCTCATATACCTTATGCCTTGTACCTGATATCTTCTGGAAGTACTCTAAAGAAAATGAGATAGTACAGTGAGGAAGAGTGGGAAGACTACTTGAGATTGTGGCGTTAGAGGCCTCTTTGAGGAGGTAATATTTAAGCTGAGCTCTGAATAAGGGTAGGAGTCAGGCGTGTGAAGATTTGGTAGCAGGCCGGGCACGGTGGTTCACACCTGTAATCCCAGCACTTTGAGAGGCCGAGGCAGAAGGATTGCTTGAGGCTAGGAGTTTGAGACCAGCCTGGGTAACAGAGTGAGACCCCGTCTCTATAGAAAATAAAAATAAAGTTAGCTGGACGTGGTGGTGCAGGCCTGTAGTCCCAGCTACTGGGAGGCTGAGGTGGATCACTTGTGCCCAGGAGGTGGAGGCTGCAGTGAGCTATGGTCACACCACCGCACTCTAGCCTGGGCGATACAGTGAGAAGTGTCTTAAACAAGAAGATTTGAGGCAGAGGAAGCAGTATGTGGAAAGAGCCTAATATAGGAGTGAACTCTCAGTAAGTGGAGAGGATGCGGGAGGAGGCTTGTATCTTGAGCACTGTAAGTGGGGAGGAGATGGTAGAAGCGGAGGCTGGAAAGGTAGGTATAGGGCCTTGAGGCATGGCCAGGAGTTTGGGCTTCATTGTAACTGGATGAGAATCCATGGAAGGTTTTCAGGTTGTTACTTTTATTTTTTATACGTAACAGCTATACTGAATATAAAATTTGCATACAGTAAAATTTATTCTTTAAAAGTGTACAACTCAGGGCCGGGCGCAGTGGCACACACCTGTAATCCCAGCACTTTGGGAGGCTGAGGCGGGCAGATCACAAGGTCAGGATATTGAGACCATCCCGGCTAACACGGTGAAACACCAACTCTACAAAAAAAAAAAGTGTAAAAATCAGAGGTTTTCCTATATTTTACAGAGTTGTAAAACGATCACCACTATCTAATTTCAGAACATTTTCATTTCTCCAGAAAGAAACCCTATACCCATTAGCAGTCACTCCCCATTTCCCCCTTGCCCCAGCCCTAGGCAGTTACTACTCTAGTTCTGTTTGTATGGATTTGCCTATTCTGGATAGTTGTATGTTAATATATGTGACTTTTTGTGTCTGGCTGCTTAGCATGTTTTCAAGGTTTATCTATATTGTAGTGTGTATCAGTACTTTATTCATTTTTATTGCCAAATAATTTATTGAATGGGTATACCACATTTTGTTTACCCATTCATTCCTTAATGGACACTTGGGCTGTTTCCTGCTATGGGACATTTGTATGTAAGTTTTTGTATGGATGTAAATGTTCATTTCTCTTGGGTATATACCTAAGGATAGCAATACAGGTTCATTTGGTAACTCGACGTTTAATAGTTTGTGGAAGTGCCTGTTATCCAAAGCAGCTGCATCATTTTACCTTCCCACTAGCAATGAATGAAGGTTCGTTTCTTCTCATCGTCAACTTTTACCTTCTGATAAAAGAAAAACTTCAGCCAAGTTTAATTGAGCAATGAATGATTCACGAATCGGGCAGCCCTCAGAATCACAGCAAATTCACAGAGACTCCAGTACAGCCACATGGTGGAAGAAGATTTATAGACAAAAAAAGAGAAATGACTACAGAAATCGGAAGTGAGATACAGAATGGCTGGATTGGTTACAGCTCGGCATTTGCCTTATTTGAACACAGTTTGAACACTCAGCAGTGTATGAGTGGTTGAAGTATGGCCACTGGTATTGGCCAAGACTCAGCTATTGTTATAGTCACATACTCCTAAATTAGGTTTTTAGTCTTATCTACCTAAGCCAGGTTGCAGTTTGTCCACAAGTGTAACCTCCCGATGGGCTCACCTTGCCTGCTGCCTAGACAGAGCGGATTTATCAAGACAGGAATTGCAATGGAGAAAGAGTAATCCACGTAGAGCTGGCTGTACGGGAGACTGGCGTTTTATTATTACTCAAATCAATCTCCTTGAGCATTCAAGGATCAGAGTTTTTAAAGATAATTTGGTGGGTGGGGCTTGGGAAGTGGGGAGTGCTGATTAGTCAGGTTGGAGATGGAATCATAGGGGGTGGAAGTGAGGTTTTCTTGCTGTCTTCTGTCCTTGGGTGGGATGGCAGAACTTGTTGAGCCAGATTATGGGTCTGGGTGGTGTCAGCTGATCCAGTGAGTGCAGGATCTGCAAAATATCTCAAGAACTGATCTTAGATTTTACAGAGTGATGTTATCCCCAGGAGCAATTTGGGGAGGTTTGGACTCTTGGAGCCAGAGGCTGCATGACCCCTAAACTGTAATTTCTAATCTTGTAGCTAATTTGTTAGTCCTGCAAAGGCAGACTGGTCCCCAGGCAAGAAGGGGTCTTTTCGGGAAAGGGCTGTTAATCAATTTTGTTTCAGAGTCAAACCCATGTACTGAATTCCCTCCCAAAGTTAGTTTGGCCTACACCCAGGAATGAACAAGGGCAGCTTCAAGGTTAGAAGCAAGATGGAGTCGGTTAGGTCTGATTTCTTTCACTGTCATAATTTCCTCAGTTATAATTTTGCAAAGGCGGTTTCACAAGGACTCAAATACTGAAGTATGGAGTCCTTCTCAGGTCATATTTAGTTTGCTTTAACCACCCCTCCCTCCCTACCTTTCTCTCTCTTTCAATTTTAGCTACCCTATTGAGTATAAAGTGGTGTTTCATTGTGGCTTTGATTTGTATTTCTCTGAGGACTAATAATGCTGAACTTCTTTTCATATGCTTACTGACCATTTGCATATATCTTCTTTGGAGAAATTCCATTCAAATCCTTTGCCCATTTTAAAATTGGCTCATTTGTCTTCTTGTTGAATTCTTTATATATTCTGGATACAAGTCACTTATCAGATATATGATTTACAAATATTTTCTCCTATCCTGTTTCACTTCCTTGATGGCTCCCTTGGAAGCACAAGTTTTTGATTTTGATGAAGTCCAGATGATCTATTTTTTCTTTTGTTGCTTATGCTTTTGGTGTCATAGCTAAAACACCATTGCCTAATCCACAGTGTAGCCATTGTTTTTAAACATGGGACTGACATCTGACTCACATTTTGAATAGATCACTCAGGCTATTTGGAAACTGGGGTTGAAGGTTCTAGAGTGAAACTAGGGAGAACAGTTAAGAGGCTGTCAGTATTGACAGACAAATGGGTAGACTTTAAACTTATTAAGCACTTGTAAAATCAGTCTATTCCAAAAGCATTTTGTTAATCAGAGTAAGAAATGGTCTCTACCTTCAACAATTTACAAGATAAAAATATACTCAATTATTTTATAAAGCAAATTATATTGAGTGCTATAAAAATAGGAATGAAAACACTTTTTTAAGAACAGTAGAGAGAAGAGTTACTTGTATGAACTTTTATTAAGTTCATTTAAAAAATCTCTAGTGTCTAACATACCTTGCTTAATAGTTGTTTGTTATACCTCTGGACAAAAGAGTTAGAGGGCTTTGGGAAAGATGGCATTAGAACCGAGCCTTGAAGGATGAGTAGCAGGTGGAAACATGTGAAAGCAGGGTATTTTTGATGTAGGTATCATGTCTATGAGTAGACAATTAAAATTAAGGGAACTTTGTGAGGTGAGATGACACACACCACACCTTTTGTCCCAGCTACTTGGGAGGCTGAGGCAGGAGGATCACTTGAGCTCAGGAGTTCAAGGCTGTAGTGCATGATGATCCTGCCTGTGAATAGCCACTGCGTTCCAGTCTAGGCAACACAGGGAGATCCCATGTCTGGAAAAAAAAAAAAAAAGGAACCTTCATTGAAATCTAGAGTTGGAGGAATTATATGTAGAGTTGGAGCTTACATGTAATTCCAGATTGAGTTCCTCAAACTCCTTTTGGTGGCTGTTACTCGTAGCAGAGTATGATGTGGATTGTAGTGGGGGAAAACTGGAGCACAGCCAAGATGGTGCCACAACAGTTTAGATGCGGTCTAGGGTAACAGTAATGGATAAAAGGGGAAGTGAGAGGAGTGGGGGTAGTGATGGCAGTGTCTGATAGGACTGTAGGAGAATGGTGGGCGGGGCAGAGCCAAGTGCTGCCCTTTGAAGGGGTGAACTTGAATGACTGTGCCAGGAAAGTAGTCCCATTTAACACAAGGAGGGCAGTCCAGGCATGAAGAGGATAATGAGCTTAACATACCTGTGAGAAGTTTCAGGTGGAGGTATCTGGTGGCCTTCGGCACAGCAAGTGGTAGGCACAGGGAGTTGGCTATATGCTGTAGAGAAAATATAGGTGGGCTTTAGAGGCAGGCATAACTCTGCCTCCACCTTTTACTGGCTTTGTAAACTTTGGGGGAAGTTAATTAAACTTGATTCCTGAGGGTCAGATGGGGTCGTCTGTGTAAAATGCCTGGCAAGTAGGAGGCTTTTCTCTATTGTTTGTTCCCTTCTTTTCTGGAGTCCTAATGCTTTGATTTCATTTATAATCTTCCTTAGTGAATGTGGTGCTTTGAATGGAAGCACAATCCAGTGGGATTTAAGCTGTGTGTGTGTGTGTGTGTGTGTGTGTGTGTGTGTGTGTGTTTACCACCCAGCAGAGGCTACACTTGCTCACTGTTTGTAAACCCCCTATTAGTTGTGCTGTCCTTCTATTTTCCCTTGGACTTCTCTTGTGTTCAGTCTTGTCCAAACAAAAATATTTGCATTAAAGTTATGTGTGTTCCTCATTTGGAAGACTCCTTGAATCCATAATTGCTTTTTAAATTTTTTTTGAAATAGTCTTGCTTTATCTCCCAGGCTGGAGGAGTACAGTGGTGTGATCAAGGCTCACCGCAGCTTCAACCTCCCAGACTCTAGCAATCCTCCCACCTCCGTTTCCCATGTAGCCAGGACTACAGGTGCTCAACACCACACCACCAATTTTAAAGTTCTTTTGAAGACGGGGGTCTCACTATGTTGCCCAGGCTGGTCTTGAACTCCTGGACTCAAGCAGTTCTCCCACTTTGGCCTCCCACAGTGTTGGGATTACAGATGTGAGCCACTGGGGCTGGCCATACTTGCTTTTTAAGAATTGTGTCATCTTGGCCAGTGCAGTGGCTCACTCCTGTAATCCCAGCACTTTGGAAGGCCAAGGCGGGCGGATCACTTGAGGTCAGGAGTTTGAGACCAGCCTGGCCAACATGGTGAAACCCTGTCTCTACTAAAAATACAAAGATTAGCTAGGTGTGGTGGCTTGTGCCTGTAGTCTCAGCTACTCAGAGGGCTGAGGCAGGAAAATCACTTGAACCTGAAAGGCGGAAGTTGTAGTGAGCCAAGATCACACCACTGCACCTCCAGCCTGGGTGACAGAGAAAGACTCTCTCAAAAAACAAAAATAGAAACAAATTATGTCATTGTTAAGAGGGGCAGTTTTCTAAGTTTTCCTGTAGGTCTAATCGGATGGATTTTTTTTCAGGATCTTTTAATATGCTGGGCTGCTGATATATCTGATTCAACTTCTGGTCTGCTTTGTTTTTTGAACTCAGCTGCTTCTATATTTTTTCTTCTGCATAACTGGTAGAACAGCCAATGTAGTCTACAAGAGAGCTATAAAATATTGATTGCATATATGAGTACAGTTTCCCAGTTTTCTTAAATGGTAACTATAAATACTGTCTCAGGACATAATTTAGTTTTTCCAAAAGGGAGATAGATTTTTTTTTTTTTACACTTGTATTACTTTAGTGGCTTAGTTTAAAAAAAAAAAAAGATCAAGGATCTAGCTTGGAGCACAAAAAAAATGCAAGATCTCCTTTCCGTGGAGCTCAGTTCTGTTTTGGTTTTCTAGGGTTCTTAGAGACTAAACACTATGCATAACAATGAATGTGTTAATTTTAATGATTTGTTCCATTTCTTAATGTCTTAGAATTGGAAGGGATTTTTAGTCATTCTATCCAAGTGGCCATTCTGTGCTGGATCCATTCTATAGCAGCTGACAGCTAACTCGCCTTCTCTGGAAACAGGCTCTTTCATTGCTGGACAGGTCTAATTGTTGGAAGATTTTTTTTCCCCTTATACTGAGATGAAAGCCAGCCCCTTGAAACTGTCATCCATAAACTGTCATCCATTTGTCCAACTTCAGTCTTTTGTTGTCACATAAATTAAATCCGCTAGCTCTTCAGATAATTGAAAATAGTTGCTAGGCAGCACTTCTCTGACTTAAGTTGTCTTTTTTTCCCCAAGAAAAATAGCCCCAGTTCTCTCTACCATTCTTCCCATATCATTTCTAATTCTTTTTCAGCCTTTCACCATGACCCTTTTAAACTGCAATGACCACCACTAACAACTGGTTAAGTGTGGTAGAACCACTGTAGCTTTAGTAGGTTACTCTGCATATTCTTTTTTTTTTTTTTTTTTTGAGACAGAGTTTTGCTCTTGTTGCCCAGGCTGGAGTGCAATGGTGCGACCTCAGCTTATTGCAACTCCGCCTCCCGGGTTCAAGCTATTCTCCTGCCTCAGCCTCCCAAGTAGCTGGGCTTGCAAGCATGTGTCACCATGCCCAGCTAATTTTGTATTTTTAGTAGAGACGAGGTTTCACCATGTTGGTAAGTCTGGTCTTGAACTCCTGACCTCAGGTGATTTACCCGCCTTGGCCTCCCAAAGTGCTGGGATTACAGGTGTGAGCCACTGTGCCTGGCCCTGCATATTCTTTTTGTTTGTTTTTGTAAAGATGAGGGTCTCTGTTATGTTATCTAGGTGGGTCTTGAACTCCTGGCCTCAGGTGATCCTCCCCCGTCAGGCTCCCAAAGTACTGGGATTATAGGCATGAGCCACCACATCTGGCCTGCTCTCCATATTCTATTCTCTTTCTAAATAAACACATTATTTGGAAAGTATTTCTGAACATTGTCCTGCAGGGCACACTGTAGCTCAGCCTCATAAAAGCCTACCTACCATATTTGAGGGTGCATACCAGGGCCGTTTCAGAACGTACCAGCTACTCCAGGTTACTCAAATCTGTAGTCCTGTCCTTTGAGTTGGGCCAGAGATTTTCTCCCTTGGCTTATGCTGAAGAATAAGATGGCTATCTAAAATTAATGGCAGGACAAAAATGCTGGTAGCATGGTGGAAATAACACTTAGCCTAGGCCAGGTGTAGTGGCCCATGGCTGTAATCCCAGCTCTTTGGCAGGCTGAGGTGGGAGGACCACTTGAGGCCAGGACTTCTGAGACCAGCCTGGGCAATGTAGCAAGACCATGTGTCTACAAAAATAAAAACAATTAGCCAGCTGTGGTGGTGTACCCCGGTAGTCCCAGCTACTAGGGCGGATGAGATGGGAGGATTGCTTGAACCTAGGAGTTCAAGGATACAGTGAGCTATGATTGCACCACTGCACTCCAGCCTGGTTGGCAGAATGAGACGCTGTCTCAAAAAAAAAAAAAAAAAGAAAAAGAAAAGAAAAGAAAAAAACACACTTAGCCTAAATATTGCAGGATATCATTCAGCGGTGAACAACTCATGACTGAATTTCCCCAAATTATCTTTATTTAGAGTTTATTTGGATTGTTTCCACATATCTGGATTTTTTAAATTCCAGAACTGTATTGATTTATGCCAAATGACTTAGTGATGCAAAGCTCAGAGAGGTAGTGTGGTTGTATTTAAGAGTGTAGGCTCTGGATTTCGATCCTGATTTGACCACCCTAGCTCTGTGACTTTGGGCAGAGTAGCCAATGTTTTGTGTTTACTCATTTGTAAATGAGAGTAATGATAGAGCTAACACACAGGGTTTTCTAGTATTACACAGATTCATATATATTGACAGCCTGGCCAGGGTGAGGGGAGTGAAGCTGAGGCACTGTCCCCCAGTGAAAAGTTTAAGGGGGCACCAAAAACACTCAGTAATCAAGATAAATAATAGTTTAATGTGATAAAATGAACAACATACCAAAATTTCAAATAAATTCCAGATCTGGCCTGGTCAGGATGAGGGTGAAGTAAGACTAAGTCAGGCATATGTAGGGTCAGGTCCTATTGTTATTTGAACTTTCTGCAGTTTTTTTATCATGGATTTTTTGGGCATGTTTAAAAGTATTGCATTAAAGTATTATTTTTTCTTGGTCATTAGTTGTTCGGTTTTGTGTGTGTGTGTGGCCCCTCACTCACTCCCTCACTCTAGGTGGTGTGAGGCCAGTGTATTGGTATTTGTTATTAGTGATTACTCTAGGGTTAGTTTTGTAGAGGAAATGAATTTTAGTGCCTCATGGAAAGTCCCTCCCACCTCCAGGATATTTTCTGTTAGGTTGCGTCAGAGTCCCAATCCAAATCTCATAACTAAGATCAGTTTTGGCCAGGCGTGGTGGCTCACGCCTGTAATCCCAGCACTTTGGGAGGCGGAGGCGGGCGGATCACGAGGTCAGGAGATTGAGACCACGGTGAAACCCCGTCTACTAAAAATACAAAAAAAGAAAATTACCCAGGTGCGGTGGCGGGCGCCTGTAGTCCCAGCTACTCGGGAGGCTGAGGCAGGAGAATGGCGTGAACCCGGGAGACGGAGCTTGCAGTGAGCCGAGATCGCGCCACTGCACCCCAGTCTGGGTGACAGAGCGAGACTCCGTCTCACACACACACACACACACACAAAAAAAATCAGTTTTAAGGTATTAGAGGATGTCGTTCTTTCTTGTCTTCTGTTAAATGGTGCTTTGAATGTCATGTTTCAAACACTGCTGGAGCTCAGATCCCAGAAAATGAAAAATGTGTGCACTTAGCTTATGCGTAGAGGAGCCTAGCCAAACCAAACAGCACGTTTGAAACTTTGCTTTTCCTTTATGGCTGAGATTGTGAAAGACAGCCACAGATGGTGGCTGAGCTCTAGCTGGAACTGCTGTTAGTCGGCGCGAGATGTTCTAAGTGACGGGAGCCAGGAACTCACTGTGGTGTTTCTAGAAGTTAAATTATGATGATAGGATCTTCCTGTAATACTGGTTCTGTTCCTTGCCTTTAGTTATATCTTGGAAATCTGTCACATGGTTAGTGACTAGTGAAAGGCCAAAAAAATTTGCAGAATCAGCTATTTAAAGCTTTGTTCTTGATAGTTCAAGTGTTACGCAAGGCAAAGCAGCCCTCTGTTAAGGGTTTCAGGCTAGGTGTCTCCTTGTTAGGGTGTCATTCCTGTTGTAATTATTGGTTTGTCTTGTCTTCTTCCTTTTTTTTTTTTTTTTTTTTTGAGACAAGGTCTTGCTTTGCCATCCAGGCTGGAGTGCAGTGGCACGATCATGGCTTACTGCTGCCTCCACCTGTCACTCAAGAGATCTTCCAACCTCAGCCTCCCGAGTAGCTCGGACTACAGGCACATGCCACCATGCTTGGCTAATTTTTTTTTTTTTTTTTTTGTGCAGATAGGGTCTCACTATATTTCCCAGGCTGGTCTGGAAGTTCTGGGCTCGAGCAATCTGCTTGCCTCAACCTCCCAAAGTGCTGGGATTACAGGCATAATTATAGGCCTTTTTTTTTTTTTTGGATATAGACTTATTCTGTGTTTCAGAAATAGTTGCTTTTTTTTTTTTTTTTTTTTTGAGACAGAGTCTCCCTCTGTTGCCTAGCCTGCAGTGAGTGCAGTGGCACAATCTCCGCACTGCAACCTCCACCTCCCTGGTCAAGCGATTCTCCTGCCTCAGCCTCCCTAGTAGCTGGGACTACAGGCGCCCGCCATCATGCCCGGCTAATTTTGTTTTTTCAGTAGAGACGGGGTTTCACTAAATTGGCCGGGCTGGTCTCAAACCCCTGACCTCCTGATCTGCCCACCTCGGCCTCCCAAAGTGATGGGATTACAGGTGTGAGCCACTGTGCCCAGCCAATAGTTGCTCTTAAAAGGTCAGGTAAAACGAATGTTGTTGATCGTTTGCCTAAAATATATAGGGTTGAATAGACTGATAATCACCATAGCAGCTATCATTGGATTTTATTAGGTTTAAATTTATCTGAAGATTGTCATGTCTTTAAGTCGCAAAGAAGTGGAATCTAATTATATACTTAGGGCTAGGCATGGTGGCTCATGCCTATAATCCCAGCACTTTGGGAGGCTGAAGTGGGTGGATCACTTGAGGTCAGGAGTTTTAGACCAGCCTGGCCAGTATGGTGAAACCCTAGCTCTAGTAAAAATAAAAAATTAGCATGGTGGCACATGCCTATAATCCCCGCTACTCGGGAGGCTGAGGCTTGAGAATTGCTTGAACCCAGGCGCAGAGGTTAAAGTAAGCCAAGATTGTGTCACTGCACTCCAACCTGAGCAACAGAGAGAGACTCCATCTCAAGTATATATATATATATATATATATATATATATATATATATATTTAAACTCATTACACTTCCCAAATATATATATATTTGGAATGAGTTTAAAACGTAAGCTTTACGTTTTTTAAAACGTAACTTTTGTTTGTTGACTGATGCCAGACGTTGCTGCCTTGGTGAAGTAGCTCTACTGCACCAAGTTAAAAAAGTTAATCGTCTTTAAAGACTGTAGGTATCTTCTGGTTTAGTGTTAAATAAAAAGAAAAAAGGGAGGGGAGATTCTTGTCTCGAATATGTCACCTTCTTTGTACCAGTTTTTAGAGAGCAGCTGTGGCAGCTGCTGAATTATATATGCCTGCTTTGTTTTCCTCCTTTTATTTGGCGGTGGAGAAAGTGTGACAATTTTAAAGTGACTCTAAAATTAGTATATCTGGTGGAGCATTCAATTTCATGAATGTGCTGTTTGGAATAGCAGTATGGAATCAAATAAGATGCAGAGACTTGGGTATAGAATAAGCTTACGAATGGAAATCAGGGGCCTGATGCACTACAGGCGGTTTGATTTATGACGGAAACATCCTCAGATATCCAGGAACTCATATATTGGAATAGAGACAACTGTGGGAATAGATTGTCCTACCCAGAAAGCAAAATCTGGCAGAGTTTGAGGTTTCTTATTGGGTAATTTTATCAGCTCGTTCTTAGATTAATTAGTAGAATAAGACTTCCAGAGTTGCAAGATGAAATGCGATGCTTTCTTCTCTTCTTCTTCGCTATTTCTACTTCTGGGCCATCTTGGCCAGCAAGAGATTTTTTTTTTTTTTTTTTTTTTTTTGATACGAACTCTCGCTCTGTTGCCCAGGCTGGAGTGCAATGACATGATCTGTGCTCACTGCAACCTCCACTTTCCGAGTTCAAGCGATTCTCCTGTCTCAACCTCTCAGGTAGCTGGGATTGCAGGCATGTGCCACCAAGCCTGGCTAATTTTCTGCATTTTTAGTGGAGACAGGGTTTCACCACGTTGGCTAGGCTGGTCTTGAATGCCTGACCTCAAGTGATCCACCTGACTTGGCCTCCCAAAGTGCTGGGATTGCAGGCGTGAGTCACTGCGCCCGGCCTAGCAAGAGATTTTTGAACCACAAGTCTTGGTCGTCAGTATTGAATCATTATGGTGTGTGGCATGGTAGTGGCTGCACCATGTTGGAGTAAATGTGTTCTCATGGTGGGGGATATTAGTGACCCTGGGTAACAGTCCATGGCACTTGGCTTGCACCACAGAGTTAACATACAGCAGATCAGCTGTCCCTGTCCTCCAGCTTTATATACCGAATTAGAAAGACTTGGGCCCTCATCCTTTACTCAGTGGCTTCCCGGCACTCCACACCACATCTCTAATACTGGGTATTTTCTCTGGTCACCTCTTCCTCAGATTGCATACTTCCCTGTAATTTTTCACTTCTGCGTTTCAGTCTTTCCTTGGAAAGGCTGCCCTTTCTGTATGACTTCATCCCATGTTGGACCCGACCCTCCTTCTTTCCTTCTCCCAAAGCACTACTCATACCTGTAATCCCAGCACTGTGGGAGGCCAAGGTGGGCAGATCGCTTGTGCTCAGGAGTTCGAGCCTGGGCGGCATGGTGGAACCTCATCTCTACAAAATACAAAAATAATTAGCCAGGCGTGGTAGCGCACGCCTGTAGCCACAGCTGCTTAGGAGACTGAGGTGGCAGGATCCCCTAAACCCGGGAAGCTGAGGATGCAGTGAGGCATAATTGTGCCACTGTACTCCAGTCTGGGTGACAAAGGGAGACCCTGTCTCAAAAAAAAAAAAATAGACTACTTAGCTGAGGTGGTTGTATTAAGGTTTGGGGTGATGGGGATTAGAGTCTGGCACAAGGAAGTTGACATGGCATGTTAGACACCGGTGTCCTAAAAACCTATCAGCCATTCCCCACACACCCCTTCAGCCACTGCCTGCCCCTCCCCTGGCTTAGGTTCAGCTCACTGATTTCTTGCTCTTTTCCCTTCTGGAGAGTCTGCTCTTTTTCTGTTCCTCAGCTTTCAATCCTCCAATACCAGAAGGATTTGGCTTTCTAATCCAGAATAGTTTCCCTCTTCACCCTCAACCCCCCAAATAAACCCTAGCCTTACCTTTATTGATCCAAAAACTCATTAGTTTTTCCTGAATGAAGGGCCCAGAGCAAAGCATAGGCAGATGTTTTGACACTCTAGTTGTTTTTTTTTTAACCTGATTAAATTTTTAGATGAAGTTTATTTTCCCCCAAGTCTCTCTAAGAATACAAGGAACTCGTTTTCTTAATTCAGAGACTGAGTTTTCTTAATTTTCTTTCTTAAATTCAGAGACCGAATTTCCCTTTGGCAAAGACAGATCCTCGAGTGTCAGGACTTATTATTATTTTTTTCTTGGCTACAATTTGCCTTCTTTTTTCTTTTAACATACCTCATTTACTCACTTAATTTAAAAAATACTGTTGGGATCCTTTGCTCCCTGAGCCTTTGTTTAAGTCACTGAGCTCAACAAGACCTGCCCTTGAGGTGTTCTCAGTTCACAAGGGGAAAGGGGAAAGGGACAGATGGTTGAACAAAGAATTACGGTGTGAGAGAAATTGCTTGAGGAAGTGAGCAAAGGCTTTGGACACAGGGTCTAGGGAGCTACTTGCTGTAGGGCATGTGTTAAGAGTTCAGGCTTTGGAACCACATTGACTGGGAAGCCAGCCAGGCAAGTTACTCAAACACTTTCTATTTCTTCAACCACAAACCAAGAATAATAATGGTACTACTTCATACGGTTGTTGTAAGAATTAATTGAGATAATACGTACAAGGGAGTATAGAAAGACTTGACCCAATATTTGCTTATTTATTTTTTCTTTTTAAAATTTTTATGGATATCTATTTTTAATGTGCTCCATGGTAGGAATTAGCTTAATCCTGCAATTAAGTGAAACACATTTTAAGAATGTATAATATTTTCTCTTTTTGTGTGCCACTTTTTATTTTAAACAACCAAAATAGTGGTCATGACCTTCATTTGACAACCCCTGGTCCAGTACTTCCTAAGTGTTTCATTACTGTTGCCACTGGTATCGTTGTTCTTGCTGGCTGTTGAAGGATGATTGTGTGTTGGCCCGCTCAGTGGACTGCTTGTCCTTGCTGATTGCTGAGGAGGTCCTGTCAGAAGAGTGTCCGCATCAGCTCTCCCTGTTCCCGTTTCCCTTCCGGAGGTTGCTGAGCAGCACACATTTTTGGAGCCCTTGCTGTAGTTCTCCAACAGGGCATTGCCAGAGTTACTACAGAGAGAGAGAGGGAAGACTCTCATGGGCAGCAGTAGCAATCCATCCTGTGTGAGCAGATGGCACTGGAGAATAGCAGCCTTGCTTCTGCTGAGCTGCAGCCAAGATCCTGTTCAGAGAGGCAGCCAACAAGGTGCATGGCACAGCCGGATAGATTCACACTCTGGGCCTTGTGCAATGGCAAGGAATTACTATTTGTGTTGCTTTAAAAGTGACATTCCTCCTTATCCTCTGAATGCGTCTAGTACTTGGGCTGTGCTCAGGTTACAGGGAGGCTGTTCTATGGTTTTTACAGAGTAAGAAAATCCAGAGGGCCCCTGAGATTTCCAATGTAATCCTACTCTGTAGGGCTGAAAGTGCCTGCTATGGTGGATACCAAGGCAGATTTCCAGAACATGAGCTTGAGGAGACGGTTAAACATTCTGGGTTTAAAACTCTTCTGTGATTTTGGCAAATCTTTCAGATTACTTGCCGTTTTCCTATTTGCTCCCTTGCCCAACTTCTGTTGCATTCATCCCAATCTGCTTTTCTCCTCCGCTGCTTATATAAAGCCGCGTGTGGTATTACACCAGATGTTCATGGTGTGTTTATGAATGCATGTGTTCCTATCCCGGGCCAAGAAAATACACTTGACATAGGACGTCCAAAATTTTTTGGCTTATGAAGCTCCAGTATCTTTTACTTTCACTACTTATTTAATTTTAAAAGAAGGTTACTGTACTGTTTTATTCTTTGAATAAATATGAAGGGTGAAATAATAATTGATCTGCTGGCGGAATGAGAAAGCCTAAGGAGGAAGAATTGTCTGGATATCCTTTGTGCTTAGAGATTGGATCACCTTCTTTTTCAGTAATGCCAGCCCCTCCCCTACCCAAAGTCATGGCTGTTGTCCATGCATCTTTTTATCTTGGCTATTATAGAAGCATACCCACTGCCAACACATTTCTGGACCCTGGGTACAAAATTAGACTAAGTGAATATAAATATCCAGTCTGGCTAGAGAGAAAAGAGTGAAGAGGCCTCATGAAGCATTGGCCCTTATTCTCAGGAAGCGTTCTAGGGAAAGTATGGTAGAAAGAACACTAAATGATGATTCAGGCCTGAGTTCCCATCCCGACTCCACCTCTCACGTTTAGAACGGGCATAATGATCAGTTGATTTCGCTGCCCGTGAATGCCGGGAGACTCTCCTTAGTCTGTAAAGTCCCCTCCTCACCACAGAGATGGAACCTCTGTGGTTTAAGGAAAGCTGGTGTGGGGAGGCTAGTCCTCTACCCTTCACACAAGCCTCCAAATGCAGGGAGTTGAAGTGCCACCACAGAGATAGCAGAGGTCGAACGGTCTACCTCTCTCTTGCAGATGAGGAAACTTGAGGCCACGATAAGTGAAATACATTGCTGTGTTGAGAGTCCTGTGGGCAGTGAGCTGAAAGCAGAACAAAGAGCTGGGACTCCTGATTCCCAGCCTGGCAGTAGTAGTTCCTGGTGTCATATTTGCCATTGCCTCAGTATGAAGCCATTCCAGTATTTCAGTGTTTTTAAAAAGGTATTGTCCCTTGATAAAATGCAGATGTCAGGAAATAAATCACATTACAAATTCTTTCATTTTTAATCTCACAATTAGTGATTAAGAGATGCATATTTGTACTTTCGAGCTCAAATCTAGGTTAAATAATTTTTCATTTTACTATTAATCTGCTTTTGACTTAGGTGATAATCGATTGTGCAGATCACAGATTTGAGTAATGTTGGCTACAACTTCCTTTGGTTGAAGACCAACAATAATTGCCGCTATCATGAGCTAAATATTGCAGACTAAATGACAAAGGAAAGGTATTGAAGACGGGTGTATTCCATATGAGGTCTCTTTTTCCCTCAGAGACCAGTGACTAATATGCCACGAGCATATTAGTCTAATATCCAAAGGAACAAAAATGAGTAGGATTATAGTCTTTACAGTTTCAAAGTTTTAAAAATTATATTAAATAAGTTATAAACCTGTCTTTGTTGTCTTCTTTAGGAATAGCTTACAAATCCCTGCTGGCTTGGGATTTATTAGGACACTTTTAGGGTAAAATTTATCTGTGTCACACAGACACCCAGAGGAGATGGCACAAAGAGAAGCAGTTGAGTTTTGTTGGTGAAGCCTTGTACAACCTTCCTTGAGGTGACTTCCGCGTACCTATATGTTAAAAACGGTAAATTGTTTCCTTAATGCTAAACTTCCTGCTGCTTCTGTCAGAGAATACTTTGGAATCCTAATCTCAGAAATCTTTCAGAGTTGACTCATGCATTTTGTGGGTGTTTAAGAATGTCAGATAGCTTCAGGAGGAGCAAGCATCCACTTGTTGGGAACAGACCCTTCCTTGTTAAGAGATCAGGCTTGGGATCCAAACACAACCTGTGGTAATGATCTTTCTGCACCAATTTGTGTAGACTGAAGCAACGGTTGTGAGAACCAAGGGCAACATGCACCAAATGTCCACTTATGTAGTCTAATCAGGTAAGAGAATGCTTTGCTTAATTCAGTAATTTTCCTCAGTTATTCAAGGCTTGCCAAAGAATCAGACTATAAGATAGCATTTAAAAAAAAAAAACATTGCTGCACATGATGTTTCATTTGTTGAGAAGGGTTTTCTGAGTCTTAATTGCCTGAAAGTCATGACCGTGGCTGTCAGGGGTGAACGATACAAAAAGTAAGGTATGGTAAAGGGTGTAATGAGAAGTTCATCTAATAATTTGTAGGGTCCTGTGGATGGGAAGGTGGAAGAGTTCAAAGGTATGATAATTCTTCATCTCAAGTAGAGTGGCTCTTGCTTGACTGTTAAGATAGCCTCTGGCCTCAAGGGGATTATAATCTGCTCTGGAGGATTTGTAAACAATGTCTGTTCCACTGGAGGAGTGAAATGTCAGGTAAAGGTACAAGGCCACTGCATATGATTGTACAAATCGTGGCCTGTTGAGGGGAACCTGGCTAAGGGGTGTGTGAGGCCTGTAGTCCAACCCTGGTTCTGCCCACCGAGCTGTGTTCTCCGGCACACGGCTGAGTCTGCCTGGAGAAATGAGCATCTTGAAATGTGTGCATAGCCACAATGTGTTTACTCAGCTGGGGGCCCACAGGGCTGCCTCTTCCCAAAGGGAACACCTCTGTAGTACAGACACCGAATGAACTAACTTTAGCCCATGTGCTGGTAGATTACAGAAGGGGGGATTAACTCTCAAGGTAAGATAGGAGAAAAATGATCAGGGAAAGCTTCTTAGAGGAACACACAAACTGAAGGGTGTTTCTTCCAGCCAACATTTGCTAGCCCTTCAGAAGCCCAACTCCAGTGTGGGAAGCTTCTTTTGGACCTGAGGTCAGATTGGGGTGTCCACCTCTGTCTTCTGTTCCGTCTTTCCTCCACGAGTCTGTAGATTGCGGGAGGGTAGGAACCACAGTCGCACTTGACTCTGTGCCTGGCACAGACAAGGGGTCAAAGGATGAATGATAAGGAAATGAGGGTGGGAGGTGAGGTTGAGAAGTAGTTTCCAGCTAGATCAGAGAGACCTTGAATGCTATCCTAAGGAGTATTCATCCATGCCATCCTACAAGCCAAGGAACACACTGTGGTGTCAGCAAGGGAGCGACTTGTGCCACCTTGTGTTTTTGGAAGGTCTATCTTGGAGTTGTGTCTAGGATGGATTGGGGGAGGGAGAGGGTCTGGGAGAGAGGAAAGGAAGCTGACTGGTGAGGAGATATGGAATTAAAGGATGCTTATAATTTGGTAGGAAACAGCCACATAGAAACTGAGTTTTTAGTTAGTTAGATACAGTACCTAAAGGAAGCACTGGTTATACAGAGCAGGACCAGGTATTTCCTTACAGTCAGCAGCTCGGTTCTTTAGTAAGAACCTGTCCCTTTTATACAGGTGCTAGTGTCATATTTCAGCAGCATGTATGCTAACATGCAAAGTTGTTTCTGTTCAAGAAAATGCTCACAAACATTGAGAGGCAGTGTGTAGTGGTTAAGAAAATGGACTGGGGCCAACTTGCTTGAAGTTGAGTCTGGGCTGTATGACTTATTAACTCAGTTACTTTGGGCAAGTTACTTAATCTCTCTGTGTTTCAATTTCCTTATCTAAGAAATAGGGAATATTATACCCTAGACTTCATAGATATTTGTGAGCATTTGATGAGTTCATGTATATAAACTTTCTAGAATCGGCCAGGTGTGGTGGCTCATGCCTGTAATCCCGGCACTTTGGGAGGCCCGGGCAGGAGGATCCCTTGAACTCAAGAGTTTGAGACCAACGTGGGTAACATGATGAGACCCCCATCTCTACAAAGAAAAATTAGCCAGGCATGGTGGCATGTGCCTGTAGTCTCAGCTACTCTGGAGGCTGAGGCGGGAGAATCGCTTGAGTCTGGGAGGTCAAGTGTGCAGTGAGCTGTGATCACACCACTGCACTTCAGCCTCGGTGACAAAGTGAGACCCTGTCTCCAAAACAAAAAGAAAAAAGAAATGGTCTAGAACAACCCTTGGCACATAGACACAAATACTTAGTATCTCCATGTTCTTGAATGAAATTTGCAAAGCAGCATCATTCCAAGACCTTTATACATATGTTAATCACATGCAACTTTCAAAACAACCCTAAGTGATATTATTCCCATTTTATTGGTGAGGAAACGGAGGCACAAACTTGACTGAGGCAAAGACATACGTGACAAAAGTCTTATAGCCTTTAAGTGGTGCCAGGATTTGAACTCAGGCAGTCTGGCTCTAAAGCGTATGTACTTGACCAATTATACTGGATTCAGAATTTTCTTTGGGCCAGGTGCTGGGGCTCATGTCTGTAATCCCACCACTTTGGGAGGCTGAGGAAGGAGGATCACTTGAGGTCAGAAGTTCGAGACCAGCCTGGGCAACATGGTAAAACCCCGTGTCTACTAAAAATGCAACAATTAGCTGGGCATGGTGGCATGCACCTGTGTTCCCAGCTACTTAGGAGGCTGAGGTGTTTTCTTCATAGTTACCCATAGCAAGTGTCAGAGAGTGATTTAAAACTGTATTTTTGGTATGAAGGAAAAGAAAGTCAAGCTTTGAACAAATACCAATTGAAAGGTGGATACTGGATGTCTGAAATGAGTCACTTAAGTGCCAAAATGCCTTAAATTTAAGAGTTTCTTCCATGATTTCTGCCTCTAAAGGACTTTGACATCTATTTTTTTAACCAAGGTTTTTTATTTTTTAAAGCTTATTTTCTTACTGGAAGAGATTCAGCAGAGTGATATTAGGGATAACTTATAGAATGAAGTCTTTCTTCACTGTATTTTTTCCCCCAAAGTAGTTATTTCTACTTCAGTGCCAAAATATTCTTACAAGTGGGGAGATAAAGAACTTGCAGCTTGAAGAATTATAAAGCTCTACAGTTCATCTTTGACCAGGCCCCTTGAGATGCGTGTATGTGTGTGCGCAGGTGCGCACACACGTGTGCACTGCCATTATTAGTGATGTTTTGGCGAAGGGATGATACCAGGGTGAGCAAGGCTTCTCCTAGTTCTGTCCCATACATGCAGTCTGATACTTCAGGGTAGAGTGGTCTTACAAGGGAATTGAGCTCATTTACAGGAATCTTACTCTCAGCATTTTCTGTAGAACAATGAAAAGAACATTGAGTAATTATCTCTTTCTGGTGACTTAGCCAGGCATCTTGGGAATTTGCTGTTTTGTGAACATTCGTTCAGCTCTGTCTTGTATATCTAGTTTGCCTTCACTTTATAGACAGTCACAACAAAAAGAGGATACAGATGTGTGGGTGTGTGGGTGCTAGAAACAATAACAATTTTGTATCTCCCACCCAGCCTAAGAAACAGAGTGTTATCAGTACCCCATAGCTCCTTTTTCCATCTCTCTCCTCCAGCACTATCCTGCATCTTGTAATGATTCTCTTGCTTTACCATATACTTTTGTATATGCATGTAGCCATCAACATTATATTGTATAATTGTGTCTGTGTTAGACTTTTTCATAAACCAGCAGGCTCCTAAGCTGTAGAATTAAGCCTTTTTTTTTTTTTTGAGACAGAGTCTCGCTCTGTTGCCCAGACTGGAATGCAATGGCGCTATCTCAGCTCACTGCTACCTCCGCCTCCCAGGTTCAAGGCCTCAGCCTCCCAAGTAGCTGGGACTACAGGCATGTGCCACCATGCCTGGCTAATTTTGGTATTTTTAGCAGAGACGGGGATTCGCCATTGTTGGCCAGGCTGGTCTCAAACTCCTGACCTCAAGTGATCTGCCTGTCTTGGCCTCCCAAAGTGCTGGGATTACAAGTGTGAGTCACAGTGCCCGGCCAGAATTAAGCTTTTATTATTTTTATTTTTGGGTTGTGCCAGTAAATGATAGGAAGCCATTCTTATAACTTGACGTTGTTTTGATAGGCCAAGTTGTCATCTGTTTGATGTCACCTGGCCAAGCAATCTGAAGAAGATCACAGATGACTTCTGATGCCCCCTCCCTTTGTGGTTTCTCTGACACTTAGGGAAATGTGCCACAGCCTGGCACAGAGTAGTTGCTCAGTAAATTTTTTATTTTTTAGAGGCAGGAGTGCCTCTCTCTGTTGCCCAGGCTGGAGTGCAGTGGCGCAGTCATAGCTTGCTGCACCCTGGAACTCCTGGGCTCAAGTGATCCTCCCACTTCAATCTCCAGAGTCGCTGGGACTACAGGTGTGTGCCACCACGCCTGACTAATTTTACATTTTTTATAGAGATGGGGTCTTGTTATTAATATGTTGCCCCAGTTGGTCTCAAACTCCTGGCCTCAAGGGATCATCCCATCTTGACCTCTCAAAGTGTTGGGATTACTGGTGTGAGCTACAACACTCAGTTCAAGGGTACGATGTTTGTATCTTTAGTGCCTTGTGTGGTACCTGGTACATAGACTTGCAGAAAATTTTGGTTGGAGAAGTGGTGTGTTCAGAGAATTTTCAGCTGTGGTTCTGAGTGATTGGAGTGGCTTTGGAATCGAGGTGATGATCTGGGGTGAAACAGGAGTAGCTCTCTCATAGGTTACTGCACAGCTGACTTCTGGCATGTACTTTTCCTTTCCTGTGTCACAAAACACACTTTTCATTGTCCTTATGCTGGCCCCACCTGCGTTACTTATTGAAAAAAGTATATGACAGACAGAAATAAGACATTCAGATAAAAAAAAAAAGACCTCATTTGCCTTTGCTTAAAGTATTAGTAGTTGAGATTTGATCCTGAGAGACTTTCATTCCAGTTGATGGATTTTACCTAACTAAAGTCAATTATTTTGAGGTGTTAATCACCACTTTTATTAAAACAAATCTTTTTGTCTCCAGCGTCAAGAAACTAAGGTAACCTGGTTGGCTTTCTGTAACCCTGGACTAGTATTTTAGAGATAATCTCTTCAATAGTGAAAGGTGGATTGGCTGGCAGATTCATTGTTTGACTAAACGCTTTCATTTAGCTTGTGACCTATAGCCTATTCCTCTTTCATAGTGTATTTATGTAGAACTTTATTGGCAGTGTAAGAGCCTCTATATCTTAATTGTGATAACTACTGACTGTTTAATTTTCTGCCTGACACAGAGTAAAATTCCATGAACTTTTGCTATTGAAAGCTTTTGGTGGATTAGTACCCAATCCCAGTGTTTAAGACTCTGAGCTCTGGAACAGGCCTCATGCTAGATTGATATAGGGCCTGGCACATAGATGCTTAATAAATATTAGCTGAATGAGTATTTTGTGGATTTAAAGAGTATTCAAACCACAAAACTAACCATACCCTATATTGTCAGAGGGAACAGTGTACCTTTTTTTTTCTTCCCATTTCAGGACCAAAATCAGCCTTTTGTATTTTGGATCTTTACATATTTATTTATTTTTTCTTTCCTTTGTTTTATTTTGTTTTGAGTCAGAGTCTTGCTCTGTCGCCCAAGCTGGAGTGAAGTGGCGTTATCTTGGCTCATTGCAACCTCTGCCTCCTGGGTTCAAGTGATTCTCATGCCTCAGCCTCCAGGGTAGCTGGGACTGCAGGTGCACACCATCACGCCCAGCTAATTTTTTGTATTTTTGGGGGTTTTGCCATGTTGGCCAGTCTGGTCTTGAACTCCTGAGCTTGGGCAACCCACCCAACCTTGGCCTCCCAAAGCGCTGGGATTACAGGCGTGAGCCACTGTTCCCGGCCAATATTTCTTTCTTTTTGAGAGTCATTCAGTCCCTGCAGTGTTTATGCTGACTGTCCTGCATATTTAGGGTTGCTGTAGAATGGATTTTGTGCTATATAAATATCCGTGTGTGTGTGTGTGTGTGTGTGTGTGTGTGTGTGTGTGTGTGTATGTATGTGTCTGTGTTCTCATGGTTTTTCTAAAGAAATGTCATCTGCTTATTGGCTCTTCTACTTACAGGTCTTTTCTTTTTAACCAGCCTTAAGATGATGCAGAATGTGAGTCCAACATCCTACTCCTTCAGCAGTTGACAGTGTTTTGGCATATGTGCTGCCCTGAATACAGTGATCTATTTCAGTCTGTTGATATAAATGTGGACAGCTTTAATGTGTAGGAATTGAGGCTAACAAAATATCTTTCCATATCCTGGAAGCATGAATTTTGGAGAGATGACCAACTTAATAGATAGTCTTAAGTTTTGTGTTATCGTATAATTTTAAATGCGGTATTATCTTAATGCACAGTTTAATAGTCTTAAATCCTGAAAATTTGTATATTATCTGATCTAGTTAGAAATTGAAAATATATATTTCTCAAGGTTACCAAGATTATATCTATTTGAATTTAGTAGTGATTGAATGGAATAGGTTGTTAAGATGAATTGCCACAAAATTTATATTGTTGTAAGATATGTAGAACATTGATTTTCTTCTAATATACTTAACATTGTGGATGATACCATCCATCTATCTTTCTCTCTATATGAACACATAATTTTGTTATATATAATGTTTGGAATCTGACACTTCATCTTTCCTTTTCTGAAGAAAGATTTTTTATATGTCGCCTTAATCATTGGTGTTTTGTTTAATCTTATAAACACATGATGGATTTATTTGTTGGTTTGTTGTGAAACTTAAGAAAAAGGCAAAGATAGTGGCCTCTTTGGGGCACCCTATATTTATTACATTTATTTGAAACCTTCCTAGTGTTTTCTGAATTATTTGTGTGTGTGATGTGTGTGTGTGAACACACTCAGGATTCAGAAGCTGTGTGGGACCATGTATGTGTGTCCACAGCCTTTCTTTGGAATACTGCTTCAGAAATTAGAGCAGGTAAGTCCATGCATGCTATCATCAGCATTTAATGATGCTGCTTTCTCTTCCAAGCAAACTGACAAGGGTAGATGAAGGTCCAGTTTTCCGAAATGGGCCTCAGTCTTCTGACAGGGTGTTTTATTGTAGTTTGCTGTTGTCATGAGGTCTTCATTCAGATGCGGATATATTAAGGTCATTTTGCTTTGTCTGAGGATCTTTCTGGGTTTTCATGGTAGAGATTGAGATATGTGGGACAAGTTTGATCTTGTATCAGGTTAGAGGACATGTTGCTTGCCCTGCTTCAGAGAAGAGCCAAAGCTGGCAGGAATAGCTGCAAAAGTATGCTGCACTTAGATCTTTCAATTAGTAAATTAGAGTAAGATGCCTCTGGAAGTCTTCCACAGAGTTATTTTAAACTTGGGGTCGTACTGCTTGTGTTGAATTAACTCAAGGTTCTCTCTCAAGGGGCACATGAAGGTCTTCCTCCACTGCTTCTGCTTAGTTCAGGCCTTCATCTTGTGCTTGGATTATTATCGCAGCCTCCTTTGCTTCCACCATGCCACATCCAAATGTCACATTTCCAAGGGCCTGCGACCCATGTAGGCACGTAAGGCCCCGTGCGTAGTTTAGTGCTCTGCTGTTGTCATCTTGAAATTCTTCATTTTCCAACAAGAGGAACACCTTCAATTTGTACTAGTCCCTACGATTTCAGTAGCTGGTCTTGGCTCTAGGAATAGCATTTCTAAAACTATCTATTTAAAATTCCTCAAAGTTCACGCTCCATATCCTGCCCATCTAGCACCATCTCTTAGTGGTGGGCTTTTCTTTGACTGTCAGTGCTTGAAGAAGTTCTTCCAGGTATACCAAAGGGCCCCACATCTCTGCAACATTTGCTGTTGCTGTTTCCTTCTTCTCATTTCCCCTACCCAACCTGGTTCACTTCTATTCATGTTTTGAAATGCTGAAGAAATAAGGTTGGGCTGTGAAACCGAATATGACCATCTTTTTTTTTTTTTTTTTGAGATGGAGTCTTGCTCTGTCACCTAGGCTGGCGTGATCTTGGCTCACTGTAACCTCCGCCTCTTGGGCTCAAGCTCTTCTGCCTCAGCCTCCCCAGTAGCTGGGATTACAGATAGGCACATGCCACCACACCCGGTAAATTTTTATATTTTTAGTAGAGACGGGGTTTCTCCATGTTGGTCAGGCTGGTCTCAAACTCCTGACCTCAGGTGATCTGCCCACCTTGGCCTCCCAAAGTGCTGGGATTACAGGCGTGAGCTACTGTGTCTGGCCTAATATGACCATCTTAACTCATGATCACACTTTGCTTGTATCATACCTCTTTTCAAAAGGTTGCTATCTGGTGAGGTTGGGCCATATTTGATTTTGGGATAATGGTTCTATAATAACTCTCCAAGATGATCATATTGATTTTTGCAAGGTAAAAGAAAATTCTCCTATCTTCAGGGTGTTCATTCATGCAACATATTTTTTAAATTTTTAAATTTTAATTTAATTTAACTTAATTTTTTGAGACAGAGTCTCGCTCTGTCGCCCAGGCTGTAGTGCAGTGGTGCAATCTCGGCTCACTGCAACCTCTGCCTCTTGGGTTCAAACTATTCTTGTGCCTTAGCCTCCCAAGTAGCTGGGATTACAGGCATGCATCACCATACCAAGCTAATTTTTTTGTATTTTTAGTAGGGCAACGAGTTGCCCAGGCTGGTCTCAAACTCCTGGCCATAAGTGATCCACCCACCTTGGCCTCCCAAAGCACTGGGATTACAGGCACGAACCATCAGCCTGGCCCATGCAACACATTTTTATGGGTCATCTAATATATGCCAGACTATATTTTAAGCACTGAGGATGTGGCATTGAACCAACTGTTTTAACTTTTCCTTCTTTGAGCTAATAATTTCTAGTAGAGGGGGCAGAAAGTGAATGAACAAATACCTCAATATATAATTAGATCTGGAGTTCTAGAAAACAATGCAAAATACACATTTTGGTCTTTCACCTTGGAAGATGTGTATTTGTTGTTTATCTACCTTAAAGTTTGGTGGATGAGACTAAGAATGGGGCTCTGGGCCTGGCGTGACTATTGCAGAGTGGGACAGCACCCAGGTTGTCAGTTGCTCCTTGCATCTTTTCTGATAGTGATTGTTTAGACCTAGAACATAGATACCACACAGGTATTACCCAAGAGAACTGAAAACATACACTCACACAATGTATATGAACATTCACTACAGCATTATTCATAATAGCCAAAAAGTAGAAACAACCCAAATATCCATTATATGTATGAATAAAATGTGGCATAACCATACAATGAAATGTTATTTAGCCATAAATAGGAGTGAAATATGGATACGTGGTACATTGAAAACATTAAGCTAAGTGAAAGAAAACAGTCACAGAAAACTATGATTCCATTTATAAGAAGTGTCCAGGGAGGCCGGGCGCGGTGGCTCACGCTTGTAATCCCAGCACTTTGGGAGGCTGAGGCGGGCGGATCATGAGGTCAGGAGATCGAGACCACGGTGAAACCCTGTTTCTACTAAAAATACTAAAAATTAGCTGGGCATGGTGGCGGGCGCCTGTAGTCCCAGCTACTCGGAGAGGCTGAGGCAGGAGAATGGTGTGAACCCAGGAGGCAGAGCTTGCAGTGAGCCGAGATCGCGCCACTGCACTCCAGCGTGGGTGACAGAGCGAGACTCCGTCTCAAAAAAAAAAAAAAAAAAAAAGAAGTGTCCAGGGTAGGCAAATCTACAGACAGAAAGATTGGTAGTTGCTGGGGGCGAGAGGGAGATGAGAAGAAGGAGTGACTGCTAATGGGTCAGGGTTTCTTTCTGAAGTAGTGAAAGTGTTCTGAAATTAGGGAGTGGTGATGGTTGTACAACATTGAGACTATACTGAAAGCTGCTGAGTCCTACATTTAAAAATGGCAGATGTTATAGTGTGTGAATTATCACAATAAAGCTGTCATAAAAAAATGCTGGGATTACCTTCTATCTGAAGGTGAGGATCTTATGAAGATTAAATGAAATGAAATAACATAAAGCACTTAAAGCCCAGTGCCTGGGACATAGTATGCACTTAATTAATGGTGGTGGTTGTTGCTCTTGAAGTAATACGGTTTAAATATCTGTAAGCTGGAACTTTTATTTATTCACTGCTACATCTCCAGAATATGACCTGTTATGGAGTATGTAGCCAATAAATATAATACTAGTCAAATGAATGTGGCTTGTTCACATTCATGTTCAGTCACATTCACCAATGTGGCTGTCTTTCTTGTTCCGCCTTTTGCAGCATGTTAGTGAATCTGCATCAACTGGGCCTGTGTTTTGAGCTACTTGTCTAGTGGTAGTACTCAAGAGATATGGAGCCCTTCACAGCCCATCTTTCAGTGCTTAAGTTGGGGTTGGGGGTACAGACTCAGTCTGGGGAGGCAAGGCTTCTACCTAAATTAAAGGTGAAAGTGGGGAGGCCAGGCATGGTGTCTCATGCCTGTAATCCCAGCACTTTGGGAGGCAGATGTGGGCGGATCACTTGAGGTCAGGAATTGGTGACCAGCCTGGCCAACATGGTGAAACCCTGTCTCTACTAAAAATACAGAAATTAGTTGGGCATGGTGGCGCACATCTATAATCCCAGCTACTTGGGAGGCTGGGGCAGGAGAATCGCTTGAACCCGGGAGGCAGAGGTTGCGATGAGCAGAGATCACACTACTGCATTCCAGCCTGGGTGACAGTGAGACTCCATAGCAAAAAAAATAAAAATAAAAGAAAGTGGGGTCAAATGATTCTTGAGCCTTTTTCTAGTAATATAATTCCGCTTTGTGTTTTTATTTTTATTTTTATTTTTTGTTTGAGATGGAGTCTTGCTCTGTCGCCCAGGTTGGAGTGCAGTGGCGTGATCTTGGCTCACTGCAAGCTCCGCCTCCTGGGTTCACACCATTCTCCTGCCTCAGTCTCCCGAGTAGCTGGGACTACAGGCGCCTATCACCACACCTGGCTAATTTTTTGTATTTTTAGTAGAGACGGGGTTTCACCGTGTTAGCCAGGATGGTCTTGATCTCCTGACCTCGTGATCCACCCACCTCAGCCTCCCAAAGTGCTGGGATTACAGGCGTGAGCCACCGCGCCTGACCTACTTATATATTTTTTTGAGATGGAGTCTCGCTGTCGCCTGGGCTGAAATGCAGTGGCACGATCTTGGCTCACTGCAACCTCCGCCTCCCAGGTTCAAGTGATTCTCCTGCCTCAGCCTCCTGAGTAGCTGGGATTATAGGTGCCCGCCACCTAATTTATTTTTTTATTTTTATTTTTTTTGCGATAGAGTCTTGCTCTGTCACCCAGTGCAGTGGCGCAGTCTTGGCTCACTGCAACCTCTGCCTACTGGATTCAAGCGATTCTCCTGTCTCAGCCTCCCAAGTAGCTGGGATTAGAGGCACCCACCACCACACTCAGCTAATTTTTGTATTTTTTAGTAGAGATGGTATTTCACCATGTTAGCCAGGCTGGTCTCGAACTCTTGACCTCAGGTGATCCGCCTGCCTCGACCTCCCAAAGTGCTGGGATTACAGGCGTGAGCCACCACACCTGGCTCTTTGTGTTTTTTAAAAAACTGAATTGGTCTGTTGAGAATGTGATTCTCTCTCTTTTTTTTTTTTTTTTGAGATGGAGTTGTTGCCCAGACTGGAGTGCAATGGCTCAATCTCGGCTCACTGCAACCTGCGCCTCCTGGGTTCAAGTGATTCTCATGCCTCAGCCTCCCGAGTAGCTGGGATTACAGGCATGCACCACCATGCCTGGCTAGTTTTGTATTTTTAGTAGAGACAGGGTTTCTCCATGTTGGTCAGGCTGGTCTCATACTCCCGATCTCAGGTGATCTGCCTGCCTCGGCTTCCCAAAGTGTTGGGATTACAGGCATGAGCCACTGCGCCCAGCTGAGAATGTGATTCTTAGCATTCATTATAAGTTCCCCAGAGAGCAGAGGATTTCATTTGTGGTAAAACACATACGCGTGCACACACACACACACACACACACCCCACACATTTAGTTCTTAGAAATGTACAGATTTAAACTGATAGTTTGTTCTGCTGAACCTAACTCACAATTTCTACATATAGGAAATTAATGTTTTAAATGAAGATAGAAGCAGTTTTCTCCTGAAAGTATTTATGTGGTTTTGTTAAAACTTCACATCCTTTTATGAACTTGGCATTCCACTAACAACACTCAGCTGCTTTTACAATTGTGTCAGCAAGGTTCCATCTGCTTATATTGAGGTTGATGAAAAGAAGTAAAGCTGTTGTTGTTTGTATTATGTGGCATTCTTTTTAGATCACTGGAACTTTTTTTCCTTTGGTCTCTGTAAGAAATGGTTGTGCTTCTCATCTTCCTTTAGTCTTCTGTACATTGTGTGGTTGATCATGTTCCTTGTTACCATAAACTGTTGAGAGGCTCAGTGCCCAATTTGTGGCCTACCTCTAGGAATTATCCAGGGCTTCTCTTTATCAGCTTTTTTATGTACCATCCTGCTTCTTGACTTTATTTTCTACTCTTATTTTTTTCTTGACCAATTTATCTTTCTTTCTTTCTTTCCTGCTTTCTTGGTTTCTTTCTTTCTTTTTTTTTTTTGAGACAGGGTCTCCTCCTGTTGCCCAGGCTGGCATTCAGTAGTGCAGTCAATGAGCTTGAGCTCCCTGCAAGTGCAAACTCCTGGGCTTAAGTGATCCTCCCACCTCATCCTCCCAAAGTACCAGAAGTACAGGCACGAGCCACACACGTGGCCACTGTTTCTTTCTTCCTTTTTTTGGGGGGGGGGCGGGAGGAGGGGTGGTGCTATGCTATCTCAAAGAGCTGCTTTTATAATTTTTTGGGAGATAAATGTGTTAAATAAGCAACAGTCCCACCTTATTGACGTGAATATTTTAAAAACTTAAAACATGTCTACAACTTCCTAGGAATTTCTTCCCACATCAGGAAGGATGGAGAGAAGGCAAAACTAAGAGTTGGTAAGCTTTGTGTTTGGGAAATTTTCTTGAATACCTCTTTTTTTCTTGTCTTTTTAATAGAAGTTGGTGAGATGGCAAAGCAGTATATAGAGAAAAGTCTTTTGGTTCCAGACCATGTGATCACACGCCTAATGATGTCCGAGTTGGAGAACAGGCGTGGCCAGCACTGGCTCCTTGATGGTGAGTTGAAACTGTGGGTAAACCGAATTTCTGGGAATAGTCAGTTAAGGTCTTGCACACTCCCTTAACTTCTTACCGAATGGAAAATGCCTTATTTTCTAAACTTTCTGTCATTTATTTAATATTGCAATTTGGCAACATGATAGGAACCCATTGTGGTGAAGCCTCTTATTTCTTCTGTCTCCAGATCACCATCATGAGAACCACTGACTTGAAGCAAATATTCACTAAATTTCTGTTATTGCTTCAGCCCTTTTGTTTCCGTAAGCCATCCTGAGTATAACTCCTCTTCAATCAGAGGTTCTTTCATTCACCACAGGGCACACAAAATACAATTATGAGTTATTATTTTTCACCTGTCAGATTAACAGAGATAGAAGATCGGAAAATCCTTTATTGAGTATGTAGGAAACAAATACTGTTGAAAGTATAAAATGAGCAACCTTTGTAGAGCAGTTAGCATTATATATACTTTCTGATCCAGCAGTTCCATTCTGGATTTCTGCCTAAAGATGCAAGGAGGTTTATTTCAGCATTATTGGTAAATAAGAGGACATTATTACTGACACTATAAAAGAATCATTATATATGTGGTATTCTGAGGACACAAAGAAGAAAATTATTCTGTTGGTAGGAGGAGGGGTTGGAACAACTGTATGGAAAGTGATGAATAGATAGATGGTCCTCAGATAGATGAGTGGGGATAGGGAAGGTAGGTTTTTTTTTTTCAGCAGAGGGACAATGTGAACAGGGTGAAAGGGGAATGAGTTATCTTAGTATTTTTTCTGAGCCTGCAAGCAGAGGTTGGCAGAGGAAATCCTGGGGTGGATAGCCTTTGATTTTGCCATAAAGATGGTGGAACTGGATTTTGTTGGCTTTAGGGAGCACTGAAGAGTTGTTAAGTAGGGGTATAATATGATCATATTTCTCTCAGAAAGACTATTCTGTTAGCAGCACAGGAGAGATTAGGTGCTGGGGCATGGAGGAGAGTTGTGACTACAAACCAGAGATCATTGGAATAACTGGACTAAGGGATGTCGAAGGCCTGAATTTAAGCAATAATAGCAGTGGGATGGAAAGGAGGCACCATTCATAAGAGAGTGGATTGAGGAAAAAGAATTGATAGGAGTTGTGGCTGATGTTAGGTACTACAGCCCCAGGGTTTTCTTTTATTGCCTTTCAGGCTTTTTGAGTTTCTCAGCTTTCATCACCCTCTCTGCCCTTACCTAGGCATGTTAATTTCTCTAGACTCTACTTTTAACTCACAGAAGTTAGCCCTTTTCTTAGTCTGTTTTCTGCTGCTACAACAGAGTACTTTGGACTGGGCAATTTATAAAGAAAAGAAATTTATTTCTCATGGTTCTAGAGGCTGGAAAGTCCAGGAGCATGGTGTCAGCATCTGATGAGGGCCTTCTTGCTGCATCATCCCATGGCAGAAGGCATCAAATGGGGAAGAAGTGCATGCCTCTGAGAGGGAATGGGAGCCGAACTTATCCTTTTATCAGGAGCCTATTGTTTTATCTAGAACCCACTTCTGTGATAAGAGCATTAACTCATTCATGAGGGCAGAGCCTTTGTGACCTAATTACCTCTTAAAGGCTCCATCTCCCATAACATTTCATTGCCAATTAAATTTCAACATGAGTTTTGGAGGGGACATTCAAACCTTAGCATTCTGCCCCTACCCACCTCCCCCTCCAAAACAACTCGTGTCCTTCTCACATGCAAAATATATTCATTCTATCCTATTAGCCCCCAAAGTCTTAACTTAGCATCAACTCAAAAGTCCAAGCTAAATCAGACATGGGTGAGACTTATAAAGTACAATTCATCCTGAGACAAATTCCCTTCAGCTGTGAGCCTGTGAAATCAAAGCAAGTCATCTACTTCCAAAATGCTATGGTAGGAAGGTGTATGATGGACATTCCCATTCCAAAGGAAGAAATAGGCAAGAAGAAAGGGGCAGGTGGTCACCGATAAGTCCAAAATCCAACAGGGGAGACATTAAGTCTTAAAGATGGGGAATAATCTCTGTGGACTCCATATTCTGCCTCCTGGGCACACTGGGATGGGAGTTGGGCTTCCAGGGCCTCAGAAGCCCCACCCTCTGTGGCTTTGCTGGGTTCAATCCACTCAGCAGCTCTCATGGGTTGGAGTTGTATACTGGTGGATTTACAGTTCTGGGGTGTTGACAGTGGCCCACTCCCATGGCTCCATTAGGCATTGCCCTAGTGGGGACTCTGGGGCAGCCTTGACCCTACAGTTCCACTGGGCATTGTCCTAATGGGGGCTGTCTGCAGTGGCTCTGTTCTGCAATAGATTTCTGCCTGGGCCTACCAGGGGCATTCATTGAAATCTAGGTGGAGGAAGCCATGCTCTGTAGGTCTTGCATTCTGTGAGATGCCACCAAGGCTTATCCCTTTCTGAGCAGGTGGAGCCACGCCTGAAGCTGTTTGAGTTATGGTTGAGGAGGCCAAGGAATGCTATCCATCTTCTGAAACCATTCTACCCTCCTAGATCTCTGGGTCTGTGATGGGAGGGGCAGTCTGGAAGATCTCCGAAATGCCTTTTAGGTCTGTTGTCCATTGTCTTGATTGATAGCACCTGGCTTCCTTCTAGCCATGCTAATCTCTTTAGCAATAGGTTGTTTGACCACACACTTAATATTCCCTCTGGAACATGCTTTTCCACTCTTTACATGGCCATGCCGAGAATTTTCCAAATTCTTCTGTTTTGCTTCTCTTTTAACTATATGGTTATCCCTCAGTATCTGCTGACAGTAAGGGGTGTGGGAAGGGATTGGTTCCAGGACCACTCCCTCATACCAAAATCCATGCTTACTCAAGCCCCACGGTCGGCCCTGTGGAACCCATGGGTATGAAAAGTCAGTCCTCCATGTGCAAGGGTTTTGCATCCTGCAAATACTGTATGCATTTGGTTGCGAATGTGGAACCCAGTGATATGGAGGCCCGACTGTATTTATTGAAAAAATCCTTGGCCCATGTTGTGGCTCACACCTGTAATCCCAACACTTTGGGAAGCTGAGGTGGGCAGATCACTTGAGGCCAGGAGACCAGCGTGGGCAACATTGCAAAACCTCATCTCGACAAAAATTAGCCGGGTGTGGTGGCATGTGCCTATAATCCCAGCTACTTGGGAGCTGAGGTGAGAGGATCACTTTAGCCTGAGAGGTTGAGGCAGCAGTGAGGCATGATCACACCATTGCACTCCAGCCTGGATGACAGAGTGAGACCCTGTTTCAAAAGAAAAGAAAAAAATGTTTGTATAAAGTGTGCCCTCAGAGTTCAAACCCGTATCTTCAATGGTCAACTGTATTTGATTGTCTCTTTGCTCTCACATTGCATTTTATGCAATTAAAAGTAACCACACAGCAGCTTGAAAGCTTTACTGCTTAAGATACTTCTTCCACCACATATCCTAGTTCATTGCTCTTAAGTTTTGCAGTCCATAAAGCCCTAGGGCACAGACAAAATTTGTCAAGGTCTTTGTAACCGTATAACAAGAATAACCTTTACTCCAGTTTCTAATATGTTCTTTTCCATTTCTGTCTGAGATCTCATCAGAATGGACTTTACTGTCCAATTGCTGCTAATATGCCAGTCATGACCACTTGAGTAATTTCTTTTTTTTTTTGAGATGAAGTCTCTGTCGCCCAGGCCAGAGTGCCATGGCCTGATCTCAGCTCACTGCAACCTCCACCTCCCAGGTTCAAGCAATTCTCTTGCCTCAGCCTCCCAAGTAGCTGGGACTATAGGCATGTGCCACCATGCCCAGCTAATTTTTGTATTTTTAGAAGAGACAGGGTTTCACCATGGTGGCCAGGCTGGTCTTGAACTCATGACCTCAGATGATCCGCCCACCTCGGCCTCCCAAAGTGTTGGGATTACAGGCGTGAGCCACACCATGCCTGGCCCACTGAGTAATTTCTAAGAAGATTCAGACCTTCCCTACAGCTCCCCTCTTCTTCTGAGTCCTCATCAGAATTGCCCTTGATGCATCATTCATGGCAATCTAGGGTGTTACTAGCCGCTTCCTCCAAATTCTTCAGCCTCTACCCATTACTTGGTTCCAAAGCTATGACCGCATTTTTAGGTATTTGTTATGGAAACAGCCCCACTCCTTGGTATCCATTTTTTGTCTTAGTCTGTTTTGTGCTGCTATAACAGAACACCTCAGGTTGGGTAATTTATAAAGAAAATAAATTTATTTCTCACAGTTCTGGAGGCAGGGAAGAGTAAGACGATGGTTCTCACATTTGTTGGGAGCCTTCTTGCTGTGTGTTGGAAGGCAACACATGATGAGAAGGCTCACACAAGAGAGGGAATAAGGGGTTAAACTTACGCTTTTATCAGGAGCCCACTCCTGAGATAACCAACCCATTAATTCATCCATGAGGGCAGAGCTCTCATGACCTGATCATCTCTTAAAGGCCCCACCTCCCAATACCTTTAAATTGGCAATTAAATTTCAACATGAGTTTTGGAGAGAACATTCAAACTATAGCACCCCCCAGTGCTTTTTGTCTGGGTATTCATCATGACTGATAAACTTTGACTTTGCCACCACGTAACAGTAATTTCTCTAGTTTACATTTTTAAATTGTGAGTCTTCTCATCTTGCAAAATGAATTTGTATAGTTTTAGGGAACTTAAAAATCTGTGTTTAAAAAGGATCATCTGTGTTAAACTCCCCTGGAAAGAGGGTTAGTGTGATAATTGAGAGCATGGACCCGGGTGCTGCCAGACTGCCTGACTTGAATCCCCGCTCTGCCACTTTCTGGCAGCCTGTGTGACCCTGGGCCTCTGGTTGCTCATGAAACACAAATTAGCAAAGAGGGGCAAAGTGAGCAAATATATGTAAAGTGCTTAAAAGAGTGCTTGCCTTATATAAGTGCTGTATGAGTGTTTGTCATTATTTTGTGACTAGTGTACAGGTCCTGAAGTTTTTTGGGTGGGGGTGACTATTTGAAGTGTTCACTTCAAAAATAGCTCTAAAAGTATTTAGCCAGGCAGAATAAAAGTCAGTTTCAGTTATGGAATGTTTTCTCTATCTTTTCAGTGCTTGCTTTTGCCATGACTTCCTCTCAGGGTTGAATAACTGAAGTTCTTTGACATCATAGGCCTGTTTTAGTGAAGTACGTCATCCTCCCAAGTGATTTGGTTAGTATTTTTCTCCTTGAAAACCCATCTGGTCACTTTTTCAGTTGCGATTTTTCTTTAAAGCTCTGGAATAAATCCATTTGGCAAGGTGTGGAGTGCGAGGGATGCCTGGTTCCTATGTTCAGCTTTAGACTCCTTATGTTACACAGGCACATGCTCTGCGGAGGACGTGCCTGTTGAGCGTGCTAAAGGTGATTGAATGTGGAAAGGTCGAAAAAGGCATTCTGATGACAGATGACTCATCATCTTGGTCCATATGGCTGTAGAGAGGCATCCTGCAAATGGTGGGTGGAAATGAGTAGAGTGGATCCAAGCCAAGGGAACCCCAAGTGGGGATGTGGGGAGGGGAGGGAGGGTGAGTGTTCTGTGGTTTGGTCAGCTTTGCTCTTGCTAAAAAAAAAGTTCAGCACTACCTTCCCTTCACTGTGCTTTCCAGTTGGGTAAGAAATATTCTTGTTTTGTTTTGTTTTGTTAGAGATGGAGTCTCTCTCTGTCACCCAGGCTGGAGTGCAGTGGCATATCTTGGTTCACTGCAACCTCTGCCTCCTGGGTTCAAGCGATTCTCCTTCCTCAGCCTCCTGAGTAGCTGGGATTACAGGTGCACACCACCATGCCTGGCTAATTTTTTGTATTTTTAGTAGAGATGGGGTTGCACCATGTTTGCCAGGCTTGTCTTGAACTACTGGCCTCAAGTGATCTGCCTGCCTCGGCTGCCCAAAGTGCTGGGATTACAGGCATGAGCCACTGCACCTGGCTAATTTTTCACTTTTTTAAAAAAGGGTCACATATTAGACCGTTTTCACACTGCTGATAAAGACATACCCGAGACTGGGTAATTTATACAAGAAAAAGGGTTTAATGGACTTACAGTTCCACGTGGCTTGGGAGGCCTCACAATCGTGGCAGAAGGCAAGGAGGAGCAAATCACATCGTACCTGGATGGCAGCAGGCAAAGAGAGACAGCTTGGCAGGGAAACTCCCATTTTTAAAACTATCAGATCTCATGAAACTTACTGACTATCATGAGAACAGCACGGAAAAGACCAGCCCCCATAATTCAGTTACCTCCTACCAGGTTCATCCCATGACACGTGGGAATTGTGGGAGCTACAGTTCAAAGATGAGACTTGGGTGGGGACACAGCCAAACCACATCAGGCCAGCAGTGAGGTATAGCCATAGAGAGAGATGTATTAGTAACTGTTTTTTTTCGTTTCTAAACTTGCCTGCTTACTTGTGCCTTGAAATAGTAATCTAGAAGTTCCCCAAATCGGTTCTAATTTATCTTTATGTACCAAGATGTAGTAGAATTATCTGCCATATGATTTTAGGGGTAACTATCAAAATATTTTAAACTGGTATTTCAAAGTTTGGTTTTGTAGAAAACAACCTTAAATTTTGGAATTGTAAATGAAATGTAATTTAATCCTTTTCATTGGTAATAATGATAACCTTTAGCACGAGAGTCATCATTTTGTCCATAGTTGTATTTAGAACCTGGTTTGTTTGTTTCATTCTGTGCAATGTTGAACACTAACAAGTGCTTTCTGAAGGTAATTCTGTTTTTAGCATAAGTCAGAGTTGTTTGAATGTGTGCAGTGTTTGTGTCTATTTTCCCTGAGAGCTAAATGATTTCAGACTTGAGATGTTCCTGGCTACGCACTCACTTAGAGCCCTTGGTGTAGGTGTATGATCAGAAACTAAACTATAGATGCTGGAGCCAGAGTATTTTGCCTTGATTTTGCGAATGTGTTTTACCATACGAGGCTAGTACATAACAACTCTGACCTTATCCTCTCCACATTTTTCCTTCTGATTCAGACCTCTGAGGAGTGTCACATCCCACTGGGCGACATATGTCTATAGAAAAAAGCCAACAGTATCTTCTGAATCACATCTTTTAGGAAATGCCAAGGGTAATTTTTTTTCTTCTGTTGCCCTTGTGAGTCTAGGGTATCTTTCAAGAATAAAGTGTATAATAGATTTGTTTAGAAGGTTACTGAAGAATTCTGCTTTCATAATTAAAAAAACAGCTTTTTCTTCCTGTGTGTATGTGTTTATGTGTAGGAGGGCAGTAGTTTATCTTAGTCATTTATCTTTAAATATTTAGCCGTGAAAAATCATAGCCACATAACCCTTCTATCTCAGGTTGTTACTAAGGCAGTGATGTATATTCTGGTATCTTGAATGGAAAGTTTAAAGCAATTGTGGTGATTTCTAAAGAATGAAGAATAGTTGTAAAATTTGTGGAGCTCTACTAGGGTGCTGTGGCCATCTATGCCTGCCAAATGTGGATTGCACAATTAAAATGTTTGGTTCCTCACTGGGATTGTTCTTCTTGACATAACCATGATTTGCCCCTCTCATTGTAGCTCTGTTCATTCAGTAAGCATTATTATATCTAATGGGTCCTGAATATTTCTAAAGTGAATAAAGTGCAAGTATGACTAACTTTGCACTAGGCTGGTGACAGTGAAGAAGAATGTGTGGAAAAGAAGGATTAGAGGTAGACTAAGCTTGTCAGGGAGCTCCTGACATAGGAGGGTTCAGAGACATATATTCAGCCACACATGGTACAGGTGAGGTGTTCCAAGAGGTAAGTGGAATGATTTTTGCAAGTAAGGAGTGGCATTTTTGGTCAAAATGATTGCATGAAAAAAGATGGGTGTGTGTTTAGATTAGTCTTAGCGCTACATTTTTGGAAACTCTATCCATGCCCCAAGACAATGTAAATATGCCTGACAGTTTTTTTTTTTTCATCATCCAAAATTCTGATTTGAGGAGACAGTTGGGTGTGGTAGCTTATGCTTGTAATCCCAGCAGTTTGGGAGACAGAGGCAGGAGGATCACTTGAGCCCAGGAGTTTGAGACCAGCCTGGGCAACACGATGAAAGCCCTCTCTACAAAAATATAGAAAAATTACCTGGGCATGGTGGTGCATGCCTGTCTATACTCACAGCTTGTCAGAGGCTGAGGTGGGAGGATCACCTGAGCCTGAACCTGGGGAGGTCAAAGCTGCAGTGAGCCGAGATTGTGCCACTGCACTCCAGCCTGGGCAACAGAGCGAGACTCCGCCTCAAAAAAAAAAAAAAAAAAGAATTTGGGCAGTGACCCTTAGATGAATGTTATTTTCTTTGTTGGCATTTTCCCCCCTGGACTTTGAAGGTAGAGTTTGATCAAGGCATTTCTTTACTGTGTGTTTGCATGAAGGATCAGCAGTTATTTGTTGAGTTTGGTTTGCATAAAAAAATTATTTTTGGGCTGGGTGCGGTGGCTCACGCCTGTAATCCCAGCACTTTGGGAGGCCGAGGTGGGCGAGTCACGAGGTCAGGAGTTCGAGACCAGCCTGGCCAACATGGTGAAACCCCATCTTTATTAAAAATACAAAAAATTAGCTGTGCGTGGTGGTGGGCGCTTGTAGTCCCAGCTACTCGGGAGGCTAAGGCAGGAGAATCGCTTGAACCTGGGAGGCGGAGGTTGCAGTGAGCCGAGATCGTGCTACTGTACTTTAGCCCAGGTGACAGTGCAGTAGCCCAGGCGACTCCATCTCAAAAAAGAAAAAAAAAATTTGTAACCAGATAACTGTAACAGTGTTCCCCTGAATGCTGTGTCTTTAAGTTTGTGTTGTAAAGTAGGTTTGACAATTTTTATCATGTTAGAAGAAAGAATTGTAAAACCCAAGACCTATGTTTGATTATATAGCTTGAGTATCTCTTATCCAGAATGCTCGGGACCAGAAGTATTTTGGATTTCAGATTTTTTGGATTTTAGAATGTCTGCCTTATACTTACTGGTTGGGTATCTCTAATCCAAAAAAATGCAAAATCTGAGATGCTCCAATAGGCATTTTCTTTGAGGATCAAGTTGGCACTCAAAATTTTGGATTTTGGAGCATTTCAGATTTCAGATTTTCCTATTAGAGATACTCGTACTTTCTAACATGATAAGTATTTGGATATTCTCAAATAAAATAATTTGTAGACATATAATTAATTTCAAGTTAAATAGTGCACTAAGAGAGACCACATGACTGCTAGAAGAAGATGGGCAATAAGAAGAAAGTGTATCTACTTCACATAAGACTAGGTAACAGGTTTTTGTTTTGTTTTGTTTTGTTTTGTTTTGTCAGAATTTTGTTTTTGCTGCCCAGGCTGGAGTGCAATGGTGCGATCTTGGCTCACTGCAACCTCTGCGTCACGGGCTCCGGTGATTCTCCTGCTTCAGCCTCCTGAGTAGCTGGGATTATAGGTGCCTGCCACTATGCCTGGCTAATTTTTTGTATTTTTAGTAGAGACGGGGTTTCACTCTGTTGGCCAGGCTGGTCTCAAACTCCTGACCTCAGGTGATCTGCCCACCTCAGCCTCCCAAAGTGCTGTGATTACAGGCGTGAGCCACCGTGCCCGGTCTAGGTAACAGTTTTCTAAACAGAGTAATACTGGTTGAATTACACAGGAAATACCACTATTCAGTGGGGTTAAGTTATGAAGAGACATTTGGGTGACATGTGACCTGAAATTTTAGCACACTGCCATCTTCTTACACACTTTATCCAAAGTACACAGCCTGATCAGACTTTGTATCTAGCTGCTGATTGCACTGAAGCTATTGCAACTCCTTTGTTAATGCTCCCAGGTGATCGCATGCATTTCTTCTGGTGCTAAGCATTCATAATTTTCGATAAGTATTTATTGATCAGCAGCTGTGTGCCAGACACCACAGTAGAGCAACAAAGAGACTAGGTGGGGCCTGGCTCTCCTGATACTCAGAATCCAGTGGTGTTTTCAGCTGGGTTTTGTTTTTTTTTTTTGAGACGGAGTCTCGCTCTGTCCCAGGCTGAGTGCAATGGCGCGATCTTGGCTCACTGCAACCTCCACCTCTTGGGTTCAAGCGATTCTCCTGCCTCAGCCTCCCAAGTAGCTGGGACTACAGGCAGTGCCACCACGCCCAGCTAATTTTTGTATGTTTAGTAGAGACGGGGTTTCGCCATGTTGGCCAGGATAGTCTCCATCTCTTGACCTCGTGATCTGCCCACCTCGGCCTCCCAAAGTGCTGGGATTACAGGTGTGAGCCACCAGGCCCAGCCAGTTTTCAGCTTTTTTGCTACCCTAGGCAGTGAGGGTTATCTTTAATTTCTTTAATTTAAATCAAAACCCTGATAACTCACTTTTTCTCTTAGTGACTTTTCCTACGTTCTGCACCCTTGCTGTCAATATGAGCTCAGAGTAGCTGACTGAAAAACATGATAAAGCCTTGGATCTCTTCTCTTTCTCATTTGTTATAGATTCTGTCCTGCGTTCGTGTCCTCCATGTCCATTTCCAGTGTTTTTCTTCTGATTGAACTGACTGCTGCTTTGGGGTGAGGAACAGTTGTACCACAGTATAGTAGACAATGGTGGCTTATCTTATGTGTGTCTCAGAGATTGACTAGATTTTAACATTAAGGAACATTAAGGGGACAATATGGAAAACATATGTATACACATATTTGACTGGACCCTAGCAAAGCTTGGTTCATGGATCAATAAACAAATTGAGTATACATTTTTTGTGTCTTGATAAGCTAGGCATCCGTCATTCCCAAGAGGGAGTAGCATGCTTCCTGACCTCATAGTCCAGGAGTGCCGCACAAATGGTTGCAGAATAGGTAGGGTCTTGGGAGCACCAGTGAAGAGAGAGTGAAAGGTGATGGCTGGCGCAGAGAGGGAAGTAACTGACCCTCTTTTGAAGGTGAGGGAGGCAGGTATTAGGAAGGCTTCCTGGAGAAGCTGACACCCAGAACCATAATTGGAAGGTGGGAATGAAGCACATTTTAGAGGGAGGGAAGATCACATGGAAAAGCTCTAGAGGTATGAAACAACATGGTGTATTCTGGAAACCACAAGTAGTTGGGTAACCCTGGAGCTAAAAATATGAGCAGATGAGGCTGGACAAGTGGACAGGGGCAAAAGTTAACCTTTCATGAAATTTAGAAACAGGGAGTTGAGTAAGCATCAAAGTTAATATTAAAAATGAGGGGGAGTTAAAAGTAAAATTTAAAACTTTGAGTTTAAAAGTGTGAACAACATATTTTTAAACTCTACTTCCAACATTTAAAAATTAACTGGATTGGCCGGGCGTGGTGGCTCACGCTTGTAATCCTAGCAATTTAGGAGGCTGAGATGGGTGGATCACAAGGTCAGGAGATTGAGACCGTCCTGGCTAACACGGTGAGACCCCACCTCTACTAAAAATACGAAAAATTAGCCGGGCGTGGTTGCAGGCGCCTGTAGTTCCAGCTACTCAGGAGACTGAGGCAGGAGAATAGCACAAACCCAGGAGGCAGAGCTTGCAGTGAGCTGAGATCGCGCCACTGCACTCCAGCCTGGGCAACTGAGTGAGACTCCGTCTCAAAAATAAAATAAAATAAAATAAAAATTAACTGGATTATTAACCTTTTAAATTTAGATCTACATTTGACATTAAACTGTGGTTTCTCTGTATTTGGGTGTGTCTTGACTTACATGTTCAGATGCACCTAGCCCATTTGCCATTGCTGCTTAATTAGAAGTTGATAAAGTAAGGTACAGGATGAAATACTTCAACTCCTAAGTTTAGGTGTTAGGAGAACCTGCTTCCCTAATTTATGAAACAGGTAATTCATCCAGTTCCTGGGAATTGGATGAATTAAGAAAATTCATTACAAAGCATCATTCAAGGCATTTGAGGGCATACTTTGCTAATTGCTAATTTAATAATAATTATTGTGCACTTACAATGCACAAACCATGATGCTAAGAAGACATTAACATGATAGAAAAAGCATGGGTTTATGAATCAGACCTGAATATCAGTCTGTAACTTACAAGCTGCTGTGTAGTCTTTTTTTTTTTTTTTTTTTTTTTAAGATGGGGTTGTGCTCTGTCACCCAGACTGGAGTGTAGTGGCACCATCATAGCTCACTGCAGCCTCAAACTGGGTTCAAGTGATTGATCCTCCCATCTCAGCTCCCTGAGTAGCTGAGACTACAGATGCAGGCCACTACGCCTGGCCAATTTTAAAACTTGTTGTAGAAATGGGATTTTGCTATGTTGCCCAGGCTAGTCTTGAACTCCTATCCTCAAGCAATCCTCCTGTCTCAGCCCCTCAGAGTGCTGAGATTACAGTCATGAGCCACTGTGCCGAGTTGTATAGTCTTGAGCAAGCAAAGTTTTCTTTCTTGGATTCTTTTTCTTCATCCATGAAATTAGCACGTTCATGGCATAGGTTTGTGAGGATTGACTAACAAATGTAAAACTCTTAGTGGAGTTCTGGAAAATAGGTCATCAAATGGTAGACATTTGATATTATTATTTATTATAATTGATTTTAAGCTCCAATAGAAATACCTTGATACTTACATAGATGTTAGGACTTAACATTTCAATAATAACTTACTGAGAAACTTCACAAAAAATACTGTCATTCTAATGAATAAGGATCAACATATTCACCCCTCATAAAGCACATTTGGGCAAAGCATAAAACCACCCCTCTTGGCCTGGCGCGATGGCTCACATCTGTAATCCCAGCACTTTTGGAGGACGAGGTGGGTGGATCACTTGAGATCAGGAGTTCAAGACCAGCCTGACCAATATGGTGAAACCCCATCTCTACTAAAAATACAAAAATTAGCCAGGCGTGGTGGTGTGCACCTGTAATCCCAGCTACTTGGGAGGGCTGAGGCAGGAGAATTGCTTGAACCTGGGAGGCGGAGGTTGCAGTGAGCTGAGACCGTGCCATTGCACTCCAGCCTGGGCAATGAGAGTGAAATTCCATCTCAAAGAAAAAAAAAATCACCCCTCCTCCATTAAACCTTGTGTAGTAATGTAAAACAAAACAATGTAAAACTCTTGATTGTCCTGTCACCAGTAAGAGAACCCAGATTTTGGAGAGATGGACAGGTTGATTAGGGCTAAAGGGAGAATGAGATGTGGAAAACTGCAGAGAATTTAATTTTATCTTTTTCTGTAATACATGATCACTATAAAACATCCAAGCCATATGGAAAAATGCAACGGAAAGCAACAAATCACCTGAAATTCCACCAGCCAGAAACAACCAGGGTGAACAGTTGAAAAGCATCATTCTAGATACCTCTCTGTGCGCATATGTAGATGGAAATGTGTAAGAAGGCATCAGACTTTATATGCTTTAAAAAAGTATTTAATCTTACTGAATTTTTTTTTTTTTTTGACATGGAGTCTCGCTGTGTCGCCCAGGCTGGAGTGCAGTGGCACAATCTCTGCTAACTGCAACCTCCACCTCCTGGGTTCAAGCGATTCTCCTGCCTCAGCCTCCCAAGTAGTGGGATTACAGGCACGCACCACCGTGACTGGCTAATTTTTTACATTTTTGATAGAGACAGGGTTTCACCATATTGGGCAGGCTGGTCTCAAACTACTGACCTCAAGTGACCCACCCGCTTTGGCCTCCCAAAGTGCTGGAATTCCAGGCGTGAGCCACCATACCTAGCCTTAATTTTACTCAAATTTAACAGTAACAAAACTAAAGTGAACCTGAAGGAGTTATTACGGAGCTTCAGATAAATCTTTGTTCATCACCAAGGATATTAATTCCTGTGAGAGCTCTTCAACATTATAAAAGCCACTGGGAGACTGACATATTTGTTTTCTTTTGTTTTAAATTCACATTTCAAATTTAGACAGGAGGCATTGTCTCCACAGTGAACCCTGAGGGAACTTATACTTCCTTTAACCTCCTCTTACCCTTCATCTCTCCCAGTTTTTGTTGGCTTTTGTCATTAAAAATTTATTACAGTTTTCTTCTGCAAATGTAATTCCTCAGTTTCTTACATTAAAAAAATTTAGGTGAATTCTGTGCACTGGTTCTTTTACCCACCTCTACTCATTTTATTTTGATTAATCTCTTGGTTATATCTCTGTGAATATACTAGAAATCATTGAAATGTACACTTTAAATGAATTAATTGTATGGTACGTGAACTGTATCTGAGTAAAGGTGCACTGCTGTTTAACACAGCTTTTTCATTCAACACTGGGTTGACTGGATTTTGCTGGATATTTTTTTCGTCCCTCCCTCCTCTCCCCTCCCTGCAGAAGAGCTCATAATATGTTTGAGAATGTCTAATTTTTTAAAATTAGCTAACTGATATTTTTGAGTTGTTCTTGTGTCTTTCAAAACATTGCAACCATTGTTACATTTTCTTCTGGCCTGGTTCCCCATTTTATTTTATTTTTATTTGTTAAATAGAGACAGGTCTTGCTCTGGCACCCAGGCAAGAGTGCGATGGTGCAGTCGTGTTAATAGCTTGCTGCACTCTCAAACTCCTGGATCCTCCCGCCTCAGCCTCCCAAGTAGCTAGGACTACAGGTGTATGCTGCTGTGCCCAGCTAGTTTTTTATTTTTTGTTTAGACAGGGTCTTGCTATGTTGCCCAGGCTGGTCTTGAACTCTTAGGCTCAAGCAATCTTCCTGCCTCAGCTCTCCAAAGTACTTGGATTTACAGGCGTGAGCCACTATGCACAGCCCTTTTCCACCTGTTTCAAGGTGATTTTTTTTCACCCCGTATAGACTTTCTAAAGAGTTATTTCTTCATACTTGAAGTCAGTAGAATAACTTGATGTTGTTGTTATTTATTTATGTCCTATATAGAGTGTATCCTCCTGATCTGCAATTCAGTTCTTTCCTTTCAGGGAAGTTTTCCTGTGTTATATCCTTTTTGTCATTTGTTCAGATTTCTATTTCAATAATACTAGTTATATTGGATATTCTATTGACTATTTTTTGTCTTTATACTTTAAATTTTTCTTGCTTCTGTGTTTCCTTCTACTTTCAGGCACACTCATATCTTTTATTTTGAGGGCAGGAGAGAATGAAACTTTGTTTATATTCCATAACTGTTTGATTATTTTTCAACCTGTATGTGCCATGCACCTGTGCTGTGGGCCCTTGCACTTACTGTTCCCTCTACCGGCAGTGCCCTGTCTCCAGATATCCGTGTGGATCGCTGGATACAGATCCCTACACAGATAACCCTTCCTCAGAAGGTCTGTCTTGTACCATTCTGTCTACCTACGTCACTCTCCTTACATTATTATAATGTGACATTATGTATTTATGAGCATATTCGATTTTCCATTCCTCCCCTATCCCTCCACCCCCAGTGCAGGCCCCAGAAAGCACAGGTTATATCCATTTTGTTCATGGCTATATTGCCAGTACCTATAACAGTGCTTGGCATATAGTAAAGACTTGTACATCCAGTTGCAGACAGGTCATGCCTGCAATCTGTAGCTGAGCCTTTAGAAGGTATACTTGAATTCTGTTACTTTTCTGGGGATAAAAATATGGGCCTATGGTGAAATCATTTACAAATTTCTTTAGTCTTAATTGAGATACAGTGGGACCGGTTTTCCCCTAATTTGTGTATGGGGACTTATATTCAAAGAACAAGCAAGCAGGCCGGACGCGGTGGCTTGTGCCTATAATCCCAGCACTTTGAGAGGCCAAAGAGGAGAATCACTTGAGTCCAGCCTGGTTAACAAAGCCAGACCCCATCTGCGTGTGCGTGTGTGCACGTGCGTGCGCACACACACAAACACACACACACAAAACCAATGTCCAGGTGTGGCGATGTTTGCTTGTAGTCCAGCTACTTGGGTGGGGGGTGGCTGAGGCAAGAGGAACCCTTAAGCCCAGGAGTTAGAGATTGCAGTGAGCTATGATCGCATCACTGCCCTCCTTCCTGGGTGACAGCGAGACCCTGTCTCAAACAAAACAAAAGAAACAAACCACGCAGAATTCTTAAACAGAAGAGGCTTTAAGCAAGGGGTTTGTAGATGACAGCTCCTTCCTCAATGGAATATGCATTTTCCCTTATGGGAAAAGGGCTCAGTGATTTTAGTATAACTTACTTAAGAACAAGGGTTATAAGGTAACAGTTTTATCTGTGTCTTTATTCAGGAAAAATCCTCGCGATGATCCCAGAGGATCTCAGTGAAGCCATTTGGGAATTTCCCCAAGAATTCCTACCTGAAAGGAATTTATCTTTTATTTCCCTAAGCCTCTTTGAAGATGCACACTTGTGGTTTAAAACCAAATTTTCTGGAGTACTTATCTTCTGCTTATCAGTGGATCACCAAGTAGTGATTGTAGCATATCTAGGTTTTTAAAGTCTTTTTCTTTTTCTTTCTTTTCCTTCCTCCTCCCTTCCTCCCTACCTCCCTTCTTGCCTCTATCTTGCCCTGTCACCCACGCTGGAGTGCAGTGGCACGATCACAGCTCACTGCATCCTCAGTCCCTTGGGCACAAGAAGTCCTCCCATCTCAGCTTTGGGGTCTTTTTCTATTAACCTATAAGCTTCCTGAGGGCAGGACCCACTTATTTCAAATCTCTTAAACCCTGGGATCTATAACTAGTGTCCCAGGAAGCTGCCATGAGCAGGAAGTGGGTTCTAGAGCTCTCAGCACTGTGGGGAGTGTGGGGCTCACAGAGTGGTAGGAGGAAGCATAAACTTCAGTTGCTGACATCTGGAGCACAGCTGCTGTTTTTTTTTTTTTTTTCCTTCTACTTTCATTTTAGGTTTAGGGGATACATGTGCAGGTTCGTTACACGGGTAAATTTCGTGTACAGATGATCCTGTCACCAAGGTAGCGTAGTACCTGATAGGTAGCTTTCCAACCTGCACCCTGGTCCTGGTTCAAGCAGTCCCTGTTGTCTGCTGTGCCCACCTTTGTGCCCATGTGTATTCAATGATTAGCTACCCCTTATAAGTGAGAACACATGGTATTTGGTTTTCTGGTCTTGAGTTAGTTCTCTTAGGCTAATGGCCTCCAGCTGCATCCATGTTGCTACAAGGGACATGATCTCATTCTTATTACGGCTGCATAGTATTCCATGGTATATGGAATATATACCACATTTCTTTATCCAGTCCATCATTGATGGGTATCTTGGATGATTCCATGTTTTTGCTATGGTGAATAGTACTGTGATGAACATACAAGTACATGTGTCTTTTTGGTAGAACAATTTATTTTCCTTTGGGTGTATACCCAATAATAGTTTTGCTGATAGTCGTAAGTTCTTTGGGAAATCTCCACAGTGCTTTCCACAGTGGCTGCACTAATTTACATTCCCACTAGCAGTGTGTAAGTGTTCCTGTTTCTCTGCAACCTTGCTGGCATTTGTTGTTTTTTTACTTTTTCGTAGTAGGACAGCTGCTGCTTCTTTTCACCATCTGTTAATAATAACTGGATGACATGGAATATGGAGGTCTTTGATACATGTACAAATAAACATTGTGTAAACAGATAAGGAAAGTATACGATAGGAGAGAGAAAAGGCCTTTATGAAGCAGGTTTTGGTGGTAATTAATTTGCTACTAAGGCTTCCAGTTGGTGATGTGAGTGATTTGAACTCCTGGGCTAGGGAAGGCTGTGGAAGAATAACCAACCACCTGCTTTCAACTTTAAGCTAATCATCAGTGATTGATTGTCATGAACAATGGCTTGCATTTGTAACTTGGTTCTTACTTATTCAACAACTGGGAAGAGATGGGCGGTCCGAAGCAACTATGTTAGCTCCAGATCTTAATGGAGGTAGGAAGGGGGCTGATGTCGCATAGCCTTTTCACAAGCTGCCAAACCCAGGCGGATGTTGGAAGTTGCCCTTCTGAACTGCCCTTTCATTTCCATCAGGCGGAGGGCTTGCTTTGCTGCCTGGGAACGTGGTGGTGGACTCTGGCTCTGCACCCTTCCTGCAGAGTGAATGCGCTCCAAATTAGAAAAACAGAAGTGTCCTACTTTCTATTCCCCACCACTGCCTCAGCTTGTTGCCGCAGCACCTCCTGCTTCAGCTGCCCTTCCTTGGGTTCTTGGCATGGCTGGGAGGAGCAGGTGCCAAGGCCCAGTGGCCAGCACTGCTGGGAACACAATACCAGTCAGGAATTTAATGATATCTCACTGCACTTAGTAAATATTTTGTGGGGGGGGTCTTAAAAAAAACAACCTGTAGATGTCATAATTAGTGATATAACAAGACAGATTCTGGAAGAAATTTAAAAATATAAAATTTCAGCTTTCAATCTGGATTGGCTGTTTGAATGAAAAGAGTGAGCAGCTTTTCTAGGCTTGGTTAGGGGATGAGGGATAGCGATAGTCTGGTGTGGAAGCATGATAAAGCATGCGGTGGAACAGACCCTCTGAGGAGCTAAAGGGAGGAAAGCAAGCAGTCCATGCTTAAACATGATCTTTATTTTACGTTAGCTCTTGGCATTTCTACTTCTTCAACAATTAATGGAATATATTCACATTTGGAATGGGCTAATTAAGGAACCTAGAATAACGCTAGTCAGTCATTTAGAAAGCCTTTCTTGGAGTGTTACTTTTAGTAAATGTAAAAGCATACTTCAACTTGTAATTCTCTCTAAATGGAAAAATTATAAATGCTGCCACCTGTTGACAAAATTTGAGGGTGCATTCTACTCCAGTTGGTCAGTGATCCCTGCCGACAGGGGATCTTACTGGCTGGATAATGACCCTCAGCTAAAAATGCTTTAAAATGTGCTGGTCTGACTGTACCTTATCTGACATTCTGTTCTTGGCGGCTGATTGGTGTGAGAAGTACACCTGAATTGCTTTGATTTGTTTAGCCCAACTTGAGACACAGATGTAGATCAATTTAAAGAATGCTGAAGCTCCCATGCTACCTTATAGAATCCATCATTTAAGACACCATTTCATATTGTATGCCCTGAAGCCTTAAAGTGGATCTGTGGCTGAAAAGTATGTTTTTCTTTTTCTTTTTTTTCTTTTTTTGAGATAAGAGTCTTGCTCTGTCACCCAGGCTGGAGTGCAGTGGCATGAACATGGCTCACTGCAGCCTTGGCCTCCTGGACTCAAGCGATCCTCCTGCCTCAGCCTCCTGAGTAGCTGGGACTAAAGGCATATACCACCATGCCTGGCTAATTTTAAATTATTTTGTAGAGACAGGATCTCACTTTGTTGCCCAGGCTGGTCTCAAAATCCTGGGCTCAAGTGAAATCCTCTCAAAATGCTGGGACTGTAGGTGTTGACCATTCTTCTCGGCTGAGTATCCATATTTTAAAAGTCTTGTAGATGAATAAATACTACTACTTACTTGGTAGAGCACTTGCCCTTATGTCTAACCAGAGTGAGAGAGAGCCCCTTTTCAGGACCTGTGACACAGCACCCCAAACTTTGGAGGCAGCCTTAGCCTATCCCCAGGGCCTCTGTGACCATTGCTGGGTCTAGGACACCACACTCGCCCTGAAAGTGGCACTCTTTGAGGCCAGTCACTTCCAACTCTGCCTTTCATTTCTGAGAGGAAGGTAAGCCATCCTCCTGTTCTCCTTTCTTTTATATCCGCTTCGGTTTCTTTATTATTGATTCCCCTCCTCACCGTACCCTCTGGAATCCTTTTTCCTTAACAGTTTCCCCCACCCTCCTCGCCACATACACATGCTATTTGCAGAAGTCTCCACTTTCTGTATTAAAGAAAACCTAGATTTCCCCTTAGGATGCTACTTTCTTTCTTGTCTTTTCTGTTACCGAGGACTTTCTCCTATGTGAAAATCTCATGTTGGGTGATGGTGGTGGTGGTATTATTATTCTGTCTCCTAGTGTGTCTTTCATCCTTTTCTAAAAGCTCAAATCTATCTTTATCCTTCATATCTTTCTTCTCAAACCTGCTGTTTGTCTTTTTACCTCCAGTCCCACATTGCCTTCATTTTTTCCCAGTACCGTCCGCCCCCTGCCATGCAATTTATCCTGAGCCAGCCACTATTCTGGAATTTACATATAGTAATTTGCTTATTTCTCACAATGACTTTATGAATTAGGTATTACTATTTTCATAGGCACAGAGAGGTTAAGCAACCAGGGTCACAAGTAAGTGGCTTAGCTGGACCTCAAACATAGGCAGCTTGCCTCTGGATCTATATTCCTGTGAATCAACTTTTCCTTAGTCATGTGTTTCAGGTCATGTGCAAAGATGCTCATTGCAGTATGACTGGAAACAACTTGGATGTCCACCATTAGGGGATTGGTTAAATTATGCTCTATCTAAACCATGCTGTACTCTGCAGTTATTAAAGAGAATGATTCCCAGCACTTTGGGAAGCTGAGGCAACAGGATTGTTTGAGGCCAGGAGTTCAAGACCAGCCTAGGGCACAAACCAAGACCCTGTCTCTGCAGAAGAGAATGAGACAGTAATATGTAATATGAAGAAAAAAATCTCCAAAGAGAAAAAGCAAGATGCAGAACATTTGTTGTGTGTATGTGGGGAGAAAATCTGGTCTGTGCGTGTAGCACTGGATCAGGCGGTTCCTGAAGCCATACAAGATTTAGATTTCTCAAGTCGTTTTGTAAGCTGCCTGTCAGAGACATCAGGATCAGGCATTTCTCCCTGTCTGAGAATTTGCTTCTCACAGTCTGCAGTTTTCTGTTCAGGAGGAAGACAGCATGGTGTGGTACATGGCGTGTGATTGTAGAGACAAATAGCACTTGATTTAAAGCTAGATTAGTCACTTATCATGTGATCTTGAGCAAGTCACTTCACTTTTCCCAGCATTGGTTTTTACAGTTTTAAAATGGGGATAAGGCCTACCTGACAGAATTATTGTTACTTTTGAGATAATATTTACTCATTCAACAAATATTTTCATTCGGCACTTACTGTGTGCAAAGCACGCTTACAGCACTAAGGTTATAGCAGTAAACAAGAACTTAAAATGTTCTACTCTAATTTAGTTTACTTCTGGTAGGAATAGAAACACTTAAAAAATAAGGTAAATCATATATGGCAAATGGTGATGAATATTCTGAAGGAAAACAAAAAGAAAATAAAGGGTGAATAGGAGTGTTGGCGTGTGGTAGAGGTGCAGTTTAACAGGACAGTTAGAAAAGTCTTAACAAGGCACCACTGGAGCCAAGATTTGGAAGAGCTGAGGATACACATGGGTATCTGGAGCAAAAGCAGAGGGAATATGAACTGTGAATGTCCAGGGTGGGCACCTGCTTGAGAGCTGCAAGGATGCCGGTATGGCTGGCACGGAGACGTGGACAGAGAAATGAGGTGAGAGAGGTGGCAGGACAGGGGCCCAGATGGGTAGGCCTTTGCAAGCCTGTACAATTTTGGCTTTTCCTCTGCATGTAATATATCTGGCACATAAGGGATGCTCTACAAATGGTAACTGTGTTATAAGGATGCCACCATGATGCCCTGCTTTTTAGGTAGGTAGAAGAAAGATAGACAGGGTAACATTTTAGGATTCTTTTTTTTTTTTGAGACAGGGTTTCCCTGTGTCTCCCAGGCTGGAATTCAGTGGCGCGATCTCAGTGCACTGCAACCTCTGCCTCCTGGGCTCAGGTGATCTTCCCACCTTAATCTCCCAAAGTGCTGGGATGAGCCACTGTGCTCAGCCTAGGATCCACCCATGCTCACCCACCCAACTTTTTATTTTATTTTATTTTATTTTGAGACAGGATCTTGGTCTGTCACCTAGGCTGTAGTGCAGTGGCACAGTCACAGCTCACTGCAGCCTCAACCTGCTGGGCTTATGCAATCCTTCTACCTCAGCCTCCCAAGTAGCTGGGACTACAGACGGGCACTACCACGCCCACCTAATTTTTGTACTTTTTGTAGAGATGAGGTCTCACTATGTTGCCCAGGCTGGAGGATTCTTTTTAACAATTACTTTTTATATGCCTGATACAGCAGCATCGTTGCATAGAAAGAGAGAACACTTTAGCAGAAATCTAAGGACCAGATGTCATATGCATTGTGCTGTTGGCTTTCACTGAATCCAAGCTTAATTAAACTGAGGCTAATAACTTCTCTATCCACCTCATAGGGTTAATGAGAAGAGTAAGAGGTAAGTAAATTTATAGAAATGCTTTGTGAACAGTTTAGTATATGTGAAGCATAAAGGCTATGTTTGCTGAGTTGCAGACTTGGAAGCCATGTAGTCCAGCTCCTTCCAAGGCACAGTTGTCTTGTCTTTGTGAATGCTTCTAGAAAAGGGCACTCACTACAGAAAATACCACAAAGCTGCCACTTTTCTTGATTTGGATCCTTAGTTACAGTTAACACAGCCTGCACGTGCACTAGTTCCTTGGAAGTTATACCATGTTGCTACCTCAAGGTACACTTGTATTATCAACAGCTTAAGAGTGAGTCTTTGTGTTGAATTTATCCATCTGTAACCCAAATGAAACCTCACCGTGATAAGGTATTGAACCAGATCAGGAAAGTAGATTAAGGAGCTTTACTATTAAAGAGTCAGGTAGGTGATGAAAGGGGCAAACTGAAAACCAGTGGAAGGAGGCTTATGGAAGTAGTGGCTGTGTTGTGCCCAGGTTCTGTGCTGTGCTGGGGTTGAGCTCCCTGTGACTCATGACTACCTGTGCTGAGCTGTAACTGCCACAGAGAGCACCAGGGACTCCCCAAGCTCTTAGAAAAAACCCAGAAAAGGAATTAAATGTGGGTGGATGAGGGCCTTTCTTTCCTGCTGCTGCGTTTTTATTGAATTGGGAAATGAGCTGAGCTCCTAGGTGAGCTCTACCAAGAGCAGCAGCAACCGTTTATTAATCAGCACACTCTCCATGTGCCCAGCACTTTGCATCTTATACATTTGACAGGGATTGTCACTTTTAATCCTCAAACTGCCCTGTGCAGTAGGCATTACCCTTTGTCATGGGCTGAGTTGTGGGTGTGTCCTCTGACCCCGAATTCCTGTGTTGAAGCCCTAACTGCCCCCCCAGTACCTCAGATTGTGACTATATTTAGAGAGAAGGTCTGTAAAGAGGTGATTAACTTCAAATGAGGTCATTAGGGTGGGCCCCAATCCAATCTGACTGGCGTCCTTATAAGAAAAGGACATTTGGACGTGGATACATAGAGTGAAGACCATGTGAAGGCAGCAGGAGAGACAGCCATCTATGAATCAATTAGAGGCCTCTGAAGGAGCAAACCCTGCTGATACCTTGGTCTTGGACTTATAGCTTCCAGGATTGTTTAAGCCACCCAGTCTGTGGCAGCCCTAGCAAACTAATGTGCCCTCATTTTTGTTGTTGTTGTTGTTTGTTTGTTTGTTTGTTTTGAGATGGAGTCCCTCTCTGTTGCCCAGGCTGGAGTGTAGTGGCACGATCTCGGCTCACTACAACTTCCACCTCCGGGTTCAAGTGATTCTCCTGCCTCAGCCTCCTGAGTAGCTGAGATTACAGGCGTGGGCCACCATGCCTGGCTTATTTTTGTATTTTTAGTAGAGATGGGGTTTTGCCATGTTGGCCAGGCTGGTCTTGAACTCCTGACCGCAAGTGATCCACCCGTCTTGGCCTCCCAGAGTGCTAGGATTACAGGCGTGAGCCACTGTGCCCGGCCCCTTGTTTCATATCTGATGAAACTAAGGATCTGAGAGTAGATGAAACTAAGGATCTGAGAGTATATGAAACTTGCCAAAGTTCTCACAGTTACGGCTAGGTAAAGTCCCGGGATTAAATCCAGGTGCGTCTGATTACAGGTAGAGATAAATCTAGGCATTAAATCCAGGTGTGTCTGTTCCCAAAGCTTGTGCTTATACCTAATGTGTTATTGAGTCCTGAATGTGTCTACCTTAAGGCTATTTCTCCTCACTTTTGAAATAGTGAGTGGCACCCAGATCTTTGACTTATTTCTGGTCCATTGTTCTTACTAATATACCATGCTTGCCTCCCCTGCCACCACTTTCCTTAGAGGTAAGATACTGCACAAGTACATGAGAGCCTCTGGAGAAGAATGTCACAAACAGGTGACTAAGTTAGGGAGTTCGTAAATCTGGAAAGATTTGCATGTGTTTGGGACTTTCCTTCCCAGCTCACTTCTGATGAAGTGAGATAGAGGCGACTTGTTCTTCAAAGTGGTTTGTTACCTACTTAGAAGTAGAGTTAAGCCTGACAGAAAAATGGGGCAGATAAGTGTTTAGTGTCATACTTGCACTGTTGCTGTCACTGAGAAGTTTGGTGGTTCGTCATGAATCGGGGTAAATATTAGAAATACCCAAGTCCTGCTCTCACTCCTAGATGTTCTACTCTAGGAAAGTCTGGGACAGGATCTGAGCATCCATCATCATTGATTTTTTTTCTTTTCTTTTCTTTTCTTTCTTTCTTTCTTTTTTTTTTGTTTGAGGCGGAGTCTTGCTCTGTCACCAGGCTGGAGTGCAGTGGCACGATCTCTACTCACTGCAATCTCCGCCTCCCGGGTTTCATTGATTCTCCTGCCTTAGCCTCCTGATTAGCTGGGATTACAGGCGCCTGCCACCATGCCCGGCTAATTTTTATATTTTTAGTAGAGATGGGGTTTCACCAAGTTGGCCAGGATGGTCTTGATCTCTTGATCTCAGGTCATTCACCCGCCTCGGCCTCCCAAAGTGCTGGGATTACAGGCGTGAGCCACCATGTCCGACCCTGATTTTTTCTTTTGAGTCTTCCTTGGTGATTTTGATGTGCTCATCAAATGGAGAACCCTTGAAGTTGTGGAATGGTTTATTTCTATAGTTGTTCCTTCTAAACCAGCTTTAGGTACCTGTTGCTTGTAGTCTAAATCACTGGAATTAATTATCATCTGTGGTCTTTAGCAGGTCTGAATGTGAGAGTCCAGTAGGTAGCAGGTGCTATCCAACATGTTTTTGAAATTTTTCTTGCTGAGTTCAGCCTATTTTGTACACTTTGCATTTTACTCCTCCAGAGGGCTCTAGAGCTCAGCTGAGCAGACTGGCTTGTTACCCTCATTAGACAAAGAAACTAGCCAATAAGATTTGAGCTTTTATTTGTTGGAGGAACTAATGTTATGTTATCTTTTAGAGCTTCCTGTTCTTTTCTTTTCTAGTGCTTCCCCCGCTCCCAGCTCTCAACCTCTATCCGATATAAAGACTGTTTTCTTGTCAAGGTCACAGTTAGTGATGCTAGAACACAAGGCAGAGACTGTGGCTAAGCTTTCAGGTCTTAGAAGAGGGATCTCTAAAATTCTTTGTTTACATTTATCAGTGAGAAGGTTGAATTTACATCTTCAATATATGGATAATTATGTATAAATTATTTATTTACCCATGCAGTTTCACTAATGTGATTGCAGTGCTTTTTTTTTTTTAGACAGTCTTACTCTGTCACCCAGGCTGGAGTGCAGTGGTACAATCTCAGCTCACTGTAACCTCTGCCTCCCAGGTTCAAGCAATTCTCGTACCTCAGCCTCCCTAGTGGCTGGGATTACAGGCATGCGCCACCAGGCCCAGCTAATTTTTGTATTTTTAGTAGACATGGAGTTTTGCCAGGCTGGTCTCGAACTCCTAGCCTCAAGTGATCCACCGGCCTGGGCTTCCCAAAGTGCTGGGATTACAGGCATGAGCCATCATGCCCGGCCACTAATACGACATTCTTTTAAAAGAATGAGCCAAGCCCTCCCTGCCTCCCGCTTCCCCAAAGTTCAAATATTTTCTTTCTGTACTTCAGTGAAGATAACTTTGGAAGCCACTGCTTTAGAAAATGCTTTTCATTGATGTGGCAGAGGTTTGCGGGGAAAGAGTTTATAGATGATCTTGAGGTTGTTTGGGCTGTAGGTACCTTTCTTTTTTTTTCTTTTTTCTTTCTTTCTCTTTCTCTCTGTCTTCCTTTTCTTTCTTTTCTTCTTTTTTTTTTCTTTTTGAGACAGGAGCTCACTATCTCACTCTGTCACCCAGGCTGGAGTGCAGTAGTGTGATTGTAGCTCACTGCAGCCTTGAACTCCTTGGGCTCAAGTAATCCTCCCACCTCAGCTTCCCAAGTACCTGTAACTACAGGCATGCATCACCAGTAAAAGCAATTTTTTAATTTTTATTTTTGGTAGAGATGGGTTCTCTCTACATTGCCCAGGCTGGCCTTGAATTCCTGGCCTCAAGTGATCCCACTGCCTCGGCCTCCTAAAGTGTTGAGATTACAGGTGTGAGCGACTGTGCCTGGCCTTGCAGGCAACTTTTTATTCCAATTGCCATCTTGACATTGTAGTGAAGAGTGAGTTGTCCAGGGAAAGGCAGAACCTGACAGTCATTGAGAGGGGACTTTATGTGGATGGCTCACAGGCAGTAAGGAAGGCTTTGGAGGAAGCATTGGAGAGTTAGCAAGCAATAGGTACCTGAAGCAGTGGCGTGGGTGGATTTTGTCACATTCAACTCAGTGAGCACTCAAATCAGCTTGGCATTCACACAGACTTAGGGGTTTCAATGCAGTGCTGCATATTCATGTTTGAGCCACCAACTTCCTGCAGTAAGGAAAGGAATTCTTTGAATTGTAAGTGCTACAGGGCCATGAATACCCATTTTTAAGTTGTCATCTTGATACTTCCAATTTTGAAAGGGTAGAGATGGGCTGGTATCCTTATCTGAATGGATTTAAAGTTTCTCTTCTGGATGTTGCATCTTTTATTATACTTTCAGCTCTTCATCTACCTGGTTCTTTAACTAGGATATAAAGACATTTTTTTAGAAAATGATAGTAGATCCAGCAAGATTTTTGTCAGAGCAGATAAACTGGAGTGATTTGTTTAGGAAAAAGTTACCACTGTGTAGCCCCACCAGAGCCAAACCTGGAGTTACATTTAAACAGGTCAATCTCTGAAGAAAAGTGTAATTTGGGGTCATATGACCTAACTCCTGAGGTCACCCAGAGCTTATACTTAAATCAGAAAAGGAAGAGATGCCCATGAGCCCAAATTTTAATTTTGTTATTTCCACACATTTAGAAAAGTAGGAAGAATAAGTTTTGCATTATCCCAATAGATTTAAAAACTCTAGTTCCTTTTAAAATCTTTAAATAGACTTAAAACAATTTCAAATTTTTTCCAGCTTTATCGCGGTATACTTGACAAGTAAGTGTATATATTTAAGGTGTACAATGTGATGCTTTGATACATACAGTGTGAAATGATTACCACAGTTAGGTTTAATAATTAACATATCCATCATCTCACATAGGTATGATTTCTTATGTGTGTGGCGAGAATCCTGAAAATCAACTCTGAGCACATTTCAAGTGTACAATACAGTATTTATGATAGTCACCATGCTGTTAATCAGATTGCCTACCTTGGTTAAAGTGCAGACTCAGGTGAAGGTCTGGATGGAGGATCATACTTTAATTGATTTAGACTCTAAAATAAATGTATATAGTTATTTTTGCTAACCTAAGAACCTACTCATAAATGGCTAGTGTTAAAATGATGTAAGATAAAATGCTTTCCCTTCACTTTTTTAACAGAAGTGGAAATGGAGGTGATGTAACTTGCCTGAGGTGACACAGGTAGTTAAGAGCAGAGAAAGGACTAGAGCCAGGACTGGTTTAGTGATTTTTAGTTTAGCGCATTTTAAATTTTTATCATATGATTCCTTAATCTTTGAGTCTTCCAAATGCAGAAGCTAGGTTATAGAATAGCATATTTTATTTTAATATTACATTTATGGAGGTAGATATTCTTGGTTAAAGCTCATTTTTAAAAAATAATTTCAACTTTTAGATTCAGAGGATACATGTGCAGGTTTGTGACATGGATTTATTATGTGGTGCTAAGGTTTGGGATGCAAATGATCCCATCACCCAGATAGTGTAAAGCTCCTTTTAGAATGGTATATGCAGATTTAATTCTGTCACTGAAAATGTTTCAAGAACTAATTGGAACTGGGCAATAGCTTGCATTTCACTTGTTTTGTTCTTTGCATTTAGGTTTTCCTAGGACATTAGGACAAGCCGAAGCCCTGGACAAAATCTGTGAAGTGGATCTAGTGATCAGTTTGAATATTCCATTTGAAACACTTAAAGATCGTCTCAGCCGCCGTTGGATTCACCCTCCTAGCGGAAGGGTATATAACCTGGACTTCAATCCACCTCATGTACATGTAAGAATATACAAAGTGCTTTCACAACCTGACAAGAAAAAGACAAACAATTTCCATTGAAAAGTGGAGAAAAGGATATGAGTAGACCATTCAAAAAAGAACAAATCTACATGACCAAAAAACATTTTTTAAATGTTCAAATGTAGTTGTCAGGGAAGGGACATTTAAGTATTTAAATAGGATATCACTTTGGATCTATTGGACTGGCAAAATCAAAATATAAAAATTTTTAATTTTATATTTATTACTGATAAATATATGTATACAATGTATATAATTATATTTATTTTATTTAAAAAATAAAACTAAAAGTCTATTGCTGGTGGGATCTGGGGAAAATAATACTCCCTTTTTTTGTTAGCTGAAGTATTACTAGCCTCTTTTTAAAGCAACATAACAATGTACATTCAGAATTTTAAGTAAATAATTTAATTCAGGCTACTTTTAAGAGAATAGCTGTGGAAATGGAAGCATTAGCAGGTTAGGTCATGTATAGGTTGATGCTTGTTTCAATGTTGCTGTAGTGGGCAAAAAACAAAACCAAAAAAATCTCAAAAAAGCAAATGAATGTCCATCTGTAGTGGAATGGTTAAATACATTGGAGAATATTTATACCATCTTGGAATATAATATAGTCAGTAAAAAGAATGAATTAGCACTACTTAAAAATTAATATACTTGATTTTTAGATAAGCTTTAGGTTTACATAAAAATTAAATGGAAAATCCCCTCCCTCACCCTAGCTTCTTCATTATTAGCATTTTGCATTAGTGTAGTACATTTGTTACAGTTAATAAACTAATATAGAAAAGTTATTAACTAAAATTCATAGTTTGCATTGACGTTTTCGTTTTTTATAGTCTATGGATTTTCACAAATGCACAATGACATGACATTTTTCCATCATTACTGCATTATACAGAATAGTTTCATGGTCTTATAATTTATATTTCCTGTGCTCTACCTATTAATTCCTCCCTGATTTTCGCCAAACTTCTGAAAACTACAGATCTTTTTACTGTCCTTATAATTTTGCCTTCTATAGAATGTCATATCGTTGGAATCATATAGTATATCTACTTATCAGACTTGGCTCCTTTCACTTAGTGATATGCACTACACATTCTGTGTTTTTTGGAGGCTTGGTAGCTCATTTATTTTTGTAAGTGAATAATGTTCCATTGTATGGATGTACCACAGTTTATTCGTTTTGAAGAACATCTTGGTTCCATGTCTTGGCATTTATGAATAAAGCTGCTCCAAATATTCACGTGCAGAGTTTTGTGCAAAATGTAAGTTTTCAACTATTTTGGGTAAAGACCAAGGAGTGTAATTGCTGGATTGTAAGTGTATATTTTAGCTTTGTGAGTAACTGGCAAATTGTCTTCCAAACTGGTTATTTGATTTTGCATTTCCACCAGCAATAAATGTTTCTATTTCTCCATATCATCACCAGTATTTAGTGTAGTAAGTGTTTTAGATTTCAGCCGTTCTGCTAGGTGAGCATTATAGTTTTTTGACATGGAGAAATCTTCTGAAAGTGTTTTTCTTTTTTATTTTCTTTTCTGAGATGGAGTCTCGCTCCATCACCCAGGCTGGAGTGCAGTGGCGTGATCTCAGCTCACTGCAACGTCCGCCTCCTGGGTTCAAGTGATTTTTCTGCCTCAGCCTCCTGAGTAGCTGGGATTACAGGCATGTGCCAGCATGCCTGGCTAGTTTTTGTATTTTTAGTAAAGACAGGGTTTCACTATGCTAGCCAGGCTGGTCTCGAACCCCTGATCTCAAGTGATCCACCTGCCTTGGCCTCCCAAAGTGCTGAGATGACAGGTACGAGCCACTGCGCATGGCCCTGAAAGTATTTTTCAATGAGAAGTGCAAACAGCAGAATGATCCCATTTTTGTAAAACAGGGACTACACCTCTTTATGTATATCTGTTTGTGTGTGTGAGTGTGTGATCTATAGCTTTATAAGATCAGGGAGAAAGTCATGAGGGCTGTATCCTGGGCTGGAACTGGATGAGGGAAAGGAATCATAGTTGATGTGCAGAGTGGGTAGTTAAGTGACTAGGGAAGGCTAAAGGAATAAAAAGATTACCCTTAAACAGTTCAAAGTATAACATTGATACAGTTACCTAAAATTAGACATGTGTAAAGGTATATGTGTAAAGATATTTTAACAAATTTTCTTAAAGAATTATTGTTTTTTTGATAAAGACTATTTGGTTTATGATAAAGACTATCTGATAAAGACAGATTGAGCTGTCTTTATCATATAATAGTGAACGCCAGTTTTGGGTGGTAGATAGTATTACTTGTTATTCAAATGTGGAATACATGCCTTACTAGGTTAGTCTTTATGGAAACATTACACTTGGATATAGATGGAGTCAGTAATTACTATAGAAAATTTCTTCGAGGGGCTAAGAATGGCTTCCCAACTCCTGGGTGCCATTGTGTCAGTAAAGTCCCAGTGAGACTTTTTCACTAAGCACTCCTTTTGAAGTCTTCTTTTAAAAATGTAAAAGCAGGCCAGGCTTGTTGGCCTGGGAGGTCAAGGCTGTAGTGAGCTGTGATTGTGCCACTGCACTTCAGCCTGGGCGACAGAGTAAGACCTGGCCTCCCTCCCACCTCCAAAAAACATAAAAATTTTCTAATTCTTGTATTAGATCCCTTCCTGATATCTGTCTCAAGAAGCTATGATGGGGGAAAAATGGGTGGGAATAAAAAAGGAGTTCTGACAATACAGATGGGAAAACTGAAGTCCAACACAGACGCTTTATATTTTGCATTTGTCCAGACCTGCTGACGCAGAGATTCTCATAAAATTTGAAAAGCCTTACCACTGAGTTGCTTTTCAAAGCCTGGGTTTCCCTCAAAGAACATCTGCAATTACCATGCTGCTTTTGAAGACCATAGTGAAAGTGCTAACCTAGACCAGCTCTACCAGCTGTGGTGAAGTGGCTATGTTGTCTGGGATATATACCCTGGGGTTCGTCATCTCATGCCAGGAAAATTTAGGACACGGACGCAAGGAGTTTAGGAGCGGAGGTTTAATAGGCAGAAGAGAAGAGAAGAGAAAGAGAAACAGCCCTCTCTACAGAGATAGAAGGGGCTCCAAGTGGAAAAGACCAGCTGGTGGTGGATGCCCCGGATTTTATAGTCCAGGGTGAGGAGATGGTGTCTGATTTACATAGGGCTCACAGATTGTTTGGATCAGGCATGATGTTTACACAGTGCTGGAGAAAGGCTGGTGGCCCCACCCTAACCTTATTATACAAATGAACTCTCCCTGTCCTGCTTCTGATAGTACACGTGGCTGACAAAGAGAAGGGAAGATGGAGCCGCCATCTTGAACATGTCTAGTCCCTAGTTCCTGCCAGCATTCCCCCGTGCAAGCTCCCAGCTTGCTTGTCTATGTCTGCAGCTCGACTTTACAGGCTGATCTTTGTTAGAAAATGATTTGGGGCTGCTTTTCATTAAAGAGAAAAGCCTTACTGAGGATTCCCATGCCCTTACCATCTGCCTAAGTGATTTCTTCTTAACTCCTGTGTCAGTGGTAGCCGGATTCCCTGGGAAGGAGGGACGCTGTTGCTCTAGCATCATTCTGCTTTTTGGAAACAGGGTTGTATTTGCTGATGCTCTGAAATTCTGGAAATGACTTTCTGAGCCTTGTGGCTGTAAGTAAAATAAAGAAGGTGGCAATAGAGGTAATATATTCTCCCATCCCCATCTCTCTTGTCATGTTGGGTTAACAACCATAGAATACACATGTGATAATTACATGGCTTACTCATAAATCATAAGAATAAGTCATATACCCAAGGCCCTGAGCTGTAATGGAATTTTAGTGCATTTCAAATTTATAGCCAGTTTCTGATTATCCAGTTGAGTTGCCTGTGCCTCTCAGTTCTGTTCTGGCCTACCTTTTGACAGGTTTATTTCTTGTGACTATCTCCCCTGGTGAGTAATAGTCATGGATGTGGGAGGCAAAATTCAAAACGTGTCCATTTTGCAATTTTAAGGAGGCATGATTCCTGGGGAGATTAAAACAAATTGAAAATCAAGGTGTTTTTTTTTTAATTATAATTTTTCAGTTCTCAGAATGTTTGTCCCTGATTGTCATGGGTAATTTAATAATTTCTATTTTAATACACCTTTAAATATGTCATTTTTTAAATATTCTAATTCATGCCTTCTGTTTCTCTTTTCCTTAATTTTAGTGGTTAAGAGTTTCACTAAAATAAATGTTATTTTTTATTTTTTATTATTTTTATTTAAATTTTTTTGAGACAGTGTCTCGCTCTGTCACCCAGGCTGGAGTGCAGTGACACGATTTCACTGCAACCTTTGCCCCTGGGTTCAAGTGATTCTCCTGCCTCAGACTCTCGAGTAGTTGAGAATACAGGCACCCGCCACCACACCCGGCTAATTTTTGTATTTTTAGTAGAGACGGGGTTTTGCCATGTTGGCCAGGCTGGTCTCAAACTCCTGACCTTAAGTGATCCGCCCGCCTTGGCCTCCCAAAGTGCTGAGATTATAGGCATGAGCCACTGCGCCCCAACCAACTGATAAATGTTATCACGTATGATGAGAGTGGGGGGGTTCTTGCCTTTTTCCCCAAACTTATAGTAAGTGTATTCAATATTTAACCTTATGTATGATATCAGCTATAACTTTATTATAATGTCCTTCATGAGATTTTGGGGGGGAATAGAAAGCTAGCAAAATAATTAGACAAACATACTGCAGAAAATCATATACATTTTCAAATCAAATACATAAAACCAGCCAGGCGCAGTGGCTTATGCCTGTAATACCAGCACTTTGGGAGGCCAAGGCAGGTGGATCACCTCAGGTCAGGAGTTCGAGACCAGCCTGACCAACGTGGTGAACCACACTGTCTCTACTAAAAATACAAAAATTAGCTGGGCATGGTGGCAGGCACCTGTAATCCCACCTGTTCGGCTGAGGCAGGAGAATCACTTGAACCCGGGAGGCGGAGGTTGCAGTGAGCCGAGATCGAGCCATTGCACTCCAGCCTGGGCAACAGAGTGAGACTCCGTCTTAAAATAAATAAATAAATAAAATAAAACCTGTATTAATCAGAACTAGCAGTTAAGGTATATTTTTTGTTTTACATTGAGAAAGAAGCAACACATAGGAAAAGCTAAAATAAAGGATTTAACAAATCCAACACCAGCTTACCTTTTGAGTAATATAATTTAGGTGAGGACACAGTCACTTCAGTTTTTTTTCCCTTCTGTATGTTCCTACAGTGTATGTCATTATTTGATCTAGTAAAATAACCTGAATAAGAGAAATTTCATAGAAGCTCCAGAATAGAATTGGAAAGCTGGCAGAGATGGTACTGAACCGTATTCTCCTAGATTAGTATTTTTCCTAAGTAAGCCAAGTTGTTTTTTTGAGATTTTGTTTTCCGCATTAAGAACTCAGGCTTTATTTTAGAAGACAAGGTAGTTTTAGGGATATTTAGAGAACCAAGATGACAAGGTTTGTTGTTAGGAGAGGTTGCATGCAATTTTAGGCTGAATTGAAAGTACCATTTATCAACAGCACTGGAACATGTTTGAAAAGATCTGAACTGTTAATAAAGATTTAATGTCAGCTCCCAGGAAATAAGGTTAACATACTGTTAAGTGTGCTATTTCTTTTTCTACTACTCTTAAAATTACCACTGTCACCAAGGCCTAATTCATCATGTGGTAGGAGTTAAAGATGAATACATGGTTTTGCACAGAAAAGTTTTTAACCTATGAAATGGCCCAACTGTTGTCTATATTAATTGGTTTATTTGGTATTTGTAGGGTATTGATGACGTCACTGGTGAACCGTTAGTCCAGCAGGAGGATGATAAACCCGAAGCAGTTGCTGCCAGGCTAAGACAGTACAAAGACGTGGCAAAGCCAGTCATTGAATTATACAAGTGAGTGTGCTTCAATATTTTCATGACAAAGGACAGACTGGAAAGGTGTGGAGCCTGCTGGGAGGAACACGGGGCTGAGGCAGAGTAGTGTTTCTTTAAGACAGATAAACACTAGCGATCCAAAACCTTCCCAGAAGTCAGATGAAATGCTGGAGCTGTACATGAAAGATAAGGTTCAATACTTTTATCCTGAAACTGTTAGAACATAAGGACCCAAACCTGATCATCTCTGTCTGCTTTGGATGTAAAACAACATTGAGATTTATTTTCATTTTCTTAAAAATTTAAGTGACTGAGATAGTGGTCCCACATATGTTGATACTCCCACATATAAATATATGGTTTGGATAGAAGATTAGAAGACACTTGGTGTGTCCCTTCTTGAAGTGTCTGTAAGGAGTTTAACAAAAAAAGGCTAAAACCGTAAACCAGAGATTAAAAATTCAAATGGCTGCAGGGGCTAGGGCAGGTATTGGAAATGAGTCTCAAACATGGTGGGGGATGTGTCAAGCTAGACAGTTGAGTGACAGGTCTTGGGCTGTTCCGGCCAGTTATCATTCTAGGGCACGCAGGCCAATGATTCCCATTTTTCAGGAATAGCAGAAATCTGGTTTTCTGTGTGTATGTGTGTGAGGGGGAATCTCAGTTTTCATATTGGCAACATATTTAAATTTTTTAAATAACATGCAAGTCAAACAAAACTTTATGCTGAGTGCATTCAAAACAGCAGTTTATACTCTGTTACAATCACTTTCTGGCCTTGTAGTCCCCCCCAAAATTTAGCAAACCTTAAGATCAGAGTTTTATGATCATATTATTATGATACATCAATTATGTATTCCATGATTGACTAAGTAATATAGGTTTTAGTAAAGCTTTTCAGTGGTTCGCTTTTGAAAATTATATATTGGGGCACATTTGGAATGGCCCCTATAATGCTATTCTTTGATATGTTTTAAAGGGGGAGAAAAAAGGTGGCATCATGACAAGCATACCAGAATTGCAAAAGCTATGACCTTATTTATGTACACCCAGTGGAGGTGTTGATACCTTTGAAAGGGGCTGTTTTAGCACTTAGTGTGGTATATGATATAGACCATGAGATCATGCTTGTTTTATATCTAGGATCTTCTGCACTAATACGTGGAAAAGAAACCTAAAAAGCCATTGTATGTTGGGCTTTGTTTTTCAGGAGCCGAGGAGTGCTCCACCAATTTTCCGGAACGGAGACGAACAAAATCTGGCCCTACGTTTACACACTTTTCTCAAACAAGATCACACCTATTCAGTCCAAAGAAGCATATTGACCCTGCCCAATGGAAGAACCAGGAAGATGTGGTCATTCATTCAATAGTGTGTGTAGTATTGGTGCTGTGTCCAAATTAGAAGCTAGCTGAGGTAGCTTGCAGCATCTTTTCTAGTTGAAATGGTGAACTGATAGGAAAACAAATGAGTAGAAAGAGTTCATGAAGAGGCCCTCCTCTGCCTTTCAAAAGGCTGGTCACCTACACATGTTTAAGGTGTCTCTGCACATGTCTCAAGCCCATCACAAGAAAGCAAGTACAGTGTGGATTTCAAATGGTGTGTAACTTCAGCTCCAGCTGGTTTTTGACAGCTGTTGCTGTGGTAATATTTTTGACATGTGATGGTGATAGTCTCTGGTTCTCCCCATCCCCACAAAGGCTGTTGAACCACAGCACCAGGAAGCCTGAGAATGAATCCTGAGGGCTCTAGCCCAGGCTTTGTCCCAGGCTTTCTGGTGTGTGCCCTCCTGGTAACAGTGAAATTGAAGCTACTTACTCATAGTGGTTGTTTCTCTGGTCTTGAGTGACTGTGTCCACAGTTCATTTTTTTCCGGTAGGAATAACTCCTTTTCTACATCCACGCTCCATAGAGTCTCTCCTTTTCAGACATCCTGGGATGAAAGAATTTGGCTTTTTTTTTTCTTTTTTTTTTTGGACATCTGTTTTCACTCTTAGGCTTTTAAACAATAGTTATTGCTTTTATCCCTCTCAGATTCTAATAACTGAGAGCGATGGGGCTATATTGAATCTCTGTATGCACTGAGAACTGAGCTATGAAGAGGATCTTATTAAACTGCTGGTCTGACTTTATGGATTGACACTGTTCCTTTCTTTTATTGTGAAAAAAAAAAAAAACCCTGAAAGTCTTGGGAACCCCCTAAAGTCTTTTGGGAATCCTCAAAAAGCATGGGAAGTTAAGTATTTAGCTACATAAATGTTGTAAGATCATATCTTATGTATAGAAGTAATAAGACCATTTGGAATTACTGGACTAATTGAATAGTTAAGGTTTCTATTCGGGACAATAAAATGTATTTTGAAAGTGCTGCTAACTATTGATGCTGACAGTGTTTCACTCCTATGAGTGACCCAAACATATTATAAATATGTGGTAAAGGGAATGGAGCCTGTGGGGTTGAGCAGAATGTTGTACTAGCTGTGCCTGGACTGAGTATAACAGCTTTATGATTATGAGAAAACAAATTCTTTATTTTTTTTTTCTGTTCCAAAGATTCATCCTATGGGGTGGCCATAAAGTCTAGAATTAGATACTAATATTTTGTCATTCATTATAACATATCAATAAACCATTTGTTAAAAGATTTGCCTGGTTTCCAGACTTGGTGGCCACCTTGAATAATTCTTGCTGTCTTCTGGGAAGGATGATGAAATTTATTCCTGCTGCCTTAAAAATATGTATCCCTTCTTCACCCATCATGACTGTCCCCAGTGAGTGTCCTTTACTATTCTTGGGAGTGACTCCTGTCTAACTTTTCATACTGGCGAGAAGAAAAGAAGCCTATTTTAACACTTTAGTGGTGTTGAAACACATTACTTACTTTCTGAAGATGTCCCAGTGAATCCTCTGTCAATTCACTGCCATATGTAATCTATATGATAAGGAATGCATCTTCCTTCTAAGTACTGCCCAAACTCTTGCCAGCTCCTCTCCCATTGTCCCTTCATGTGAATATTTCTTGGCTACCTTAGTGGAAATATAGATCAGTTTTCTCCCCATCCATCCTCTCAAACATAATGAGATTGTTTACTTTTTAGATTTATGCAGTGAAAATGCCCAGTCAGGTCTGAATCGTCAGTGCATTATATTGACTCTGAGCACTTTAGAATTTAGAGTTGCAATTGAATGCCAGCTGTGGAGATGGGGTGCATATCAGATATATAAATAAAGCTCAGGTTTGCTAGGGAACCAGGTATAGAGAAAAATAAGTCTGATATGAGGAAAATTGCACAATTTAGAGTAGTTATGCCGTAGAGAAAATTTCCACAAACTAGGAAATGTAGAGAGTTATTCTATAGAATACTCAAAAGAGGAAAGTATGTGATTTTTGGAAACAGGAAAATCTTCAAACTTCTTTCTTCACTTCCCTTTGTGTTTAGCTGACCCTCCAATGTGATCATTGCCTTTGGAGTTTGGGAGAGGTACGGGAAGTGGCCTGATCCCTGCTTCCATACTTCACTCCTCCATCCATCCTTCCCTCCCTCTTCCCCTCCAGCTAAATGGACAATTCTAGCCAACATTGAGTCACTCAATAAGTCTCAACAGTGGGTGTGTTTGCTGAGATTGTCCAGCGGTTGAGCAGTTTGGTCTCACCTCCCTCGCTAGTTGAGACCAAAAAGAGACAAATAACTTTTTCATGGTCTTTGAAACATAATGCTTATTTCGTGGTCAATGGCTTTAAAAAAATCTGTTTCTTGTTTTCTTCAACAAACTCACTAGTTTTCCCTTAAATGATATTGTAAAAATTAAAGTAATCTTGAAAATGTTTTGACAAAAGTAAAATTAAAGGGACATCTTTTCTTGTTTTGTTTTTTTTTTTTCTATTGCCACACATGACCGTTCCTTCACCTTTAAGCAAAGAGAGTGGTTCAGATGGTTTCTAAGATGCCAACCTGACCTCGCATTCTGTCATTCTACCCAGCTCTTAATTCAATTTGCTTCCATTATCCTAACAGGCTTCTTTCTTACTTAGAACTTGGAAAGGCTGCTGTATTTAATACCCTCCAACACTAACGCAGACTTAAGATAGGTACTGTTTATTGAAAACCTACTGAGTGAAATGTGCGGTTTTAGGACCTTCATAAACATCTCATTTAATCTTTCTAGCATCCTGTGAAACAGCCATGATTTCACGTTGATAAACAAAGAAGACAGGGGTCCCAGGGATGTGAAGCATCTTGCCCAGGCTTCTGCTGCTGGTGACCAGTGTAGCCAGGACTCCAGCCCAGGTTTTCCTGACTCAGAAGACTGAGCTTTTTCCTGGATGTTATTAATAGCTAATTGTGTCCAAGCAACCAAGGGCCTTGAGTCTGCTTGGTTCTGCTTATGGCCTCACATCAAGAAATGGAGCTAGTCCATGTCTGTAGTCCCAATGCTTTGGGAAGCCATGATGGGAAGGTTGTCGGAGGCCAAAAGTTCAAGACCAGGCTGGGCAATATCACAAGACTCCATCTCTACGGAAAAGTAAAAAATTAGCCAGTCATGGTGGTGTACACTTATGGTCCTAGTTACTCAGGAGACTTAGGCAGGAGGATTGCTTGATCCTAGGAATTCGAGGCTGCAGTGAGCTATGATTGCACCTCTGCACCCAAGCCTGGGCGACACAGCGAGACCCTCTCTCTTAAAAAAAAAAAATAGCAGAGCTCACCAAAGTGATGTTCACCTTTTTATGACATTCCTTTTTCTTAGCTTAAGAAAAGAAAGCTGCTAGATGAGAGTCTTAGTTTTCCTGCATAAGACCTCCTTTATGAATAGAATAAAAGACTGTCAAAGTAGGCTGGGCTTGGGCCCAGGCTAATCTATGAAGGAAGCAAGCTCGTGTTCCTTACCTATCCTTTTGGTGTCCATTGGATTGTGCCCCGAAGTGGCCTTTACCCTTGAGCCGTCCCCAGCCATGGTGCTCACACATAGGCTTTTGAGCTCCTTGGAGCTATCCAGATCCTGCTCACTTTTCCTTCCTGAGATCAGAACAAATCACCCCCTTACTCCCACTCCAAACAAGGCCTTGATGATAAACTAATCCTTCCTAAAATGCTGGTAGGTAAACAAGCAATGATGAAGCATTGAACACAGGTTAACTCCTGACTTTTGTACCATTGTCTATTCCATTACACATTAACATGACTCTGAATGCCAGATCCAAACCTTTGCCCACCATCTGCTTGTCGTGCAACAGTTGAGGCAGTAACCAGGGGAGATTCACTTCCTGTCTTGTCCTTCCCCAGGGATCACCCCCCTGCTGCCCTCTAGCAGCCAAACTCAGATGAGTTCCATTGTTACCCTAGGTGTGCCCATCTCTTTGGTAGGGAAGGAGAAAGGTAAGAATAGCCATCAGTGAGGAAGGATTCTTGGAGCGAGGAGCCACTGTGGTTTTTCCTGCTATTTAAGATGTTGAGACCGGATAACTTTAGAAAGATACCTGCACAAACCCATAAATAGTGCTTTTATAAAGTTTAGTTCACCGGAACCTGAGTTCAGTATTTGACATTAGCTTTTTGTCCAAAGAGTTGAAGCCTGCTGGAGGTCTTTGCTCAAATAATAAATACCACATATTTCCAAGTGTGTTCAGGTATAGGCACTAGGTACTGTCTGTTTACTTCATGTTAGGCACATTACATGCATTGGCTAATCAAATCCTCATCAATTACATATGTAATAATCTAAACTTGCCTCCTTGTATTATAAATGGAAATAATCCTGTTTATTTAAACGGGTTTTCATGTACCTGTAGGGATTAGGAAACTCAAATGGCCTTTTTAATACCTTTCCCTAGTTTGAGCTCCCTGTTCTCTTTAACAGATAAAACAACATATTTGCTTCAGCCTGGAATCTGTTTTTGGTGCTTTGGTGCAGAGACAGGAAATGGGCACTCAGAGTCACACTGGTAGTTGCACACTGTATCTACAGAGGGCGTGTCTCATCTGTACTCTGCTGGGTTACAGGATTTCAGTAGGTATTTGTGTCCACCTGAGAATTCTGTTTATTACCTTTCATTTGACAGTGTCTTTCCTTTCTGCAGTTGATTTTGCTAGAGAGGCAATTCATAAGGTGAGGTCCTGTTCATAGTATGACTTGCTTTCTCAATATCTCCTTCAATTTTTAGTAACTCTTGGTCTATTTGGTGTCTTTAAAAAAAATAACCTAGTAATAAAGACTTCTTTTAATGTGGAAATGTGGTCTGGTAGTAAGTTATTTCTTTCCACATGTAACTGACCCAATCTGGTTTCCAAATGAGAAGTGTGCAGGCCCCAGAGGTTGAGAAGCCATATTTCAACTGTGAAAAAAATCTGCTTCCTGCATCTGTTGAAATATAGTTGTTCATACTTGCCATCCCTTATCTTTCTTGTAACAATTTGCACAGTTCTTGCCAGAATAAATGCCATTATCTGTATGTTTCAGGGAGTTCCCCAATTTGATCATTTTTGTGTGTGTGTGGTGTGTGTGTGAGAGAGAGAGATACTGCAGTAAAACATTTCTAAAGGATGAAAGCTCTTGTATGGCATAGATATGAATTCCTTCCTCTGGTAATAATTAGGTTATTCCCAGAAGCACAGTGTCATTCTTTAAATAAAAGCTTTCCTGTTTAAAGCTTTTCAAAGGAGCAGACCACCTTGAAGATTCCCCCTAGGGTTGATATGTGTCTAATTCATTTTATAAAAATTATTCTTGTCTTCATTTTAAAGCTTTGGCTATATAGTCAGAAATGTCCTAAATAACAAACTATTTTGTATTTAATTTAGGGAAGACTAAAGGGAAGAAAAATGAAAACTCAGTCTTTATGTAAGCTCCAAGGATATTAGGGCTTAAAGGGCTTTTCTAGTTTTATGAGAATTTGTACTACTGATTTTTATATATTCCTGTTTTTGAGATGAACAGATCTCTGGGGAAATTGTTGAGTTACAATGGCATTTCACTGTGATCCCTCTCAAGCTCAGATCAGTTCTATAACCCAATGACAACCTGTCTCTTTGGTTTACTGTCCTGTGAAATGTCAGCTCAAGTTTCCCAGAAGTCGTGTGTTTATGATGAGTCAGAGTGCTTTTCCTCGGTGGGACAGTTGCTGGCCCTCTTAATTTTGGTGTATGTGCTTCCAAGTATCTAAACCTCCAGTCTGATCTGTATATGCTATCCTAACTGTTAATTGTATTATTGATTATGTTGATTATCTTGCTTGAAGGTTCATACTTTTCAATTTGATAGAAATAAAGTTTTTTTCTGCTTATAGCTAGCGAATTCATTTGTTTGTATAGCTTTTTATACTTGATAATATAAAGTTTCACAAATACTTTCATTGATGCGTCTCTGCAACCACTACATTACCAACAATGTTGTCTCCAATTTGCAGAAAAGCAAGATCTTGAACCAAGAATTATTATCCCCAGTCCTGTTTTCTTTTCTGCTACACCATATTGCCTTATTCGTATACCCTTAAATTCCTTATTTGTCCAGCACTTTATTGTTTACAATTTTAATGTACATTCTTTGTTTTTTTCCCCCTAACCACTAGACAACCAGGGATTTTTCTTTTTCTTGAAATAGATAATGTGAGCAGATTCTCTCCCTGTTTTACACATTAGGAAACTGGATCAGATTATATGACTCTTAAGGTTGTAGCATCTGGGATTACTCAGCAGAAGCAGAAACTATAGCAGGCCTATCACATGGGAGCTAGAACCACAAAGAAAATAGAGCTGCTGTAGGAGAAGCTCCCTGAGATAGTGAGGGATGGGGAAAAATACTCTGGCATTTCCCAGCCTCACACTCTCCTGTCTCTGGGGCGGCTTCCCTTAGCTGAACCCAGCCAGAAGCCAGCTGACATAGGAGCCTGAGAAACATGTTCTAAAGGCTTGTCCATGCCGCTGAAAAGGCAGAGGAAAGGGGAACTGAAGAGGATGGAATGTAGTAGATTGTATTAAATTTAATGACATCCGTCCAGTCCCCTCCTTTTTTTTTTTTTTTTTTTTTGGAGACAGGGTCTTGCTTTGTCACCCAGGCTGGAGTGCAGTGATGCAATCATGGCTCACTGTGCACCCTCAACCTCCTGGGTTCATGTGATCCTCCTGCCTCAGCCTCGTTAGTAGCTGAGACTACAGGTGCATGCCACAATGGGCTAATTTTTTTTTTTCTGATTTTTTTTTTTGTAGAGACAGGGTCTCACTAAGTTGCCCAGGCTGGTCTCAAACTCCTGGGCTCAAGCAGTCCTTCCACCTTGGCCTCCCAAAGTGCTTGGATTACAGGAGTGAGCCACTGTGCCTGGCCACTTTCCCTTCTTTTGGGAGGATTTTACAACTTGGCCCCATTGGCTTCATGCTTGGACATATGGTTTGCTTTGACCAGTGAAATGTGGGCAGAAATGACGTGTGCCACTTCTGAGCAGAAGTTTTAGGAGCTAGGGCATGGTCACCATTCTTTTCCTTTGCAGTGAGACTGGCGACCTCACAGAGCTCTTTCAACCTGGATCCTAAAGTGAAGACGTGGACCAGAGATGTAGCCAATCCATCATAGATGAGTAGTGTGCATTAAAAATAAACCTTTGCTTTATAAGCCACTGAGATTTGGATAGAGTTTATTTTCACAGCATAACTTAGCCCAAGCTGACTGATAAAACCGGGCCTAAGACTAATATATCTTGTTATCCAGTTATAACTTTAATTCTTTTATTATGCATTTTTACTCTCTCGGGATGCAAAGATGAATCAGACCCAGTTTTTGCCCGAGACTTCTTCACAATGTACTGGAGGAGATGGCCATATTATTAGATTGCTCTATACATGACTGTTGGAGTTGATCACTGCGCTATAAAGGAAACAACAGAAGTAGTAACTCTCTTGGCTGGCCAAGTAGAGCCCATGGAAGAGCTAATATTTGAGCTGAGTGTTGCATGCAAAAGGGAACCCAAGCAGATGAAATGGTAGGCACAAGAAAGTCTGAGCATGCATGGCAGGTGGAGGCCACAGCAGTGTGAGGCAGGACCGGGGAGATAAAGATAAGATTGAATTCTACTGGGAAGGGCCTGGCCTTCATTTGGTTGGTAGTAGGCAGTATATTACCAGAAAATGACACCATCAGATTTGCATGATAACGTTGTAGCTGTACCAGGGTCTGAACTAAGATGTGGTAGCAGAGTTCAACAAAAAAGGATGGTTGGATAATAGCAGAAGAGAAAAACTTAAATGACTCTAGGGAACAAAAATGAGTGAAATAGTGGTGAATGTGAGGCAGGGAGTGGCAGGGCTGTGAGGACTGGAGGGCACTGCCCTATCAGAGGGGAGCCATTGCTCAGTTCTGGACAGTTGTTTCCATCTTAGGGATGGTGGCTCAATGCTGCCACCATCATTCAATTTGTCAAAAGAAGCCAAAAATTTGTGTTGCATGTGAAGTTTTATTTTTAAATATTTGCAGTTTTAATTTTAAAAAATTAGGGGAGGGCTTTCCAGCCTTAACAACAACAAAATGGAGAGTTATCGAGAATTCTGTTTTTATAAGAGAGCACTACCCATTTAAATCACTTGAGTTTCTCCCCTGCTCCGTAATTCAACTGATGTGATGTTTTCCCATATTAATTTCAGCCAGTGAATATGTGTAAGTATATCCAGTGATTCTCTCTCTCTCTCTCTCTCTCTCTCTACCAGAGGGACCACAATCAAGGCACCTTTTGCCTTGCTCAGGACCACAAGGAGTTGGAGACAGGGAGCTCTACTATTTGAAAGTGACTAGGAGCTAAGCAGTGCTGAGTCTTTCCTGTGGCCAGTTTTTCTCCTGCCAGGATCCTGGGGTCAGTCCCTTTAAAAAGTCTAGAAGGCCTCCCATGAAGAAATTATGTCTCATACCCCATTAGTAGTTGACACTTTGCATCCCTGCCAATCTAGTGCCATATAACCTGAGAGAGGGATGCCATTTCCTGACAAGGAGGACTCAGAAATACAAAAATGAATAGTCCATAACTAGATCAGTCAGGACAGACCAGCCACTCTCTTCAAAGTAGTGGCTCACATACACTGACCCCTCCAGATCCACTGACTATGTCAACCATCCTGGGGGCACTGACCATCTCAGACAGGCTACTCTGGACATATTGAACACCATGACATCCTGACTATTCTGGGTACATTGATCATATACACCCACCACAATATGAAAGACTTCTATTAGTCCAACAGGGTCAAGGAGAAGGGAGGCAGACTAAAATTGCTTAGAGACCTGGGTGAACCATCTTTTATATTTTATCTTTGTTAAAAAAACTTTGTTATGTTTCCTCAGTATAAAGATAATTTAAAAGAGGTGAATTATTTAGGATACACATGAAAGTCTTACCTAAAAATTTATAGATATTGTATTTATAAGTTGAGGCTAGATAGTAAGGATTCTTAGAAGATAATGACAGATGCCTAGATCTGAATCTTTCTACACATCTTCAAAAAACCATACAGGCTGGGCATGGTGGCTCACTCCTGTAATCCCAGCACTTTGGGAGGCTGAGACAGGAGTATTGCTTGTGCCCGGTAGTTCCAGGCTGCAGTGAGCCAAGATCATGCTGCTGCACTCCAGCCTGGGCAGCAGAGCAAGACCCTGTCATTCATAAATAAATAAATACATATATACACACACACATACATACATACATACAGCTCAACAAGGACAGCAAATAAAATTACAACTCATATCTACTACATATTAGGAAATTTAATAGAAACTCTCATTTTATTTAAGAGGGTAAATCATAGTCCCAGCTATTAAGCTCAGGTAGAAAGAAGAGAAAAACAGGAATTATTTGAGAAAAACATAATGCAGTCGGATCCCAGAGAGTCTCACACTAAGTGGAGAAATACTAAGAATAGCCACACTGCATTACAGCACTTGCTACTGGGGAATTGAAGGGGCTTGAAAGTGCATGGGCCCAAACATTTAAGTCTTCAGAGGGTACTGCTTCTGGGAGAGAAAAGAGGAACTAAGTAAGAAAAGGTATCTCTTGGAAATTTGGTGATGAAGAGGGAAGAAAAAGTTGGAAATTAAGAATCCTACAGAAAGAAGAGTTTCATAAAAATGATGACATATTAAACTCCCCCTAACACTCTCCACTCCATGCAGAGAAGAAAAAAAAAAAAAAAGAGAAAAGAGAAAAATGCTGTTCATTAAGGAAATTGCATTTTACTGTATCTACTGAAGAGGGCACTCTTGAGCTAAGAAACCTAGTAAACTACTCAAATCCTTCAGCCTCATTTGCAGAAACACCTGGCCCAAGAAAATCCAACAGTTTTGAAAATGAACAGAAAATCCAGCAGTCTTGAAAATGAACATCCAAAATTATTTTTTAAAGAAAAGAAAATGAGAATCAAAATTCTTCAGCTGATGAAAATATTCAAGACCCAACTTCAAGGCGGAGAAAACCACAGCACGACACTTCAACATAAATCAAATAGTATCAATGACATGTAGAAAACACACAAAACAGAAACTCACAAATGCAAAATAGAAGTGGGTACAAAACGAGGATTTGTGAAACAAGAGTTGACTGAGTACAGAAAAGAAAATGAAGGAACACACTAATCCTAAAAATTAGAGCTAAATTATAAGGTATGCAAGAAGGTGCAAATTCAAAAAAGTACACAAAGGACACATGAAAAATTGGAATGAAAATTTCCAAGAGAATTGAAACAAAATGAAAAGCCCCAAAAGAAAAGAATAGCTATAGAAGACAAAGAAGATCTAACACACCTATAATTGAATTTTCTAAAGAAGAAAAAGCAGTGAATTGAGACTAAGATTCAAAGCTATGATCCAATAAAGCTTACCAAAAGATTAAGTTGAAAAATCCTGAATCTATTTACTGAAAGGATGCTTTGTGTGAAAATTAACCCCAAGTGGTCAAGTGTAAGATATTTTCTTGTATGCCCGGGAAAATACCTCTAAACCTCCAAGCAAAAAGACCACGTGATTCAATACACAGATCAAAACAACAATGGAGCAGTGCTCTCAAGGACAGAAAGTGTGAACCATGGATTTTTATATCCAGTTAAGCTGATCTTCAGTTATCAAGATTGATAAATAGTTTTAAAATGCAAATTCAAGTTATATTTTCTTCTCTCTTTCCTTTCTTCCTTTCCTTTCTTTTCTTTTCTTCCTTCCTTTCTTTTCTTTGTCTCATATTGTCCTCCAGGCTGGAGTGCAGTGGCGTGATCATAGCTCACTACAGCCTCAAATTCCTGGGCCCAAGTGCCTCAGCCTCCAGAGTAGCTGGGACTGTAGGTGTGTGGCACCATACCTGGCTAATTTTTAATTTTAATTTTAATTTTTAATTTTTTGGAGAGATGGGATCTCACTATGTTGCCCAGGCTGGTCTTGAACTCCTGGCCTCAAGCAATCCTTCCACCTTGACATCTCAAAGTATTGGGATTACAAGAATGAGCCACCATGCCTGTATATTTTAATATTCCTTACTAGGAATCTTTTTTTTCTTTTCTTATGAGACGGAGTCTCACTCTGTTGCCCAGGCTGGAGTGCAATGGCATGATCTCAGTTCACTGCAACCTCCACCTCCTGGGTTCAAGAGATTCTCCTGCCTCAGTCTCCTGAGTAGCTGGGACTACAGGTGCACGGCACCACACCCAGCTAATTTTGTATTTCTTTTTAGTAGAGATGGGGTTTCACCATGTTAGCCAGGCTGGTCTTGAGCTTCTGACCTCAAGTGATCCGCCCACCTCGGCTTCCCAAAGTGCTGGGATTACAGGCATGAGCCACTGTGCCTGGCCCTTATTAGGAATCTGTTAACACTAGATAACAAGCCTCATTAAACCAAGAGATAACTGGAGAAAATACAGCAGGTAACTGTGGTGAACATGTCCTTTATTTAATTGAAGAGACTAAAATGAAGGCAGAGACAAAGGCGTGAGGATAATATGTAAATGTTCTATGTCCAAAAGTAGAAATAACAGAACTAAAGTAATAAAAATATAGAAGAACAGAGGGAGACAGAGGAGAGCAGAATAAGCTACTTGATTGCCATATATGTAATAGGTAGAAACTGGAGGGTATCTATATTAGTCCATTGTCACACTGTTAATAAAGACATACTTGGGACTGGGTAATTTATAAAGGGAAGAGGTTTAATTGACTCGCAGTTCAGCATGGCTGGGGAGGCCTTAGAACACTTACAATAATGACAGAAGGGGATGCAAACATGTTCTTCTTCACATGGCGGTAGTAAGAAGTGCCCAGCAAAAATGGGGAAAAGCCCCCTATAAAACCATCAGATCACACGAGAACTCACTATCAAGAGAACAGCATGAGGGTAACCGCCCCGGTGATTAAATTATCTTCCACAGGGTCCTTCCCATGACACGTGGGGATTATGGGAACTGTAAGATGAGATTTGGGTGGGAACACAGCCAAACCATATCAGTATCATTTAAAGTTGACAAACCAACTAGTAGAAAACTAAGTAAAGAAAAAGTTGTGGCAGCATTATATAGCATATTAATAGCAAATAAAAACTTTTCTAAATACCAAAATAAATTGAAAAAGGACAAAGAGAAAAGAATACATAAATGTGGTAAATTTAATGCTTAAAATAAATACAAAATAATATGATGAGCTAAGACCAAACACGTCAGCCCTATCCATAAATGTAAATGGGTTTAGTCATTTACTTTAAAAAAAAGCTTTCTCAGAGAAGCTCACAAAACAAAATCCAAGTCTATGGTATACAATGGGCATATCTAAAAATTATTCTGAAAGAGCATGTACAAAGAAAATGCAAACAGTAAGAAAACAGAAGTTGTGATTGTGATATAAAAGAAACTAGAATTCAGACCCAAAAGTGCCAAATGAGATAAAGCAGCACACTTCACACAATTCACACAATCCACACTGAAGATATACTAGATATGAAATGCACCAAATAATACAAAAATCTGTCCAGAAAAATCTGGGCAAACCCAGAAGTATATAGACTTTTTTTTTTTTTTTTAACAAATGTATGCATTATATTTATCTAGATACAGAAATTATAAATAAGTTCCTAAGAGGGTAACAAAGATTCAAAATAAACAATCAATACTTATTAAATATTTCCCCCAACTTCTTATTTAGAATTTTCCGATCTACAGTAAAGTTAAAGGAATTCTGAACCTGGGCTCTTTACCCAGCGTCAGCAACTAAAATTTTTTACATTTGCTTTCTCTCTCCACTGTCCTCCCACTTTCTTTTTTTTCTTTTTTGCCAAAACTTTCTAAAGAAAGTTATAGACAACATGACACTTCATCTAGGGTGACCCATGATCTTGGTTTTGGCCAAGACTGCCCAGTTTTAGCAATGAAAGCCCTGAGTTCAAGGAAATCCCCCAGTCCCAGGCAAACCAAGACTGTTGGCCAACCTACCCCTAAATATTTTAGTATCCATTTCTTTAAAAATTTCCTACACAATCACAATGCCATTTTCATAAGAAAATGAACATTAAAATAATTATATATTCTCATCTAATCAAGTCATTTATACTTGCCTAATTATCCCAAAATATGTTCTCTGGTTACGCTTATACACGCACATGACTGCCCTAAAAGTAGGTTTCCCTTTGTAATTAGTAAATGATCTGTGGGGTCATGCTCTGAGAAGTTATATATATCCTATTCCTCTAATAGCCTTCATTTAATGGTTTTCATATCCGCTGATAATACTTTCCTGAATAAATTATTACCTTGAGTTAAAAAATGGTCATTTTCTATTTTTCTTTTCTTTTCTTTCTCCTTTTTTTTTTTATTTTTTATTTGAGATGGAGCTTCACTCTTAATGCCCAGGCTGGAGTACATTGGCACAATCTTGGCTCACTGGAACCTCCGCCTCCCGGGTTCAAGTGATTCTCCTACCTCAGCCTCCTGAGTAGCTGGGATTATAGGTGTGTGCCACCACGCCTGGCTAATTTTGTATTTTTAGTAGAGACGGGGTTTCACCATGTTGGTCAGGCTGGTCTTGAACTCCTGACCTCAGGTGATCCTCCTGCCTTGGTCTCCCAAAGTGCTGAGATTACAGGAGTGAGCCACCGCGCCCGGCCTAAAATGGTCATTTTCTAATCGTATCATTTATTCTATATTCATTAGATTATATTCTTCTATTAAAAAAAGAGCTTTCCCCTTTTGCCTTTGTCTCTCTCTTTCTCTCTGTCTTTTTGGCAGCGTGGAGGATTGGTATCACTATCCAATTCGATATCACTATCCAATTCTTTTTTCAACTTTTATTTTAGAATCAGGGGGTACATGTGCACGTTTGTTACCTGGGTATATTGTGTGATGCTGAGGATTGACTGGGGTATGAATGATTTTGTCACCCAGGTACAGAGCGTGGTACCCAACAGTTTTTCAACCCTTGTCCCTCTTTCTTCCTTGCCCTCTAGTAGTCCCCAGTTTCTGTTGTTGCCATCTTATGTCCCTGAATACTCAATGTTTAGTTGCCACTTATAAGTGAGAACATGCAGTATTTGTTTTCTGTTCCTCAGTTATTTGCTTAGGACAATGGCCCCCAGCTGCATCCATTTTGCTGCAGAGGACATGACTTTGTTCTCTTTTATAGCTGCATAGTATTCCATGGTGTATATGTGCCACATTTTCTTTATCCAATCCACTATTAATGGGCACCTAGGTTGATTCCATGTCTTTGCTCTGTGAATAGTGCTGCAATGACCATGCAAATGCATGTGTCTTTTTGGTAGAACAATTTGTTTTCTTTTGGATATAGACCCAGTAATGGGATTGCTGGGTCAAATGGTAGTTCTGTTTTAAGTTCTTTGAGAAATCTCCACACTGCTTTCCATGGTGTCTGAACTAATTTAGATTCCCTATTCTGTGGATTGTCTTTTTACTTTTAGATAGTGCCCTTTGACACACAAAAGTTTAAATTTGTCATCTAATTTACCTATTTTTTTTCTTTTAAGTACCTATTATGTAATACATGGTCACAAAGATTTATCCCTATGTTTTCTTCTAAGGTTTTATAGTTCTTACACTTAGGTCTTTGATCCTTTTTTTTTTGTTTTTTTGAGACAGAGTCTCACTCTGTAGCCCAGGCTGGAGTGCAGTGGTGCAGTCTCAGCTCACTGCAACCCCCGCCTCCAGGGTTCAAGTGATTCTCGTTCGTCAGCAACCCAAGTAGCTGGAATTACAGGTGTGCGCCACCCTGCCCAGCTAATTTTTGTATTTTTAGTAGAGATGGGGTTTCACCATGTTGGCCAGGCTGGTTCAAATGCCTGACCTCAAGTGATCCACCTGCCTTGGCCTCCCAAAGTGCTAGGATTACAGGCATGAGCCACTGCACCTGGCCCATTTTGCGTTAATTTTTGCTTATGGTATGAGGTAGAGATCCAACAATTCTTTTACATGTGAACGTGCAGTCGTCCCAGCACCATTTACTAGAATGGCCTTTCTTTCCTTATTGAATTGTCTTCCCACCCTTATTGAAAAAATTGACCGTAAGTGTATGATTTTATTTCTGGACTCTCAATTCTATTCCATTGATCAATGTCTATCTTTATGCTAGTACCACACAGTCTTTATGGCTGTAGCTTTGTAGAACATTTTTTTTTCTTTTTATTTTTCTTTTTTTTTTTTTTTGGAGATGGAGTCTTGCTCTGTCGCCCAGGCTGGAGTGCAGTGACGCGATCTCCTCTCACTGCAAGCTCTGCCTCCCGGGTTCACGCCATTCTCCTGCCTCAGCCTCCCGAGTAGCTGGGACTACAGGCGCCCGCCACCACGCCCGGCTAAATTTTTTTTGTATTTTTAGTAGAGACGGGGTTTCACCGTGTTAGCCAGGATGGTCTCAATCTGCTGACCTCGTGATCCGCCTGTCTCGGCCTCCCAAAGTGCTGGGATTACAGGCGTGAGCCGTCGCGCCCAGCCGCTTTGTAGTACATTTTAAGATAGAAAGTGTGAGCTCTCTAACTTCGTTGTTTTCTTTTAAGCATGTTTTGACTCTTCCGGATCCCTTGCATTTCTATACGAATTTTGGGATCAGATTGTTGATTTCAGAAAAATAGCTAGGATTTTGATAGGGATTTTGTTAAATCTGTAGATCCATCTGGGGAGTATTGCCATCTTAACAATATTAAGTCTTCCAATATATGAATTTGTGATGTCTTTCCATTTATTTAGCTCTTTGATTTATTTCAATGATGTTTTATAATTTTCAGTGTACAAGTCTTAAAATTTATTTTGAAAACGTTTATTCTTAAGTACTTTATTTTTTTGATGCAGTTGTGAATGGAATTTTCACACTCATTTTGAGATTATTTATTGCTCGTACGTAGAAATACAGTGATTTTTGTATATTGATCTTATATTCTGACACCTTGTCAAACTCCTTTATTAGCTCTAATTATTATTTTTTCTCTTACTCAAATTGTCCCGAATTTGGTGAGACCCTCTTCAAATTGTTCTTGTTTCTTTTTAATGTGGCACCATCAGTGTTTGAGTGCTTCTGTGAGTTTTGGCATAAGATCTCACAGTCATCCAATACTTTCCCTTTCAAGACCTGGAATTAACTATTTTTCCAAAGAGCCTTGGTTTCTTTTAGTGGTGAAGGGTATTTTCCACTTCTTAATTTTAATTGTTTTATCTTGTCCAATTACACTAGTTAATATTTCCAATACACTGTTAAGTAGTGATGGAGATAATGTCATCTTTGACTTGTTCCTGACCTTAGAAGAAACAACTCTCATGTTTCTCCATTAAATAAGAATTCTTAAACTTCCTGTTTTAAAAGTTTGCCACATCCCTGTTATTGATTTTTTTTTCTGAAGTTTTAATTATGGGTATATGTTACAATCCATTTAATTTATGCTTTTATCTTTTAAAATCCCCTTCCTGGTGCTTTCTTTTAGTTCAGTTTGTTGTTTTCTAGCCCTTGATAATTTAATTAATTTATATTTGTTATTTTTTATATGTATTTAAGGTTGTGGATTTTTTCTGATATTTGTCATAATAGCTCACAAATTCAGAAATGTAACATTTTTCATTATAATATTTTTCCAGAAATTCTCCAATGTTGTTTTGTATATTCTCTTTCACACAATGGTTGCTCAATAGTTTTTCTTTTAGATTTCTAGGTAGAAGAGCTTTTTAGTTTTGATATTAATTTCTAGCTTTACTGCATTGTGACCAAATAATTTTTTTTGTATTATGCCTACTTTAGGGAACTTCTGAAGATTTTTTTTGGTCAAATTTTGTGACTCTCCATGAGTGCTTAAAAAGAAGGTGTGTTCCTCTCTCACTGCATATCTGCATTTAAGTCATGGACTGTGAAAAAGTTCAATTATTAGTTTCATTAAGTGTTGCACTGGGACCCAACCAATCAGCACTCCCCACTCAAAGGCCCCCCCCCACCCGCCCACCAAATTTTTCTTAAAAACTCTGATCCCTGAATGCTCTTAGAGACTTATTTGAGTAATAATAAAACTCTGGTCTTCTGCACAGCTGGCTCTGCATGAATTACTCTTTCTCTATTTCAATTCCCTTCTCTTGATACATTGGTTCTGTCTAGGCAGTGGGCAAGGTGAACCTGTTGGGCAGTTACAAATTTGGGGGCTTGTCTGGGATTGCCCTTGTTGGCAATGGTTCTGTAGCTTCCCTCTGGTGACAGATCCTGAGGCCAGCCCAAGTGGTTGTCTAGTTCTCTTAAACTGGGGGCTGACTCTGGCACCGTCTCTAGTGGCCAGGCACTGCCAACCCAATGAACTGACATTTGTGACCCATTGATATGACTCAACACACTCCAAACTAGAGATTCAGCAGCAAAAGAAGAGGTGACATGTACAAGGGATACCCCGGTTTCTCCTTCTTGTTTGCTGATATTTTACAAACAGATTGGTTGTGTTTCATTTCCTCCTGACTGGGGATATACTCATGACTAATGGATTCCTCAAATGAGTTTCTGATCTTATTTAACTTCCAACCAGGCTCTTCGGTAGAACCCCAAATCCTACTTTATCTCTATTGTTTCAAACTCCTCTTATGTTGAGTTTTGATTTTGTCACCAAAGCTGTTAGGGAGAAGGAAAGTAGACTATGCATTCCCTCCTTCACCACACTTGACTATCTTTATCTCACGTCTCATCAGGGAGACCTAAAATGGGGGAGGAGGAAAATCAGAGGGACAGGATCCAGTAGTCCTAGAGCAAGACTCCTGCAAAGATCAGTGGGAGGGGAAGTAGATCCATGTATTTAAAGCAAGGTCACACTTGTTTCATCATGTACAAGGCTTCCTTCTTAGCCTTGGATGGTTCAGTGACTTAGATGCAAGTAAAATCATGCTGATTAGATTTACAGCTGGGAGAGATCACTATTTGGATAAAAAGCAAAGATTTCAAAAGACCTTGAGTCTAGATCAAAACAACAAAATGCAATTAAATGCTAAGTTCTATATTTATGTTTTAAAATTCAGTTACAAAAGTATATAGGATAGGAGAAACTTGGTTTGATAACAATTTATATGAAAAAAATTCTAAGATGTTAGATGACTCTAAATTAGCTCAACCTAATGTTAAAAAATCTTCCACACCCTCAAAAACATCTGATAAAATCTTGGTTTCTATAATGGAAATGTAGCATTGTATTCAGATTCATGAAAGTGGTCATATAATTGAACTCGACACTGGAAATATTGCCAGATATATTTATTATAAATAAAAAATATGAACAATGTGTACATTATGACACCATTTGTGTAAATAATATCATGTATGTGTATGTACGTGCTTGTCTGTGTGGAATAGATATGAACAACGTTCTACATTTAGGTTTCAACATTCAGTTGCAGAAGTATAATCTTCATAAAATTTTTAAAATGCTTTAAATCCTTTCTCATGGCCATGCATCTTGGTAGACATTGAACATAGAAGTTGGGCAATATATGAAGAACTTAGGAGGGCTCTAGGTTCTATTTTTTAGAAAGATATTGTGAAAGGAGAAAATATTCAAAGGACAGGGAAAGGATATAGAAGGAGCAGAAGGAGGGTGTGACAGGGGAGGGGGCAACTGTTTGTATTCTTCAGCTGTAATGAGTAGCCCAAGGCAGAACAAAGACCAGCAACAAAATGCCATAAGAAGACAGTTCTGTGTTCAATTCAAGGAAGGCCTGCAATGCTCAAATTATCCTGTTATGGATAAGACTGAGTTTCCTTTCCTTTGCGTCCCCTGCCAACTGGGATGATGATGATGTTATGAACAATAATGCTTACCATTTAGTGAGTGTTTACTAAGTGTTTTTCACTATCTTGTTTAATCCTCCCTACAATGCTATGAAGGTCAGAGAGATTAAATAACTTGCCCAAGGGTTGAGTGTCCACCCACAACCCCACAAAAGGGGGTATGTTGGTCTGTTTGGGCTACTGTAACAAAATACTATAAATTGAGTTGGGTAGTTACAAAGAACAGAAATCTCTTTCTTTCTTTTTCTTTTCTTTCTTTACACCTTTGACTTCTTAGGCTCAAGTGATCCTCCCACCTCAGCCTCCCAAAGTGTTGTTATTACAGGCATGAGCCACCATGTCCAGCCCAGAAATTTCTTTCTCATAGTTGTAGAGGCTGGGAAGTCCAAGATAAAGACAGATGTGGTCTCTAGTGAAGGCATGCTTTCTGCCTCATAGATAATGTCTTCTTGCTGTGTCCTCACATGGTGGAAGGGGAAAGGCAGCTCTCTGGGCCTCTTTTATAAGGTCACTAATCCATTCATAAGGGCTCTGCCCTCATGACCTAATTACCTCTCAAAGGCCCCATCTCCTAATACCATCACCCTAGTGATTAGGTTTTAATGTACACATTTTGGGAGACAGAAACATTCAGACCATTGCAAAGGGGATAGTCCAGTATGTCTATATTTCATGCACTTTTTGCAAAATGAGGGTACAGCCTATTTGACAATCCATCGTAAGGTTTGATACACAGGGGATGTTCAGTGTACATTAGTTGAAGGAGAAACAATAATCTATGGCCAGATGTGGTGGCTCACATCTGTAATCCCAGCACTTTGGGAGGCCGAGGTGGGCAGATTGCTTGAGGTCAGGAGTTCGAGACCACCCTGGCCAACATGGTGAAACCCCGTCTCTACTAAAAATACAAAAATTAGCCAGGCATGGTGGTGAGTGCTTGTAATCCCAGCTACTCTGGAGGCTGAGGCAGGAGAATCTCTTGAACCCAGGAGGTGGAGGTTGCAGTAAGCCAAGATCTCGCCACTGCACTCCAGCCTGGGCAACAGAGCAAGACTCCATCCCCTGCTCCAAAAAAAAAAAAAAAAAAATTATAATCTCTGAAAAGGAGTAAGCCATAGTGAAGTAAGAAGGACTTTGGAATAAAATGCTCTGCTTGTGCAGATCTTGAAATGATCTTGAAATGAGCCCAAGGTACGTGAATCATGTTTCTAGAGCAGCCCTTGTCCAATAGAACATTGTGTAATGATAGAAATGTTCCATGACTGTGACATACAATAGATAGCCACTGGCCACATGTAGGTCTCACTCTTTCATCTTGTGAACTTTTTAGCAAAATGAGAGTGCAGCCTATTTGACAATCCACTGTAAGTTTTGATACTTGTGGATGTTCAGTGTACACTAGTCGAAGGAGAAAGGAATAGGAGTAAACCATAGCGAAATAAGAAGGGCTTTGGAATAAAATGCTTTGCTTGTGGATATAGATCTTGAAACAAGCCCAAAGTACATGAAGCATGTTTCTAGAGCAGTGATTGTCCAACAGAATATTCTGGAATGATAGAAATGTTTCATGACTATGACATACAATAGATAGCTACTAGCCACATGTAGGTATCACTCCTTAATCTTGTAAGCTTTAGATTAAAAAATAAATTTAAAGTGGAGACTACCCTTAATTGTTTTCTGTGCTAATGACAGTCCTATTGTCATTGCCACTGGGGAAACAGAAATGTGAAACAACACTATTGGTTCCAGTGGCTCCAGAGGCATTTGGGTTAGGTTATATAGTTTAGCTTATATTCTGGAATATAAGTTTATATTAGGTTATATAGTTTAGGTTATATTCTGGAACTTTCTGTAAAAGAGGACGGGCAACAGGGTTCCTCAAGCATAATAAAAGAAAGACATTTAAATAATGAAGTTTCAAGGATGTGATCTTCTCCAAAAACCAAGACCTTCTTATTTCTCTCTCTTTAGCCACACACATGCATATACCACACATTTATTTATTCATTGCAAAAAAAAAAAAAGCCATTCTGTCAGGTATGGTGGCTCATGCCTGTAATCCCAGCACTTTGGTAGGCTGAGGTGGGAGGATCGCTTGAGCCCAGGAATTCAAACCAGACTGGGCAATAGAGTGAGACCCCGTCTCTACAGAAAATAAAACAATTAGCTGGGTGTGATGGTGTGTGCCTATAGTCCCAGCTACTCTGGAGGCTGAGGTGGGAGGAATGTCTGAGCCTGGGAGGTTGAGGCTACAGTGAACTGAGATCATGTCACTGTACTCCAGCCTGGGTGACAGAGTGAAACCTTGTCTCAAAAAAAAAAAAAAAAAAAAAAAAAGCCATCCTTTTTGTCTGTCACTGTCTCTCTCAATGGACAAAGTATTATAGTAAGCTATCATTTACTGAGACTATTTCATCATTTACATGTAACAGCAAAACTTATCACAACTGTGAATTAGGTGCTAGGTATTATTTCCATTTTACAGATTGGGAAACAGAGACTTAGAGAAGTTAGGCAAGTTGGCCAAGGCTGTAAAGTCAGTCAGTGGCCGAGCCAGGATTCATACAGTTGTGCTTAGCTGGGAAGTCTAGGTCCTTTCTACTAGCTCTCCTCCACTCACACCACACACATGTGTGCATATACATGCATGCACACACACGGATCTTGTATCCTGTTGACTTTGAGTACTGTCATAATCATATTTCTGGACCTAGCTTTGTAAACACAATGACATGCATGGAATTCAGGATTTTTTTTTTCCCATTTTGTTTTTCTCCAAGCCCAGTGAACCAGATGTACAAATAAGTGGGCTTACTTGGTTTGCATTTTTGACATTTGAAAAGAAATTCCATGTTGCTCATGCTCATGAATGTGCCTCAGGCACTTGGGTGTTTCCACTTGGTGGAAGATCTTCTCTCAGACCACATTCTTTTCCCATGGACTCCAGAGACTGTGGCAAAAGCCTGCCACTGGATCTGCCTGGAGCGAGCAGTGATTGTGGGAGTCAGAGGCTTCTGGTCTTTTTTCAGCTCCAGTTGGAAGAGTGCCATAAAATCATGTGATGTTTGGACTAAAAGGGCAAGCCAAAGAATGTCCCTTGCATCTTTCTCTGACCAGTGAAGTCGAAGCAGTGAGCAAGGAGGCCTCTCCAAGGAGCTGTTTCAATCCACTGGATGTGCCAGGACTCACCAGGAATAAAAGGTTAGTCTCTAAGCCAGGCCCAATGGGGCTATTAACACTTAGCACTACTTCAGACCAGCCAGTGAGAGTCAGGATGCACAGGGAAGGAGAGTGGGAGACCCTGGAAGGGAACTTCTAGGTCATCTGGTTAAGTTTCCTCCACTAACAGGAGTGAGTAGCAGTGTTGGTGGTCAAGTAGTAAGCTAGGAGGAGAAAGGACATAACTAGTCTTTTACAGATGGTTTGGTTAACCAGGACTAGATTTCTAGGTGTCTTAACCCTGAGGCCAGGTGAAAGGTCCCAGGACAGAGGGCAACCCTAATTGGTGGCACGTGGTCACCATTCCTGAGTAGCTTTGCTAATTAGATCACTTTTTTTTTTTTTTTTGAGACAGGGTCTCCCTCTGTCGCCCAGGCTGGAGTGCAATGGCATGACCTTGGCTCACTGCAACCTCTGCCTTCAAGTGATTCTCCTGCCTCAGACTCCTGAGTAGCTGGGATTATAGGCGCATACTACCACACCTGACTATTTTTGTAGTTTTAGTAGAGAGGAGGTTTCATCCTATTGGCCAGGCTGGTCTTGAACTCCTGACCTCAAGTGATCCACCTGCCTCAGCCTCCCAAAGTGTTGGGATTACAGGTGTGAGCCACCGCGCCCAGCCAAGGTCACTCTTCTAAAGGCCTATTTCTTCAGTCCGGATGCCAGGGAGAGTGAGCTGCTGTAGAAGAAAGCAGCTTATTGCTGATAGACAGAGAACATCTCTCAATTTCTACCTTCTCCCCAGTTTCCTTCTTCATTTCATATTTAGAGCTTCCTATTCTTCTTCTTCTTCTTTTTTTTTTTTGAGACAGAATCTTGCTCTGTCACCCAGGCTGGAGTGCAGTGGCGCAATCTGGGCTCACTGCAACCTCCCTCTCCCAGGATCAAGTGATTCTCCTGTCTCAGCTACCCAAGTAGCCAGGACTACAGACGCGTGCCACCATGGCCAGCTAATATTAGAGATGAGGTTTCACCATGCTGACTAGGCTGGTCTCAAACTCCTGACCTCAGGCAATCTGCTGGCCTTGGCCTCCCAAAGTGCTGGGATTACAGGTGTGAGCCACCACATTGGGCCAGCTTCCTATTCTTCTGAATTAGAGAAAGAATAAAATGGGTTTTTCCCAAATTTCTCTCTCTCTCTGTCTCTCTCTCTTTTGTTGTTGTTTTTTTGAGACAGGGTCTTGCTCTGTCTCAAAAACTCCCAGGCTGGAGTGCAGTGGCATGATCATGGCCCCCTGCAGCCTCAACCTCACAGGTTCAAGCAATCCTCCCAAGTAGCCGGGAGTACAGATGCATGCCACTGCACTGGGCTAATCTTTTGATTTTTTTTGTAGAGACAAGGGCTCACTATGTTGCCCAGACTGGTCTTGAACTCCTGGGCTCAAGCAATCCTCCCACCTTGGCCTCCCAAAGTGCTGGGATTATAGTCATGAGCCACTGCATCTAAAATTTATTATAGAGTGTTACTTTTCTAGACCACTAAGGGCCTCACTCTGAACTGGGAGGGTAACTTAACTCTTCCTGACAGACCTGGGCCTCCATGCTACTGTAACCTCTTTGAGTCCTCCATACCTCCACCCTGGGACTTAGCAAATGGTCTTTGGCCTCCTTGAGTGAGCAAGAGGTAGTGAGGAAGTCCAGTGCAGTCATGAAGTCATGAGCCTAGGTTGAATTGTGATTCAGCTGAATTTTTTTTTTTTTGAGACGGAGTCTTGCTCTGTCGCCAGGCTGGAGTGCAGTGGCTCAATCTCGGCTCACTGCAACTTCTGCTTCCTGGGTTCAAGTGATTCTCCTGCTTCATCCTCCCCAGTAGCTGAGATTACAGGTGTGCGCCACCATGCCCGGCTAATTTTTGTATTTTTAGTAGAGACAGGGTTTCACCATGTTGGCCAGGATGGCCTCGATCTCCTGACCTTGTGATCCACCCATCTTGGCATCCCAAAGTGCTAGGATTACAGGTGTGAGCCACTGCGCCTGGCTGACTCAGCTGAATTTTAAGTATTGAAGTGAACTATACGAAATTGTTGATATGCAATCTAAAAACATTAAAATGTTTTGTTTTGAGATAATTGTAGATTGATATGTAGTTGTAAGGAATAATACAGAGAGACCCCATGTACTCTTTTGCCCATTTTCTCCTAATAGTAACATTGTGCAAAACTATAATCTAATATAGTAACCAATAAGTTGATATTGATACAGTAAAGATACATACAGAACAGTTTCATCACCACAGAACAATTTCATCACCACAGAATCTCTTCTATAGCCACATCCACCCTGCCCCTCCCTGGCAGCTACGATTTTGTCCTCCATTTGTATAATTTTACCATTTTAAGAATGTTACATAAATGAAAATGTAAAGTATGTAACATTTTGGGATTAGCTTTTTTCACTTATGGTAATTCCTTGGAGATTCACTGAGCTTGTTATATGTGTCAATAGTTTGTTACTTTTTATTGCTCACTAGTATTCCATGGTATGCATGTACCACAGCTTGTTTAACCATTGACCCATTAAAAGATGCCTGGGTTGTTTCCAGTTTTGGGTTGTTACAAAGTAAAGCTACTGAACATTCCTTTTATAGGTTTTTGTGTGTTTTCATTTTTTCTGGGATAAGTACACAAGAGTGCAACTGCTGGGTCATATGGTAGTTCTGTGTTTAGTTTTATAAGAAACTGCTAAACTCTTCCAGGGTGGTTGTACCAGTTTACATTCCTGCCAGTGATGTAGGAGTGATTCAGTTTCTCGGCTACATCCTCATTCTGTCAGGTGTGTAGTGATATCTCATTGTGGTTTTAATTTGTATTTCCCTAATGGCTAACAATGTTGAATTTCTTTTCATATGCTTGTTATCTATGTATCTGTTTCAGGGAAATATGCGTTTATGTCTTTTGCACATTTTAATTTTTTTTTTTTTTGAGACAGAATCTTACTATATTGCCTACGTTGGAGTGCAATGGCGTGATCTTGGCTTACTGCAACCTCTACCTCCTGGATTCAAACAGTTCTCCTGCCTCAGCCTCCCAAGTCCCTGGGATTACAGGCATGCACCACTATGCCCGGCTAATGTTGTATTTTTAGTACAGACAGGGTTTCACCATGTTGGTCAGCCTGGTCTTGAACTCCTGACCTCAGGTGATCCACCTGCCTTGGCCTCCCAAAGTACTGAGATTACAGGTGTGAGCCACTGCACCCGCCAGTTTGTTTGTTTTTTAATGCTGAGTTTTGAGAATTCTTTACATATTCTAAATACTCCTTTGTTGGCTATGTGGTTTCAAGTATTTTGCCCAGTTGGTAGTATGTCTTTTCATCTTCTTAACAGGGTCTTTCACAGAGCAAAAATAATCTTGATAAGGTCCAACATATCAATTTTTCCTCTTATTGTGCTTTTGGTAACAAGCCACAGAACTCTTTGTATAGCTCTGGGTACTAGAAAATTTTCTCCTATTTCTTTCTAAGTTTTATAGTTTTACATTTAAGTCTAGAATCCATTTTGACTTGATTTTTGTATAAGGTATGAAGTTTGGGTCCTGGATTTTCTCTCTTTTTTTTTTTTCCTATGGATGTCCAATTGCTCCAACATCATTTGTTGAAAAAGCACATTTCTTCCACTGAATTGCTTTTGATCCTTTGTCAAAAATTAGTTGGACAGATTTACGTGGGTCCATTCTATTTCTGGGTCTTTATTCTGTTCCGTTGATATGTGTCTATTTTTCTGCCAACACTGCACGGTTTTTGAAATTGTACCTTTACAGTAGGCTTCAAGTTTGGGTGGAGTGATTCCTCCCATTTTATTTTATATACACACACCTTTCCTCCCCAACCCCCAATCATTTGAAGGCATGTTAAATGCATCGTGGCTCTTTATTCCTAAATGCCTTCGTGTGTATTTTCTTTTTAAATTTTTTTTTATATTTTTCAATTTTTAATAAGAGAGACAAAAGGTTTCACCACATTGCCCAGGCTGGTCTTGAACTCCTGAGCTCAAGCCACCTGCCCACCTCAGCCTCCAAAAGTGCTGGGATTACAGGCGAAGCCACCGTGTGGGGCTTCAGTGTGTGTTTTCTTAAAATAGGGATATTTTCTTACATAATCGCAGTGTAGTTATTAATGTCAGCAAGTTTTTTATTGATAAACATTTTTCTCTAATCTGCTACATATATATATATATATATACACATTTTTGTAAAATTAACTCAGTAATGTGCTTTAGAGCCTTAAAAAACAAAAACAAAAAACTACAAAACAGTGTCCAGTCTAGAGTCAGGTGGTATTGTATTTAGCTGCAATGTCTCTTCTGTCACCTTTTTTTTTTTTTTTTTTTGAGATGGAGTCTTGGTCTGTCTCCCAGGCTGGAGTGCAATGGCGCAATCTTGGCTCACTGTAACCTCCGCCTCCCAGGTCCAAGTGATTCTCCTGCCTCAGCCTCCCGAGTAGCTGGGATTACAGGTGCACGCCACCATGCCCAGCTAATTTTTGTATTTTTAGTAGAGACGGGGTTTCGCCATGTTGGGTCTGGAACTCCTGACCTCAGGTGATTCATCTGCCTCGGCCTTCCAAAGTGCTGGGATTACAGGTGTGAGCCACTGCATCCAGCCCAGTCACCTTGAATCTAGAATATCTCCATAGCTTTTCTTCTTATTTTATGACATTGATACTTTTGAAGAATACAGCACTTCCCTGCTCCTTTTAATAGTGGATTCCTCATTTTGGGTTTATCTGATGTTTCCCCATGATTAGCTTCATGCTGTGCATGTTTGGCCAGAATACTCCATAGATGATGTGTCTTTCTCAGCATATCACATCTGCAGGCATTCGATTTTCACCTGTCTCCACTGGTGATTTTTTTTTTTTTTTTTTTTTTTTTTTTTTTAGATAACGTGACTCTGTCAGCCAGGCTGGAGTGCAGTGGCACCTTCTCGGCTCACTGCGGCCTCTAACTCGCTGGGCACAGGTGATTCTCCCACCTCAGCCTCCTGAGTAGCTGGGACTGAAGGTGTGTGCCACCATGCCTGGCTAATTTGTGTCTGTGTGTGTGTGTGTGTGTGTGTGTGTGTGTGTATGCATTTTTGGTAGAGACGGGTTTTTGCTTTGTTGTGCAGGCTGCTCTTGAACTCCTGGGCTCAAGTGATCCGACTGCCTCAGCCGCCTGAAGTGCTGGGACTACAGGCGTGAGACACCGTGTCCGATCTCCACTGGTGATTTTAATTTTGGTCACCGATAGAAGCTCTTGTCTGATATTATTTGGGCCTACAAAAATGGCAATTTCATAATTTGACCTAACATAAAACCTTTTTACTGAGGTTTTAGATATCTAACCTGTACTCTCTGACGCTCGGTTTCCCTATCTGTTGAGTTTGGAGATTGTTTCTGCCCCACGAGTATTACTGGAGGGGTTAAATAAGATGATGTATGTAAAATCTGCCACATAAAAAGCATTCTATAAATATTAGCTATTATTATTGCAGCCAGGTCGTGTTCAAGGGCATTGGTTTTGATCTTCCTCTCAGTCTCTCCCAATTCCAAGCAAAATCTCAACAGAGACCAGTGATGGCATGGGGATGGGGTGAGGGAGCCTCACTTCTGCCATCTCAGTTTCCTCATCTGGAAAATGGGAAACGCCTCCCACACCACGGGGTTGCAATGAGGTTTCATGAAATGTGTGTAAAAGTAACTGGACATAGAACAAGTTCTTAAAAAATCATGTGGGTGACTAGTAATCTCTTGTATTAGGAAAACAGGAATATCTGTCAGAACTAAAACCACGTTCTAACGTGATGTTTCATTTTGAGGCGGTAGCACGGTGTGAGTAAACATCGTCAGAGTCTAGGGCTCTGGAATTTCTTTAGCGCTGTGTGATTGTGGGCAGATGCCTTACCCTCTCGGAGTGTGGAGTGTATGGTTTGTAACAGGGAGATAAAACGGGTGAGAGCCCCCTAGGACTCCTGTGTTAATAAAGGGTGCTAACGGTGCCCCCCGAGTGAGCGGCGCGGGCCCGCGCGCACCCGCACGCCTCGGGCGCCAGGCGCCGCCGTGTGGGCGGAGCCGGGCAGCCTCCCCTGTCGGCGCCAGCCACGGCTCCCGGCCCCAAGCTCCGCCCCCGGCGCGCATCTCCCAGCAGCGGCCCGGCACCTGGCAGACGCGCGGCGGCGGCGGCGAGCGGTGGCGCTCGGCTCGGGCGACCGCGGCGGGGGAGGGCGCGGCGCACCGATGGGCGCCACTGAGAAGGGAGGCCAGAAGAGCCGGAAGCTGTTTTCCTTGCGGCGGCCGTGGAAGGCGACCCGGCGGCTGTGGAGGCCACGCTCAGCTCGCCAGGCGGCGCAGGGTGAGTGTGGGCGCGGCCGGTCGGGACCTGTTACCCTGAGGCAGGGGCGCAGCGGCGGCGGGGCCGTCCCCGGCGGTCTCTCGGGTCGCGTTCCCGGCCCTGGGAGCCTGGATGCCTAGGCGACGCCCGAACCCGACCCTCGGTCGCGGGTACCGGGACCGCTGGGGAAGCGCAGGGGCTGATGTCGGCACAGTCTCCTTTCCTCTAGCCCCTGCTCGTTGCTTTGGCTCTGGACACAGGGAAGCCACGGTGGCGCGGCGACACAGCCTCACTGAGGTTAGCTTGTCCCCGGCCCCCAGCACCTGGCCTGGCGCCTGCAATGCAGTGCCTACTGGGGGAATGAATCAGAACCCGAGGCTCCCTTCAAGGTCCTCCCGCCCTGTACCCACCTCCTCTCTACCTGCCTGCGGTGATTTCGAAGCTCTCGCCACGATAAACTATTTCCAAGCACACTCAGTCCTGTCCTCGCCAGGGCCTCAACTCACAGCCAATCACTGACTCACTCCATTCATTCATTCCACAATTTTTATCGAGCCCCTCCATCTGCCTTGGCCGGAGAACACGATGGGCAAAGCCCGGATCTTGGAACTACTTCTAGAGAGGAAGACAGACATTACACACGCAAAACAGAGAAAGCCCGGTACACATTGCTATGTGCGCTTAGAGGGAATCAGTCTGCTGACAGAGGAAAAAAGGCAGGTCCCCGAGCTTCCATGGCAGGCGGACTGGGAAGGCCTCTCCGAGGCATTGCAAGTCAGCGGAGACCCGAGGACTGACTAGGAGTTACTCTAGCGTGAAGCCGAGTAATAGAGAATAGCAAGTGGAAAGGTTCCCAGAGTGCCTGAATTGAGCAAGGGGAAAGAGAGGGATGCAGGGCCTGGATCGAGGTCTGGGCAGAACATGAAGAGGAGTTCGGATTTTATTCTACGTGAGCTGGGAAAACACTGAAGTGTGCTAAGCAGGGAAGTGACCTGATCTGGGGGCTCCCGGCTTTTCTCTGTCTGCAGTGTCCATGCTCGCATCTCAGCCTGCCGGATTCCTACCCTCCTGCCAAGACTAGCACAAATGCAGTCTCCTCGCTGAAATCTCTGTGGTTCCTGCCACCTGTAACCCCTCCTTTAGCATTTCGTCACCTGTAGAGCGTTTGTCACTGTTCATCTGGTATTAAAGATTCCACATTCTCATCCATTTCATCTTTGCATCCCCCACGAGGCTAAGTGCAGGGCTTGGTACTGTGTAGATACTGCTTATGAATGTGTCTTGTCTTGTCCTTTTTGTCTGTTTCCATCATCTGAGGATCCTTCCTCTGGGGGGTTGACATGCCTTATTTCTAAAATGGCCGACCGGATGCAGGGCAGAGCCAGATTGCACCAGGACCCTGCCATCGATATAGTCCCCCTCACCCACCCCCGGTGTTTTGAGGATTAAATAAATTAATGAATTAAACGAGTTAGTAGTTATAAAGTGTTAGCACCTATTAAGCATTATAAAAATAAATTTGAAAATGACCAGCAATAATTATCTTTCAAATATTTATTTATTGCATTGGAAACAAGCTTTTCTATTGGTGGTTGTTAGGGAGACTCTGCAGCTTGTCATTGTCATCTTGCCGGCTTTTAAGTATGTGTTCCTACTTTTTAAAAGTCAGTGCACCAACAAAATTCTTTCCATACTGTCATCAAGAACTATTGCTGAGGCCGGGCGCAGTGGCTCACCCCTGTAATCCCAGCACTTTGGGAGGCCAGGCGGACGGATCACTTAAGGTCAGGAGTTCGAGCCCAGCCTGGCCAAGGTGGTGAAACCCCGTCTCTACTAAAAATACAAAAATTAGCTGGGCGTGGTGGCATACACCTGTAGTTCCAGCTACCTGGGAGGCTGAGGCAGGAGAATCGCTTGAACCCAAGAGGCAGAGGCTGCAGTGAGCTGAGATTGCACCACTGCACTCCAGCCTGGGCCACAGAGTGAGATTCTGTCTCAGACAAACAAACAAAAAGAACTATTGCTGAAACTTAATAGGGCCGAAGGCTGACCACTTTTTATCATGAGCTTGAATGAGATCGATGATTGCAACAAGTATTCCTTGAGTGATAATTACATGCATAGTGTTATTCCAGATGTTGTGTGAATGCTTACAAAAGAGGAATAGATGAATATTGCCACTGTAGTAACTTGGATTAGAATAAGTGTTCTAGTTTTATAATTTTTATTTTAATTTTTAAAATCTTTAAAGTTCCGGGATACACATGTAGGATGTTCAGGTTTGTTACATAGGTAAAGGTGTGCCTTGGTGGTTTGCTGCACCTATCAGCCCATCACTTAGGTATTAAGCCCAGCATGCATTAGCTATTTTTCCTGATGCCCTCCCTCCCCTGCCCTCACCACCACGGGCCCCATTGTGTGTTGGTTCCCTCCCTGTGTCCTTGTGTTCTCATTGTTCAGCTCCCACTTATAAGTGAGAACAACTGGTGTTTGGTTTTCTGTTCCTGCATTAGTTTTATAATTTTTAAAACCAGATCTTTAGTGCCTATACAACCATCTCCGCTTCTGCGTTCCTGACCTAGCGTTTACTCACAGCTTCCCAGGGCTCATTGCCATCCCACACCTCTCTTTTCTTAGATAGGATCTTGGCTGCTCACTACATTCCTCTACTATCTATCTTCCCCTTCCCCCATAAGCCCTGGGGATAAAGCCATTATAATATCTAATGTTACATGATACTTGACATCTTATAGAATAGTTCAACTACAGGATTTTGTTTAGATCTTGACAATACTCCTGGAAGGAGAGAGGGCAGATGTTATGTATTTCCCCCATTTTATATATAAGGGAAGGTGAAACAAGCGGCACTAAGTGATATGCTGGAGGTCATGTGACTGGTGAGTGTCAGACTCAGGCCTGCCTACCTATACAACATGCTTTCTGCCACATCTCCCTCCACACATGAAAAAACATGTTTCAATAGCTATACTCATGGAAGAGGGAAGTAAAACGAATAAATATTATGCAATAAATCTATATCTCAATTTTATTTGATTTTTTAAAGTTAACCTGAATTTCTTATGATGATGTTAACATCACTTTGGGCATCTAGAATCATACACTTTGACATCACACAGGCTATGATTTAAATCTGCCACTAATAAATGGCACATTAATAAACTGTGTGATATCAGACAGCATCCTTAGTCTTTCAAAAATGGAGTTATATATTATCTGAAAAATGAGGATGACAATTCCTATGTCATGTAACTGTGATGATTAAATGCATTTCTGGTACATAGAGGTTCACAAAGGGCTGGTTATTTTTAAATTAATATTAGGTTTACTATTGTATGTATTAATATTAATAAAACAAAACCTAATATGGTTGAAAATCTAGACTATTCTTAGAAAATAGTCTAGAAAACCTAGAAAAGTCTAGAAATTATTAGCAAACCATAATATTAATATGGCTGAAAATCTGGACTACTATTAGTATACTATTGTTAGTATAGAATAATAATAGTCTAGATTTTCATAAGAGTCCAGACTACTATTAGTCTAGATTAATGCTTAGTCTAGATTTCAACCATATGATCACACTCAAAATATGTTTAAAAGTTCAGTGTGCTCTGGGAAGCAACCACAGCTGGAGGCTTCTTTGAGGAAGTTAACCCTTCTGGGTCAACCAGAAGGTCTTCTGCAGCAGCATCCATCTTTCTACCACCTTCTTCTTTTTCATCAGGAGGCTGCAGGGGAGAAGGAACATAGCTTCTAGGGACTCCTGTCATCTTTTCATGCTAACACTGTGTCCTGAACATAGCAGACATTCAATAAATATGTCTGGAATGAAAGATTCCTTTCATTTATATATATTTCCAAAGAGAATGACTCTGAAATTTACACTGTGAACATTTGTCACTAAAAATATAGCATAAATATCTAGAAGGACAATTACTGCATCAAAGTGTATATATATATATATAGTTTTGATTTTGAGAGATATTGCCAAGTTGACCTTTGTACATTTGTGCTAATTCAGTTTCTGCCAACAGTGTGTAAGCTCCCCGATTCCTTACTGAATATGGTCAGACTTTTAAATGCTTGCTAATTTGATGGGTATGAAATGATATTCCATGTTGTTTTATATTGAATTTTCTTGATGAATAATGAAGCTGAGTATCTTTTCACATGAATATTGGCCATTCTTGTGTGAACCTTTGTGAAAGGCCTATTGATGTCTTTCTCATTTCTTTAACTTGGGTTTTTTTTTTTTCTATCCATTTTAGGAACTCTTTAAATATTCTGGATATGAATTATTTGTTGGTTTAGAGGTCTAAACAACTTTTAAAAATGTACTTAATCATGCCAGTAGTTCTAAATGGGAATATGAACAAGCTGTGCTGAGTTGAAATTAACCCTCCAAATGCTTCCGTCCATTCCAGAGAACCATATTTTACTCAAATATCAAAGTCCGTAGGTTACAGAAAAGGGAGCAAATGACAAAAGCATTTTATGAGCAGTAGACTTCTCTAGCCCTTGAATTATGGTAGATAACTGGCCTTGAGTTCCTGCCACCAGAAATTCCCTCCTCTAAACCCTGTGGTGGTTGAGGAGCCCTTTCCTGAGCTGTGGTATTCTCTGGGAAGACACAGGTTGGAACTAGAGTCAGTTTCCATCAGTAGATAGTATTTTGCAGAACAATTTACTTGGAGAAGAAAGAGGACAGAATTTCTGTCACGTCGATCAGTGGTTTATTCTCTCACTGCCATTGTCTAGCCATATGTCCCTAAAAATAAGCCACATTGAATGGATGTAATGATCCCTACCCAGCCTATTCCTAAGGATATTAGAGAGATCAAATGAGACCATAAAAATGAAAGGGCTGTGTAAATACAAGGTTTGTTAGCCAGGCTCTGGGAAGTAACCAACACTTTGTCAGAGTGGGAAAACCTCACTGACCCACAATCTTTGGGTCTGTGGCTCTGGCCCTTCTCCTACCACCTGTTCTGCATACAGGTGCATGATTGTAGAGAGCTGTGCTTCTCCAAGGTTGGTCTCCAGACCAGCAGCATGAGAGCAGCAGCATCAGCATCACTCAGGACCTTGTTAGAAATGCAAATTCTAGGCCCCCATCTCAGAGCTACCAGATCACAAACTGAGGGGTGGGAGGATGGGGAGGGATAGGAGGCTGGAACCTGGAAATGTGTTTTAATAAACTCTGCAGTAATTCTGACACATGCTAAAGGTTGAGAACCACTGACTTAGTAGGATGAGCAAGGGTTTTACAGCCAGCAAATGTGGGTTTAAATCTCAACTCTCCTACTTGCCAACTTGTGACATGTAAATTACTAGACCGTCTTGGGTTTCCAACCTCTCACCACTAAAAGGAAGACCGAGTGTGGTGTAGCAGGTGAAGCCACTCTCCTTCCTTCCCATTTCCTTTACAGGACTGTGTGAGAAATAAATGACATGACGATTCTGGACTCTGCTGTGTTTAGCTGTGTGTCTCCTTTGGCAAGTCTCCTTGCCTCTCTGCCTCATTTTTCTCATCTGACAAAACAAATGGCAAGAGTTAATGTGTGCATTGCTTTTGTCACACTATGTGCCAGCCACTGTCTTAAAGAGTATGTGATTTTATTTTATTCTTACAATAAACCTGTTTTACAGCTTTCATTTTACACATAAGAAAAACTGAAGCAGAGAGAGGTTAAGTAACATTTCCAAAGTTATACAACTAGTAAGTTGGGATTCAAACCCGGGAGGTCTGCTGTGAGTCCTTGCATTAAAGACAATGCTTGCCAAGTAATAAGTTCTCAAAAAATGGATGATGATGATGATGATAAGAAAATAGCCTGGCATATAGTAGGTACTCCATATAAGCCATGCTGCCCTCTTCTGTGGCTAGCCCTAATCCTAAACATCTATCCCCTCCCCGCAGTAAGCACATTTTCTTTTTCCTTCTCACCTCTTTTCTGGCCATTTGGGTGCTCTGAGCAAGCCAGACAGAGGCTTGGCTGGATGCAGAAAGACCAAATGTGGTGTTGCAGGTGAAGCCACTCTTTGGGAATGAATGACTAAGCTAGCAGAAGCTCTAGACAAGTTATTGAAAGATCATTTCATCTGCCTAATTTGGAATATATATTCTGGGTCTCTGCTTACCTATCAACTAATCAAGAATTAAAATGCCTCAAAAGTTCCAAGGGAGTGTAAAAGCTTTTTTTTTTGGTGCCCAGTTTTTCCTCAGAGTAAAATTTGCAGCTGGGAAAGTTTAATCCACAGTATGACAGCAGTGTTTTTTTCCTTTCATTTTTGTTTTTTTGCTCAGACAATAAAAAGCCTTATTCCCTTTCAATTCAGGGTTTCACTCGTTGTTCTTGAAAATTCCCTTCAGTTTAGCTCTCAAGATGGCCTTGCTTGCTGAGCATGAGTCACTGGTTTAGTGACTCAGAGTGGCATCTAACAAGACAAGGATGTGCAGGGTTGTCAAGGGACTTAGTGGCCAGTGGAGCCTGCCTGAAGCTTTTCCTAAACCCAGTTTTTGAGATAGAGCATCTTTTCCATTAGCGGCTGTTCCTAATCATCCTCAGTACCAGTTTATCTGAAGCTTGGGGTCTGACAGAGACATTGCCTTGTTGTGGAAAGCTCTAGAATCCATCCTTGTCCTTAACTGGATGTGGCCTTGAGATTTACTGTGTGACAGGACAAGACTTCTGAGAGTTCACCCAGCTCTGCTTGGAACGGCCGCAGAATCAGGAGGCCTGTGCTTCTGGAAATATGGTGTCAGGAGGGAAAATAAAGCCTCTTTTTATTTGATGAGGCCTTCAAACCTCTTTCAACTTTAGGAGAAAAAAGATCAATTAAAGTTGGATAGAGAAACAGACACATGTGATGAAGCAAATATACCCAAATATACTTGGATATGGGGCCCACTGTACAATTCTTTCAACTTTTTGATATGTTTGAAACTTTTCAAAATATAATGTTTGGTACAATGCAGATACCCCTAGAAATGACTACACTTTTGAAAACATTATTCCTTTTGCAATATAAATGGGTGTTTTCCTTCCCTTCTCCCACTTCTTTTCTACTCCTAGCATTGGTCTTTTTAAAATTTTGGTCTAGGGAGCCTTCTTGATTAAAAAGGGCCTGGAATAGTTAGAAAGAATGAATAAGACCTAGTACTTGATAGCACAACAAGGTGACTAGAGTCAATAATAATTTAATTGTACATGTTAAAATAACTGAAAGAGTATAATTGGATTGTTTGTAACACAAAGGATAAATGCTTGAGGGGATGGATACTCCATATTCCATGATGTGATTATTATACATTGCATGCCTGTATCAACATTTCTCATATACCTCATAAATATATACACCTACTATGTACCCACAAAAATTAAAAATAAAAAAATTTTAAAAAGGGCCGGAGTGAGGGTGGTTGGTGATTGGCTATTCCTTTATGCCAAAGACTTCATATTCTTCTTCATATGTAATTCTCACAATAATCCTACAAACTAGTTATTAATTTCTGTATTTTATGAGGAAACTGAAGCTTAGGGGAATAAACTTGACCCAGTTACAAGGTAATACTACTCATCTTACAGCATTTATGGAGCCCTTACTTGATGTGTCAGGCTTTGTGTTATGAACCTTAAACCTATTAACTTGTTTGAGCCTCACCAAGCTGTGGAAGGTGGGTACCATTATTACCTCCATCCTGCAGATCAGGAAATGGAAACTTAAGAGAGGCGCAGCAACTTGTCTCAGCTTATATTCCAGGGGCTGGTACATGGCAGGGCCCATGTTTGAATCCATTCTCTTTATTTATTTTTTGAGGCAGGGTCTTGGTCTGTCACCCAGGGTCTTTCTTGCTCTATTGCCCATGGCTCACTGCAGCCTTGACCTACCAGACTCAAGCATCCTCCCATCTCAGCCTCCCAAGTAGCTGGACCACAGGCTCATGCCACCATGCCCAGCTAACTAAAAAAAAAAATTTTCATAGAGACAGGGTCTCACTATGTTGACCAGGCTGGTTTTGAACTCCTGGCCTCAAGCGATCCTACCACCTTGGCCTCCTAAAGTGCTGGGATTACAGGCGTCAGCCACCTCTCCCAGTCCTCTTCTGCTTTAGAGCTCTTGCCCTACTATTCAAATCCACGCTTTGGCATTTCTTTGCCTACTTTGGTAAATTGGCATATCTAGTGGAAGCCTCTTGACCTGAGGCCACAGGCTCCTGAGGACAGAGAATGTTTTGTTCAGCACCGTGTCATTCCTAGTGTTCATAGCAGTGCCTGGCACCATGAATATTATTGAATAAAAGAGTGCATGAATGATGGCTTCTCACCACCTACTCCCTCACCTTCTCAGCCCCCCAAAGTGCTCCTCTTGGGCACATTTTGGCTATCCTGGACTTGGTCCTTGGAGATAAAGATGCCGGTTTCTCTGATGTGGTTTAGCCAATGTCGCATTTGGTGGCCAGTAAGGAGTTGTAATGAAGGCAGATTTTCCTTATTGGTCTTAAGCTGTCAAAGACAGCAGAAAGATATTATCCACTGCCAAGGAAAGATGGGAACCAAAAACAAATACTTAAAGTTTCCCAAAACTTTCAAGGAATCTTCCAGCTGTGGCAACAAGAAGTCCTTAGTAGCCATGAAAGCTCTCACATTATAGCTATGTTTGACTCTTGGGTTGAAGTAATGAACAGGTGAACACTGACAATTAGTCCTCTTAAATGTGCCCAAGCAGTTGGTAATTATACCCTGCATTTATTTAGTGTTTTGTTTACAAAATTCTGTTCTCCCTTTTGATGATATGAACAGCCCAGTACATATATAGGACAGCTATGATTATTCCCACTTTACAGATGAGAAAACTGATGCCAGAGAGGTTCTGTCATTTGCCCTACACTACGCAGCTAATAAAAGGTAGAGACAGTAGAGACAGGTCTTCAACCCTTTTAATGCCTAGTCCAGGAAATTTTTAATATCAATATTGCATTTAACTCAGTAATTTCTGAGGATGAGTAACAGGAAGATGTATTCCTTTCTGTTGCTCTTCTTCCAATTTAGTTAGGTTATGTATTTGAGTCAGTTAGTCTTTCTGGATACCAGTTTGCTAATCTGTATCATGGGGAATAAACACCATCCATCAGTGAGTATGCATGAAGCAGAGGAGACTGGGAGGGTTCAGAACTTAAAAAACAATTTCTGAGTGAAGCTGTTTGGAAGAGACTGTGATGACTCTTACCTATTATCCATAAAACAAATTAAATGGCACCTCCCTTGGCAACCCTACCTAAAATGGCACCCCTGTTACCTCATTACCATGTTTCATTTTTCTTCACAGCATTTATTGCCATTTATTATATGTCTATATTACCTGTCTGAATCCTCCCACCAGAGTGCAATAACCAAGAAGGCAGGGACCTGAAACCCTAAGAGGTGGAATAGTGCCTGGCACAAATAACCACGTGTTGAATAAATGATTGAATTAATGAATGAATCTGAGCTGTGGAATGATTCAAAGTAAGTTTGAATTGAATGACTGAAAGATTTACTTGAATCCTCCTTGCTCCCCAACAGAGGGGTGTTATGGTTTGGCATCCTCATACATATTCCTAGTCTGCCACTCAATGGCTTACAACCAGTCACTAAAGCCTCCTTGAGTATCAACTTAGGCCTGGGTGAAATGGGTTCAATAACCTGTGTCCATGCAGCAGACACAGCCCATTATATTGCCCTGTATGCCTCTGTACTGTAACAGCCTGTGAGCAGCGTGAGGACCGAGGGCTGGTCCTGTGCACTGTTGTATCCCCAGTACTTAGCATACAGCCTGGTCCACAGAGAGGTAAAATAAATGTTGAATGAATGAATGAAAGTACAGGGCTCTGAATCCTCCTCCAAAGCTGACTTACCATCTGAAAATAAACCTGGTGCATGGCACAGACATTCCCCTTTCAATTCAGAGATGAGGAGGCGCTAAACAGTTGGTTCCCTATCCTGAGGGAAGGAAAGGCAAGCCTCGGCTCCAGATCCGGTTCCATGCCATGTTTTGGAATTTGTGTTTACGTCTGCCTTCATCCCCATCCTTTCCGCTCCAGCATAAGCAAAATTATAACCCCGCACACCGACTTGCATGCAATTATCATAGCCCGAGTGCTCCTCCGTTGAGAGACTTCGCCCCCGAGACCGCTGACTGTGAATGACAAATCAAAAGTCAGGGTTGCAGAATCAGCCGGACTTTCCTGCTCATTTGCAGCAGAGGGAGGAAGCAGAGAATGAAAGATTCTGAAAATAAAGGTAAGGGGCGGACTGCAGAAAGATGGCTAAGAGAGGGCTAAAGGCTAAAAGATGCTAGGGATGCGATGTCACTCCACAGACATATTTAGTTTGTATTAATGGCTAGTTTAAAATTACCATACCTATATTAACATTCTAGTTATATAATAAACATGATGACTTTAAAAAATGACTAGCTTCTAGTTTCCAAATATTGTGTCATTCAGCTTTCCATTTTTATAGTCCTAAATATAACCCTATTTTTGCATTCTTAATCTTGGCTGAGTAACACAGCTTTCATAGATTTCCTTAGACTAGCTCCCAGATTTTTGATAATTTTATTTTGGGGGTGTTCACAATAGTTAATAATGAATATACAGGTTTTCAATGCATTATGAGAATTGGAATATCTGAAATAATTGGGACTTAAAACAGTTTGGGTTCTGAAGGCAAACGCTGACGGAGAATCCTTTAATGAACATTAATCTTTTTAGAAGCGCTCCATGGGGAGCCGTCGCTGACCTTCAGAACTGTTTATCTTGCAAAGAAATGCTGGGATGTAAACTACCCCCACTCCATCAGCCTCCACACCTTACCTCCCCCTCACCTCCCAACACTCTAATTCTGTTAGAGGGATGGGGGAAGAGAGAAACGAATTTAAATAAAAACTCAAAAAAGGAAAGGGCTAACCGAAAAATGAGCCAACCAAATTTTAAGTTCAACAACAAGCATTCTGGAGGATTCTGGGGTTTTAAATTCGGAGGCTCCTTAAATATTCTGCCGCAGTTGGGGGAGGAGCGATGGACCCCTAGGTCTCCGGAGGCTACACGTGTTCCCCGATCCCGTTTCCAGGGGGAGCCCTTCCTTCCTATTGCGCTGGTCGTGCTCCTGGCCCGCGTGCCCAGGAAGGGCGCAGCGGAGTCGCGTGCCCGTCCGGGCGGAGGACGCCGTCTCCGCGCGGCGGTGCCGGGCCCCTGCTTCCGGAACGCTAATTTTAGGGTTCGCCGGCCCCCCTTTCTTTTCACCCGCTTTCCGTGCGAGCCGCTGCGCAGCAGTCTGCGCTTCGAGTGCGCTGTGTTTTAAGGAGGCCCCGGCGCTTGCCCCTTGGGCTCGGGGGCTTGGGTGCGCAGGTGGGGGCTGGCACGCAGCCCGTTGGGCAGGTTTCGCGCAGCGACCCTCCCCACGCCGGAGCTAAGTTCTTTGGGTGAGACGTGCAACAACGCAGGCCCCAAAGCTCTCTGCGCGCAGCGCCGCGGGGCTTGGCCTTCTCCAGTCCTCGGGAGTCAGCCACCGTCTCTGGCTTGTTATAGGATTCCCACCTCGTGGTGGGCAATGATATATACATATTCAACATTAGAAAAAGAAGGAAAAAAAAACCCCACTCACAATCTAATGCCAATGGAGAGAATGGTATTTTAATCTACGAAACTGTAATGAAGGCTCTTAAACAATCCCACTTTCCATAATTGAGGCTTTCAAAAGGGCCAGGTAGCTGGTGGTGTTTGTATTAACATCTCATAGGCTCTGGATCATTCACAGCCACGTATTGATCTATGTGGTTTTGACGTTTAAATTTTAATGAAGCAGCCTTAGTGGGGAAGAAAACAGCTATGCATGTGCCTGGTAAGGGGGAAGAGGACCTGTTCACTCCTGTTTCTAAGCCAGCATCTTAAGAGTAGGTATTACCTGTGTGTGAAATCAAAGTATTTTAAAATTAACTCTAGGAAGAATGTTGGATTTTCCTGTGTTGTTTTCAGTGGTTGGAGAAAGGGTTTCTGGAGAGAAAAAAAAAATTGCTTATTTGCCAAGTCATGCTAGGCCATGGACATGATTTAGAAAAAAAATTAAAGCTGCTTGAATTGGAGGCCCAGGTTAAGGTTAATATTCAACATTGTTTGAAATGGAAACACTCCTGGTTTCTCAGTGTATCAGTGTGTTTTAAGCTCAGATCCCCAGCCTTTTTCTAAGGAGAGTTGGTATTTAGAATTTTTTTTTTTTTTTTTGAGATGGAGTCACGCCCTGTCGCCCAGGTTGGAGTGCAATGGTGCGATCTCGGCCCACTGCAACCTCTGCCTCCCAGGTTCAAGCGATTCTCCTGCCTCAGCCTCCCGAGTAGCTGGGATTACAGGCCCATGCCACCACGCCCGGTTAATTTTTGTATTTTTAGTAGAGATGGGGTTTCACCATCTTGGCCAGGCTGGTCTCGAACTCCTGACCTCAGGTGATCCACCCGCCTCGGCCTCCCAAAGTGCTGGAGTTACAGGTATGAGCCACCGTGCCTGGCCGGTATTTAGAATTTTTGTTTTACTTTGTACTGGGAAGAGCCTTGGGTTGGGAGTCAAGATTGGTAGGCTCTGGCTTGTTCAGTTATAACTCATTTGTGACCTAGGACAGGACTCTATTTCTTTGGGTCTCAGTTTCTTTATCGCTAAAATGGAGAGCTATTAGACTAGATTCCTGTTTTTCAGATTGTGAGTGGTGAGAAAGCAACTTAGTGAGTCTTAGGCAACATTTTAGATCGATGAAATAGAACAGAAACTGTCAGAAATCATTGCACATAGCAGAGGTAACTACTGTTTCCTGAAACTTCTGTTATAGATATTTATCTTTATGCATGTGGGTATAAGCCGTATTCTGACATCACATCGGTTTTTTTTTTTCCTGTGAGTTTCAGTCAAAGAAGTTTGAGGAACACTGAAATAAATCATAGCTCAGTAATGGTTTTCAAGGAGTCTGTGAAATGCAGCTTTATATGCATATATATACAGACAGAGAGAGAGAGAAAGAGAGAGTCAATAGTTTTCCTCAGATTTTTAAAGGATTCTAAGACTCCAAATAGGTTATGAATTACTGTATTTCTAAGGTCCCCCAGGCCTTTTCCAAGCCTAGTTCTTTGAGAGCAAAGTATCCCTTTAGGGCTGCTGGGAGATGGGTATGTGTTGACAGAGACCAGATAAGTGTATGGTGTGAGGTGGTGTGTGTGTGTGTGTGTGTGTGTGTAGGTGTGACCATAGCAACCAGACCGTGAGAGCCATTCCTGGGTCCCAAATTACCAGTTGGTGTCCTGAATATGAGACATAAAAACACTAAAAATTAGAGTCTCTGTGTTGAAAAGGACCACAACAAAACTATTAAAATATTATGAATTGTTTGGAAGTCAATTCTTTTTGTAAAGACTGAAAAAGAGAATCAGGTAAAATTATAAGAGGTTGATGGGGCAAAGAAATCACCAGGATGTTGCAGGTTCAGAAAGTGAATTTTTGTAAGCTACCATCACATGAGTGGTTCAGTAAATGTTGACTTGTGCCTTAAGAACTGCCTGCCTGCCTTTTCCATCTTTTTAGTTCATCTTAGGGACAATTCAGTGAGGTTTTTAAATACAAAAGACATTGTGTAACATTGATCTAGCATATCTCAAAATGTTTTGCAAGCCAGGAAAAAGAAATTAAGTATAAGGCAACTAAAAAGAAAATAGTTGAGTGAGTTAATAAGTAGATATTGGCAAACATGACAGCTAATTATAACAATAAGAACCATAGCTCCTATTTAATTAACAACTGTTATGTGAAAAGCTCTCTGGGAGGTGCTTTACATATTGTCACAACACTGCAAGGTAGGTGGTATTTTATTCTGAAGAAATAGATTAAGAATTTTGTACAGGGATACATAGCTAGTTAATGGCAGAGCCATGATTCAAAATCAGGTCTTTTTTTATCTCCAAAACCATTCACATGGTAGGCAAGTACTTGAAAATAAGTAGCCCTGTACTCTGTAAAATTACAGTTTTTAATAAAATTGTCAACATTTTTAGAATTAACTTACCTATATAAAAAGGGAGATGTGAACCTTAGAAAATGATGGCTTTTGACTAATTTTTTAGGTTGTTTTTATTTGGAAAACAGATATTTTAACTCTTCAAATTCAGCTCCAAATTTTCTTTTTACTAAGTTCTTTGAGTATGTTATGCAGCAAGGTCTTAGAGGCACAAAATAATAAGAATGAAGACTGAAAATTTGGGTGAATTTTTTTTTGGTCTATAAGAGGTCAAAGAAAATAGTTCTCATTCCAATTTTTCTGTTATTTTTCTAGATTTTATTTTAAAATGGCAAACATGGCATTTGTTTAGCAAACAAAGTTACACATAACATTTTAATAGTAGGATTTAAAAGTTGTCATGACTGGGCGTGGTGGCTCAACCTGTGATCCCAACACTTTGGGAGGCTGAGGTGGCAGATCACTTGAGGTCAGGAATTCAAGACCAGCCTGGCCAACATGGTGAAACCCCCTCTCTACTAAAAATACAGAAATGAGCCGGGCATGGTGGCATGCACCTGTAATCCCAGCTACTGGGGAGGCTGAGACAAGAGAATCGCTTGAACCTGGGAGGCGGAGGTTTCAGTGAGCCGAGATAGCAAGACTGCACTCCAGCTTGGGTGACAGAGTGAGACCCTGTCTCAAAAAAAAAAAAAAAAGTTGTCTATGCCAATGGTTCCTGAGATAACTTTTCACTGGAAGTTATTACAAAATCTAATTGGGTTTGAGCAGGGTCAGATTCAGACTTTTAGGCTCTAAATATTAAAAAATAGTGTGGTGTTCATCCTCCAATCTGTAATTCAAAATAAGTGTAAAAAAATTTTTAAAAAGTTGTGATTTTTCTTAAACATCTTGACTACTTTGATACTTTTAGAGAAAACTCAAATTCTTTCAAGGATTTTTGTCACTGCTGCATGTGACTGGGTGAGTTGGTGAAATGATACTTTAGCTGGGGTGATCTGTAAATGACTGAGTGACTTCTCAAAGCTTCAGGGGTAGCATGTGGTTAAGCTGGGATTAGAGACTGGTCTATGCCAGTGGTAATCAATGGGTCTGGTATTGCTTTTTGGGCTACACACTGGAAATCTGCAGGTATGTTATTTGATGGTCATATGATTGAGGGGCGCTGCCATTGGCAGAAACTAGAAATGATAGTGCCCTCCGGTGTTCTGGGCTGTTCCATTCAATGATGAATTAGCTCATGTCCTGTGCAATTTTCAAATGTTTTGCTGAAGATGTAGTAAAACCTTCTATACTTTTCTGGGCTTAGAACATAAATTGGTTTCACTGTACACTGAAACTTCCAGGATTAAAAATGCTGTGTAAATCTAAGGAAGATTATACTGAATTTTGTTCAGGAAATCACTTACCCAAAGCAATGCCACTTGTGTTTTAGACACCAGTACAACACACCTGAATCATAAAATCTATATACAAGTGCAAGTAGCTACCTACTTAATTATGTTTTCTAATATAGTCGTCTGAGCATTTGCATATTGAAATACATGTTGCTTTATTGTAAATAACTTATTTCACTTCTCTTTTACATTACAGTTGAAACGTATATGTATATATATATACATATGCATAGTTTAATTTTGTGTTAGGTTATTTCATCTTTAAATTTCATTTTGAGATACTAAACAAGAAAATACAAAATATTTTTATATGTTACTCAGAGTTTAAAAATGACTTGATTTTTACCCCTGAATGTTTTAAAATAATTTGAACCAACATTAAAACTTTTGGAGACTATAGGTTCAATAAGGTATTTATGGCTTCTTTAATAAAGATTAGAGCAGTCTGCAACAATGAGATTGAGCTGAGTATAAATTACCCTCTTTAAAGGGCAGATATACTGGGTTATAAGGGTTATAAATCTCTAAAAGTGATGTTACTGGTCGTTGATTATTTTTATGCTATTGTTACTGCCACTTACATTTTTATTTTTTGTTTTACTATTATTATTTTTGAGATGGAGTCTTGCTCTGTCACTCAGGCAGGAGTTCAGTGGTGCGATCTTGGCTCGCTGCAACGTCCACCTTCCAGGTTTAAGCAATTCTCCTGCCTCAGCCTCCCTAGTAGCTGGAATTACAGGTGCACACCACCACACCCAGCTAATTTTTGTATTTTTAGTAGAGTCAGGGTTTCACCATGTTGGCCAGGCTGGTCACCAACTCCTGACCTCAAGTGATCCGCCACCTTTGGCCTCCCAAAGTGCTGGGATTACAGGTGTGAGCCACTTGGCCTGGCAAAATTTTTTTAAAACATTTTATTTATATTCTCTCAGCAGGACAATCTTCCTAGCATAACTGTTGAGGGCCCCTCCAGTCTCAGGTTTTGACCTTGTTTTTTATTTTTTTTTATTAACTTAAAAAACATTATTATTTTTTCATTTTTATTTTTGACTTGACGATAACTGTATATATTTATGGGGTACAATGTGATGTTTTGATAGAAATCTACTACATTTTGGAATGATCAAATCAGGCCGATTAGCATATTTATCACCTCAAATATTTATCATTTCTTTGTGATGAGAACATTTAAAATCCTCTTTTAGTAATTTTGAAATATACAACACATTATTATTAACCCCAGTCACAGTGCTGTGCAATAGGACAGCAAAACTTATTCTTCTAACTGTAACTTTGTGCCTATTGATCAGCATTGCCCCTTTCCCTGCCCATGCCCCCACCTCCCAGCCTCTAGTAACCACCTTTTGATTCTCTAATTCTGTAAGTTTGGCTTTTTTAGATTCCACACACAAGTGAGATCATATGATATTTGACTCTCTGTGGCACTTTAGAATTTCATTTTCTAATTGTTTATTCCTGGGATGTAGAAATAGAATTGATTAGGCCGGGTGCGGTGGCTTATGACTGTAATCCTAGCACTTTCGGAGGTGGAGGCAGGTGGAACACCAGAGGTCAGGAGTTGGAGACCAGCCTGGCCAACATGGTGAAACCCTGTCTCTACTAAAAGTACAAAAAAAATTAGCCGGGTGTGGTGGTGTGTGCCTGTAATCCTAGCTACTCGGGAGGCTGTGGTGGGAGGATTGCTTGAACTAGGAGGTGGAGATTGCAGTGAGCCAAGATCACACCACTGTACACTCCAGCCTGGGCAACAGAGCGAGACTCCATCTCAAAAAAAAAAAAAAAGAAAGAAATAGAATTGATTTTATATGTTGACCTTATTTCAGTGACCTTGCTAAATTCACTTATTAATTTCAATAGTTTTTAGATTTTAGGGGCCTTACTATGTAGACCGTTTATTTTTCTGTAAATAATGACAGCTTTTTCTTCTTTCTGATCCTTATACTTTTTCCCCTTTGTCTCATTGCACTAGCTAGGATCTCTCTTATAATGTTGAATAGAAGCAGTGATGGTGAGTATTCTTATCTTGTTACTGATCTTAGGGGAAAAGCTATCACATTTTCACCATTAAGTACAACATTTGATGTGGGATTTATATGGACACTTAAAAATTAGATTAAGGAAGTTACCTTCTATTCCTACTGTGCTAAGTTTTTATCATGAATCAGTTCTGAGTTGTAACAAATATTTTTCTGTATTATGTGCATCATATGATTATTTTATTCTGTTAATATGGTGAATTTCAGTGATTCTTGAATGTTAAACCAACTTTGCACTTTTGGAACAAACAACTTCGTTGTGATATCTTTTTATATATTGCTGTATTTGACTTGCTAATATTTTGTTGAGGATTATCTTTGTCCATGAGAGAGATTAACCTGTGATTTCCTTTTGTTGTGGTGCCCTTGCCACATTTTGGCATCAAGGATATGTTGACCTTGTAAAATGAATTAGGAAGTATTTCCTATTTCTCTATTCCCTGGAAGGTTTTTGTGAGATTAGAATTATTCTTTAAATGTCTGGAAGAATTCACTGGTGAAGCCATTTGGGCCTGGAAATTTTGTTCTTGGAAGGTTTTAAAATATGTTTTTTTGTTTGTTTGTTTATTTATTTTACTTTTGTAAAGATGAGGTCTCACTATGTTGCCCAGGCTGATCTTGAACTCCTGACCTCAAGTGATCCTGCCACCTTGGCCTCTCAAAGTGTTGGGCTTACAGGCGTGAGCCACTCTGCCTGGCTTCAGTTGTTTTAATAGTGTATGTTATTCAGATTTCCTATTTTTGTGTGTGTTTTAATAAATTCTGTTTTTTTAGGAATTTGTCCATTTCATCTGAATTTCCACATGAGGTTTTCTTTATATTCTCTTATGATCTTTAAAATGTTTTTAGGTGGTGTGGTCCTGTCCTTGTTTTTTATTTCTGATAGTGGCATTTCTATTTATTGTCCTGGTAATTCTCACTTATTTTGATGCAATATTGTCAAGGTCTTATACATTTGAGTAGTCTCTGTAATCTTTTACTGGTTAATTTTTTGTATTATACATTTATTTTTCATCTCATGAGTTCTTGCTTTTGTCTTTATTATTTCCTCTTACACTCTTTGGCTATAACTTATGACTTATTTTTTAGTTTTTTGAGATAGAAGGTATCTTTGATTTTCAGCTTTTCTTTTAAAAAATATTTTCATTTAAGGCTACACATTAATATCCTTTAAGCCGGCCAGGCGTGGTGGCTCACGCCTGTAATCCCAGCACTTTTGGAGGCCGAGGCAGGTGGATCACAAGGTCAGGAGTTTGAGACCAGCTTGGCCAATGTGGTGAAACCCCGTCTCTACTAAAAAATTACAAGTATTAGTTGAGCACGGTGGTATGTGCCTGTGATCCCAGCTACTCGGGAGGCTGAGGCAGAATTGCTTGAACCCGGGAGGCGGAGGTTGCAGTGAGCCGAGATCACACCACTGCACTCCAGCCTGGATGACACAGCAAGACTCTGTCTCAATGAAAAAAAAAATCCCTTAAGCTATATATATAATATCCTTTAAGCATAGCTTTTGTGTACACCTGCAAGTATTGTTATATTTTCATTATTTAGTTTAAAATATTTTATACTTTTCTTTTTGATTTTTTTGACCCATAAGGTAGTGTAACAACATACTTTTTAATTTTTAAACAGTTGGGGAGTTTCTAGTTCTCTTTTTGCCATTGATTTCTAGCTTGCTTTCACTGTAGTCAGAGAATATATTTTGGATGACTTGGAAATGTTTTAGACTTGCTTTGTGACCCTTCATATGATCAATTTTTATATTTATATGTTGTACTTAAAAGAATGTGCATACTAAGATAGTTTGGTTCCATGTTCTATATATGTTAATTATTTCAATTTGTTAATCCTGAGGTGCGGATCTTCTGTATCCTCACTGATTTTTTTCTCATTCTGTTGGTTCCCAAGAGAGGGCAAACTCTTCCATTATAATTTTAGATTTGTCTATTTTTCCTTTTATATTTGCCAATTTTTGCTTTACTTTGTGGCTCTGTTATTAGGTGCATACCATATACAGTTATAGTTGTTATATCTTCATTATGAAATGTCTTTCCTTATCTTGAGCAATACTCCCTTATAATCTACCTTTTTGATATTAATGTAGCTATACCAACTTTCTTTGTGTTAATAGATACATGGTAGATCTTTTCCCATTTGTATACTTTTTCTTTTTTATTATTATTATATATTTTTTTGAGATGGAGTCTTGCTCTGTCATCCAGGCTGGAGTGCAGTGGTGTGATCTTGGCTCACTGCATCCTCCGCCTCCTGGGTTCAAGCGATTCTCCTGCCTCAGCCTCCCAAGTAGCTGGGACTACAGGCGTGTGCCACCACACTCAGCTAATTTTTATATTTTTAGTAGAGACAGGGTTTTGCCATGTTGGCCAGGCTGGTCTCGAACTCCTGACCTCAGGTGATCCACTCACCTTGGCCTCCCAAAGTGCTGGGATTACAGGCATGAGCCACTGTGCCCAGCCTATACTTTACTTTTTTCTATACCCATATATGTAATCTGTATCTTTTAGAAGCAGCCATAAGTGAATTTTTAAAAATCTAGTCTGACAATATGGTCTTTAGTTTGAATATTTAAACCATTTAATATAATTATTGATGTGTTAAGTGCTATAGCTACCATGTTACTCCTTGTTTCTTATTTGTGTCCCATCTGTTTTATATACCACTTTCTTTTGGATTAATCAAGCATTATTTTTAACTTTCCAACATATTCTTTACACATTTGTTTTCATTTTACTTTTCTTTGTGTGTATGTGCGTGTGTGTGCCTGCGTGCGTGTGCAAGTGATTACCCCAGTGCTTCTTATATTTAATCATGTTTCAGACAATGTTAGGCGCTTAGAAGACTTTAACTCCATTTACCCTATCTTCTCCCTCACCTCACTTTCTGCCTTTTGTATTATTATTGTATTTTGTTTTAATTATACATTTATTAAAGCCCCATAGGACACTGTAATGATTGTTTTATGGAATAAATATTCATTTAAATTTACCCACATATTTACCCTATTCATTGCTTTTCATTTCTTTCGGATTTTTTGTGTATTCCCTCTGGGATCTTTTCCTTTTGCATGAAAAAAACTCCCTTTAGGATTTCTTGTAGTGCATATATGCTAGAAACAAATATTCTCAGTTTTTATGATCTGGAAATGAGTTGATTTTGTCTTTGCTTTTGAAGGACAATTTTACTAGGTGTATAGAATTATGGGGAAGCAGGTGTTCCCCCAGCACTTTAAAACATGTTATCCCATTGTCTTCTGGTTTTCATCCTTTCTTGGAAAAGCAGGCTGTCAGTCAGTCTTATGTTGTTATTTGGTGTTGCATCTTTTTTCTTCGGCTGTTGTTAAGACTTTTCTCAATTGATTTGGTTTTCAACACTTGTCCCAGGTGTGGTTTTCTTTGTATTTATCCTGCTTGGGGTTTTCAGTCCTTCTTGAATCTGTGCGGCTTGAGGTTTTTTGTAATTCTCATAATTCCCTGCCATTATCTCTCCAAACAGTGTTTTGTTCCTTTCTCTCTTTCTGGGACTCCGGGTACCTTTATGTTAGAACTTTTTACCCTGTCCCATATATTCCTTCATTTTCTGTATACTTAGCCCTTTTCTTTCTTTTTTAGTTTTGTTATTTTTTTGCTGGCCTATCTTAGAGCTTACTGGTTCTCTCTGCTATGTTTAACTTGTTGTTACAGAACCATTAATTTCTTAATTTTGTTTTGTATTTTTCAGTTCTAGAGTTACTATTAGATTCTTTTTTTTTTTTTTTGAGACAGAGTCTCCCTCTGTTGCCCAGGCTGCAGTGCGATCCTGGCTCACTGCAGCTTTCACCTCCTGGGTTCAAGCGATCTTCAGCCTCCTGAGTAGCTGGGATTACAGGCATGTACCACTATGCCTGGCTAATTTTTGTATTTTTAGTAGAGATGGGGTTTCGCCATGTTGGCCAGGCTGGTCTTGAACTCCTGGCCTGAAGTGATCCGCTCACCTTGACCTCCCAAAGTGCTGGGATTATAGGCGTGGGCCACCGCGCCCAGCCTCTATTAGATTCTTTACCAAAAGAGATTCTTCACCTTGTCATCTGTTTTCTCAAATACATACATCACAGTCATCTTAAAAAACTTTGCTCAGTAACTTCAATGTGTGGGCCACTTGTGAGTCTTTTTATCTCTTCTGTTTTTCTTCTTGGTTGTCTTTCTTCATATGCCTGGCAATTTTTTATTATATGTCCAGTATTGTGTATGAAGATGCTCTGGATGATGTCATCTACCTGTTGAGAGTATTTTTCCTACTCTTTGTCAGAAGTAGAACAGAGATCACTTCAATCAGGCACTCAGTCTAATTAAGGCTGTTTTGCAGACTTTTAAGGTTTAGTCTACTTCTGGTTCTCCTAATCCCAGGCCCCTAGGGAAACTGACTGAGAGTCTGAGATGTTTCTCACCACCCCTTCCCCTTGACAGACCCTAAACTCTAATTTTTGTCTCTCTAATACTGTGAACTTGCTGAAAACTCTACTCAGCAAAATGTTCATTGTGCTTTTCATTTGCTTTCTCGTTGGCTTCTTAGCCTCTGCTCTGGGCAGCTGAGTCAGGAATATCTGAAGGAGAAAACTCCTGTCAGGCTGTGAGTTACTCTAGGATATGCCTTTTCAGTCCTAAACTCCACTTTTTGTCTCTGCAGCCCTTGAAACTGTCTAAAATTCTGCAGGCTTCTCTGTGTCTTAACAGCTGCCCCTTGCCTGGCTTTTCAGCTTCTTACCCCATGCTAAGAATTGGCATATACCCTAAATAGGAAAATGGGCTTGCAGAAAGTCAGGCTCACCTCAGTGAGCCTCCCCTCTCTCCAAGATCTGGTTCCTCAAATCGTGGCTGATTAGTAGCTTTCCTATTACTTCACACAGATGTTTAAAAATTTTATCTGGCTTTTCTAATTTCCCTCATCAGAACCAGTCTGCTACAACCTACTCTATTAAAGCTGGAAGTTAAACACGTCTGTTTTTTTTTGTTTGTTTTAAGTGGATTATGTTAAAAAATAAAAATCACAGGCCAAAAACCAAGGTAACAATGTCATTTTAAACATGTAAATTTAATAAAGGATATATGTTGATTTTTAGTTACTCTTTCTTGCCTTATTAAAAGCTTGTCAGTACCTTTTTTCATATGTACTCTGAAATTCTTACAAATATATGTTGCTTTGTTCCAGAGAATATGTGTACTAAAAGACTATAATTTTTCTGAGTCTGGTTCTCCATTCAAATGTTTTAATACTTTTGTGATTTTATGATTTGTAATTGTCGACTCTCACCTCCCAATTCAACATGATCCTAAAATGTACAAAATAATTTGAATGATTGAGTTTCAAAAAGTTTTAGAAAACTTGATCTTGTAACTTTTATTCCAAAGCTTTGTTGAGGGGGAGAAGTACAGGCTTCTGCCTTTAAGGGTACTGCTTCACTTTTGGGGCAAAAAAGCAAGGGTTTTCAAAGGGGGACTTGACATGAATGGCATGCAGGGGAGGGGGTGAGCCAGTGGGGGTCTCAATGACTTGCTTTGGTGCTTTATCTACCAGGTGGTTGAGCTGGTGCCCTCGCGGGCAGAACTAGGTGGTAAGGTGGCCAGAGTCTTGAGATACTCTCCAAGTGGGAGTGAGTTTCATCATGGGCATACTTTAGGTTATAATTTGTTATCTCTCGAGGCAGTCTCCTGGTCGAAGAGACGTCTGGCTCTGGAGCTTCTAAGTAAGCAAGAGCTTCCAAGTAAGCACACAGATAAGCTTGCCCTACAGGGAGTGTCTGGTGAAGGAAAGGTAAATGTTATAATTGCATTTCTAAAGAGCTAAGTAGGAAGTGGGGAACAAGGGAAAAGGAGGAAACAGAAAAGAAGAAAAAAGTATTTTTTAAAAAAGTAATTCTTTCTCTTAGAAAAAGGTGGGTACTTGGTTACAGTCTAAACCCTTTACCGTGGCTGAGTAGGTATTTTTTCAGCCTCTTTCCCAGGTTGCGCGCTGCGTTTAGTGCTGTCATTCTCATGTGCTTCATGTCACTGCCAATGTGTTCAGCCTCTCAAATGCAAGCTCCGTTCATTTACTCATTCATCTCATATGTTTTTGATCACTTATGTGCTCAGGTCTCCTTTTTCAAATCAATATTATGGCAATTCTAGTAAATGATCAGGGAAATTAAATAGGTCAATTCATGTGACATAGTTCTGAAAGGCAACAGAGTGATTGGTGGAATTGTGGAAATGTTTTTCACATTTCTCCAAATTTTCTTTTAAAATCAGACAAACAAACTGACACTTACTTTTCAGTCTTTTCAGATATGTTCCCCAACTCTGACTCTAGTACTTGAAAATGTACTAAGTAAGAGGGCTTTGGGATGCCAGAAATAGTCTGTTACTTAATCTGGCTGCTGGTTTTTAAACCAGTTTGTGAAAATTCCTGGAGCTCAGCACATGGTTTGTTCACGTTTCAGTATGTCTGTTATACTTTAATAAAGAAAATGAACTTTTTACTGATAGAGTAACAAAGAAAGTGCCAAAGAGAAAGAAAGCTTGAGAACCTCTGATCAAGTTCAGCCTCTTCATGTTATGGACGAGGGAATTGAAGCTTGGGAAGGAAAAATTACCTGGGGACTGGGGGAATGTCTCATAACCAGGACTTGTACTCAGGCCTTCTGACTCCTAGTTCATCTGACTTTCCTAACTCATTGATCAGGAAAGGGGTGGGGAAGAATCTGGCATGCGCTAACATTGGAGCTGGGCGACATTCTCAGAATCCCAGATGTATCCTGCGAGTCAGCACTTCACTCCCTACTCTTTCTGCCCTCCTCCATCCCCTTCCCCATGGCAGTTTAAAAACAGACACTTTTATTTCCTGCAAACCTGGAGATACTTGTTTCATCACCTAAGAATCATTTGACTGCATATGCTGAGAAAAAGGGAAATTCGTGCCTGTGAAATCTAACAAGAGCCCAGCACAAGGTATGTTTGATCCTCTTTTAAAGCCATTTTTAGTTTGGTGCTGTGTGGTTTAAATTTAGAATAACATTTCTACAACTTTGGGGGAGGGGCGGTGATGGTGGCGTGCAGAGATTGAACCCAGCTGTGACTCCTGCTGCTGTGAGATAAATGGGAAAATCTGGGAACCAGTGTTAAAAGGAGAGGGCTCTTTAGAGAGGTAGCTGCAGGGAAGGGGACGTGCCTTAATTGGGATGGGGGTGGAGGTAAGGCCAAGAAACAGTGGGAGCTGTCTCCTCCCCCTCTTGCCCTGTGGGATCTGACCTACTGAAAACAGAGTGAAGACTATTTCTGATCTGGTTTGGAAATCCAGAATTTAATATTAAAATACACGTTAAATATTTCAATAAATAAATATTAATATGTTAATATTAATGTTAAGTCAGAATGTTAAAATATACATCTAATATATATACACATACATGCACATGCATGCACACACACACAGCTTGGAATTGGTAGTGTCATCCTGGCTTCATTTTACATTCTCAAAGGCTAGATGTTGGGTTTCCAGAGTGCTGTTTCTTCTGCCTGAAATACATTTTCTCTCCTATTTGCCTGGCTCAGTTCTGCTCCTCTTTCCAGTAGTAGCTTCCTCTGACTCTAGGTCTCCTTCCCACTCGCTGCCTATAACAAGTTTCCAGAGCATCCTGTGTTTTCCCTTTTGTGTCACTTCCCGTATTTTTAATTATTAGATGAAATTTGGGCACGGCATATGTCCTTAATACATAGAGAAAAGAAGAGAAGACAAGGAGTCAGGGAAGATAAAAGAAAGCTACCCTTGGATCGCTTCTTTTAAACTTAGCAAGGTAGACAGGTTCCTTAACTTCTCTGAGCCTCAGTTTCCTCACTTTCAAAGTGAAAATAGTAATACCTAATAAGGTTGTTGTGAGATTAGAACCTAATAAGGTTGTTGCGAGATTAGAAATAATATATTAAAGGCACCTAGCATAATATCTAACACATAGTAGGTACTCAGTGTAACATAATTTAAAATGTATATATACTCTTAAAAGGAAATTATGAAAATTCAGAAAAGCACAGAGAAAGCCTGTGAAAACATTCATTGTCCCGTCTCTTAGAGATAATTGCTGTTAAATTGAGTGGATTCTTTTTCTGTGTGTATCTTTATGTATCTATATAATGTACTGAGTTCAGATTATTCATATTTTTTTTTCACTTAATATGACGGCCCAAACACTCTCCACATTTTTAGTGTCTGTAAAATACTGCCATGTTATATTTTGTAATAATAACTGGGCCTTCAGTTATTAAAAGAAGATTTAGAAACTGACACTTGATCCATTCAAACTCTACTTTTACCAGGACAATATGTTTACGTGTTAGGAGGATAATTCATATCCCTGGGTAAACAAATGATGTAGTGGACAAGGTGCAAAAGGACTCCTCCCTCCATTCCTTCTTCTCTCTCTCTTTCAGCCTTTCTTGCTTATTTCCATGGATAGGAGGGTTATTTTGATTTTTAAAGTAATGAGGCAACTAGGTGAAATGAAGAAATCCATTGGCCTGGAAGTTAGGAGGTCAGAAATTTTCCTTCTTACAGTCCAGTCACTGACTCACTTTAAGGCAGTCTTTTCATTTTTTGGTCTAATTTTTTTCATTTGTAAACATGGGAGAAGTGGGTTTTATTAGAGAGATTTTCAGACTGGGCTTTTCTGAGTGAGTGTTAGAGTTCTGTGGAGATGTTTTTTCATATTAGGTAGATTTCCTCTCAAGGGAAAATTACATGGCTAAAAAAAATTAAGTTTCACGTTTCAAATTTTATTTTATTTTTTAGACAGGGTCATGCTCTATCACCCAGGCTGGAGTGCAGTGGTGTAATCTTGGCTCACTGCAACCTCTGCCTCCTGGGTTCAAGCAGTTCTTGTGCCTCAGCCTTCTGGGTAGGTGGGTGCTCGCCATTACACTGGCTAATTTTTGTATTTTTAGTAGAGACGGGCTTTCACCATGTTGGCCAGGCTGGTCTCGAACTCCTGACCTCAAGTGATGTGCCCACCTTGGCCTCCCAAAGTGACGGGATTACAAGCCTTAGCCACTGTGCCCGGCTCAAGTTTCAAATTTTAAATGAAATCTCAGTGGACTTTTTCCTTTTTTAAAATTGAGATATAATTCACATACCATAAAATTCACCTTTTCAAAGTGTACAACTCAGTGGTTTTTAGTATATTCATAAGGTTGTACAGTCATCACTACTATCTAATTCCATAACGCTTTCATGGAAACCATTAATAGTCGCTCCCCTTTTCCTCCTCCCCCTAGCCCCTGGCAACCACTAATCTATTTGTCCCTGCGGATTTGCCTATTCTGGACATTTCCTGTAAATGGAATTATAGTATGTGGTCTGGCTGCCTTCACTTAGCGTAGTGGTTATAAAGTTGATGCATGTTGTACCCTAAGTACTTCATTTCTTTTTTCCATTCCTTTTAGTTTTTTTTTTGTTTTGTTTTGAGATGGAGTCTCGCTCTGTCACCCAGACTGGAGTGCAGTGGCACAATCTTGGCTCACTGCAAGCTCCACCTCCTGCGTTCACACCATTCTCCTGCCTCAGCCTCCTGAGTAGCTGGGACTACAGGCGCCAGCCACCACGCCTGGCTAATTTTTTGTATTTTTAGTAGAAATGGGGTTTCACTGTGTTAGCCAGGATGGTCTCGATCTCCTGACCTCATGATCCACCCACCTCGGCCTCCCAAAGTTCTGGGACCACGGGCGTTAGCCACCGTGCCCAGCCCTGTTTAAAATTTTTATTTTACTCATTTATTTATTTTGACACAGAGTCTGGCCCAGTCACCAGGGCTGGAGTGCAGTGGCACGAACATGGCTCACTGCAACCTTGACCTTCTGGGCTCAAGCTGTCCTTCTGCTCAGCCACCCGTGAAGCTGGGACCACAGGTGCATGCCACCATGCCTGGCTAATTTTTTCATTTTTTTGTAGAGACAAAGTCTCACTTTTGCCCAGGCTCAAGTGAACTCCAGGGCTCAAGTGATCCTCCTTTGTTGGCCCTGCAAAGTGCTGGGATTACAGGCATGAGCCTTCACACCTGGCACCATTCCTTTTTTACAGCATTTTAGAAAAAATTTTTTTCAAGTTTGGAAAAAAAAAGTTTTGTCAGGCTGTTAGAATTCCCGTAGCAGTAGAATGCATTATCTGCAGTGTTTGTTGAGATGCAAAAACAATTTCAGTACTTCAGACTTTTAAATAAAAGGCTCTATTTAGTTCATGTGAAAACTTTTAAAGCTCTGCCCTTCCCCCTTAAAGCTAAGAGACTGATATACTGATTGCCAGTCTTGTTTTCCTCCTCTGGGTTTAGGGGAGGGGATTAGGGCCAGACTTTCATTGGATAAAGGTAGTTGAGGCTGGGGTTAGGCTCTTTTCAGAGGAAAAATCAAGATATTAACCTGTCACCAGAAGGAGGAGGGATGGATGGTGGGTGGGTTAAAACAACAGATGTCAGGTGTACATAACTGGGATGGACTTTATCTGCTGCACTATTGGTGCAAAATCCTTTCCTCTTATGTGTCTCCTGGTGTTCCTAAGGAAAGTATAAGGAAGTCACCTGCAGTTTGTAGGGAATGAGCTATTTACTCATGCATGAACTGTGTTCTCTAGTTAAAAAGGGATTGAAAAGAAGAACAATATCAGAGTCCCTATCCAAATTATGAACTCCTTGAGGTCAGAGATTGTGTCTTGTCACAATTATACCTCCAGTGTTTGATATGGAACCTGGCATACATGAGTCATTCAGTGAATATTTGTGAGATTACTTGGTTTTTTGCCTTGTTGACTTAAGAAAACTTTTTATTTTGAAATAATCATAGATTTGTCCGAGAGATTCCAAAGAAATGTACAATGATATCCTATGCATCCTTCATCCTCTAGCCTCCCTGAATGTTCACATCTTATACCACCATAGTACAATATAAAAGCCAAGACATTGACATTTGCACAATCCATAGAACTTAAGGTTTCACCAGTCACACATGCACTAGTTTATGTGTGTGTGTTTATGTTTGTAGCTCTATGCTATGTACTATGTGAATACATGTAACCTTAACTAATGACCACGGTGATCAAGATGCTCAAATATCACCACACACTCTCTTGCATTACCCCTTTATGGCCACCTCCATTTCCCGGTCCTTAACCCTTGGAAATTTAGTCTGTTCTCCATCTTTATAATTATGTTATTTCATGATTTTTTCCAGAAATGAAACCATGAAGGTATCCCCAAGATTGCCTTTTTTTTACTCAGCATAATTTCCCTGAGTTGCATCCAAGTCGTTGGATGTACAACATGCACCAACAGTCCATTCCTTTTTACTGCTGAGTAGTATTCCCTAAAATGGATATAGCATAATTTGTTAAAATATTTATCCATTGAAAGACATTTGGGTGGTTTCCAATTCTTAGCTACTAGGAATAGAGCTGCTGTGAACATCTGTGTACAAGTTCCTGTGTGAAAGTAAGTCTTCATTTCTTTGGGATAAATGCCCAATAGTGCGATTGCTGGATTGTATGGTAAGTCCATTTTCAATTTTGAAAGCACTGCCAAACTATTTTCCAGAGGGGATATACCATTTTAAATTCCAACCATTATTGTATGAGTGATCCAGTTTCTCCATATCCTTGCCAGCAATTGGTATAGTCACTATTTTTCTTTTTAGCATTTGTGGTGGGTGTGTAGTGATACATTGACTTTTTGCCCCTTCTCCTACCAAACAAATATGTTAAGTTTTGAACTCAGCTTCCCAACTCTCAGTGGCCTGGTCTGTGATTTCCATAGGCCTCTATACTTCTGACCTCCTCCTACCTCCATGACCTTGACCTGACTTCTCTTTCTTCTCTCCCCAGCCTGGGTCCCGGGGTCCCCTTTTTACCTCAGAATCGCTTTATCTCAATCCTGCCATCTTCCCAATGCCTGGAGAAAGTCACAAAAGTGCTCTCCACTGCTGCCAGGCCTCTGATGTTACAGCTCCTGGGCAGTCCTTTCCTTTACCTCAGTGATGTCACCCTCCCACTTCTGACAGGCTCTGCTCCATACAGTGAGGTCTTCTCTCAGAGAGGACCTTACCACCTCTCAACAAGAGTGAGACTGTTCAGTCTGAAGCCCCTCAGCATCTCCTTTCTCCATCTCTGCCTTTCTGTTTCTTGCAGAAGCCAACTCCTCATGTGTGCTTATGTTCCCAGAGAGCCTCCAGCTCCCCAGGGTAGGGATTTATCAGAGGAGTCTATTTTCAGACTTCCCTTCGTCTGTTCTCCTTTTCCTCAGAGTGTCCTTAATGGAACACCCACACCTCTCCTCTAGTACTGAGTCTGTTGAATCAGGATCTCTGGAGGTTTGCAGGGCGGAGAGTCTCTGTTTTTATCAGTCTCCTCAAGGCCTCCAGTGGGGAGTCAGATTCAGAGACGGCTGCCTCAGGGACCCTCTGGGCCCCTCTTCTTCACACTACCCCTCAGTAGTGTTTTCCCCAAATTTTGGAGAACCAAATTATTTTGTTCTGGACTCACTGTTTTTTGTTTTTTTTTTTGAGACGGAGTTTCACTTTTTTTGCCCAGGCTGGAGTGCAATGGTGCGATCTCGGCTCACTGCAACCTCTGCCTCCCAGGTTCAAGCAATTCTCCTGCCTCAGCCTCCCAAGTAGCTGGAATTACAGGCACCCACCACCACGCCTGGCTCATTTTGTATTTTCAGTAGAGATGGGGTTTCACCACGTTGGCCAGGCTGGTCTCGAACTCCTGACCTCAGGTGATCCGCCCACCTCAGCCTCCCAAAGTGCTGAGATTACAGGCATGAGCCACTGCGCCTGGCTGACTCACTGGTTTTAACTCTGTGGTTTTCCATCTGGTTCCTGCATTTCTGCCCAGCTCCTTTAAATTTATATTAATAATTGTAATTATCAGGTTGCTTTGGTTTTGTAGTCTTATTGGCTCCTGCTTTGCAGTGTCATCAGTTTCATCTTTACAAACTCTGATGCTCTAACTTTCTTGCATAAACAGCAGCAATTGCTCTTCTTTCCTTGCACAGAGGTAGGAGTGTTCTCAATATGACCACCATCTGGTTTCCCAGCCTAGGTTTTCACAAATCTCCTATACATGATTTATGTGGCCCCTGAAATGCCTGGCGTACAATTGCTCAGACCATGTTCTTTTTGGATTTTGTTATTGGGCCTCATCTTATTGCCCCTGCCTTAGAAGTACACCTCCCAATTCAGTCTTTGGTCAACTGAAATTTATTCTTTGTCAAAGACCCTTTCCCACAGTTTATTCCCTGCAACGTTTTATGAATTGTTGCCTGAACTAGATGTTCGGTTCTAACAATATATATTACACATGATGCCAAGCACTGTTCTGAGTCATGGTCATATAAGGTGATTGGGAAATGATCCTCACCCCCCCACCAGTGTTCCCAACCATTTTTCCCTTCTCTAGTCTCCCATAGCTTTCTCTCCCCGCACTATGATTGTTTTTTCATTTTCAGCTGTATTTTAGGTTTTTTGTTTTGTTTTGTTTTTTGAGAAAGAGTCTCATTCCGTCACCCAGGCTGGAGTGCAGTGCTGTGATCTCTGTTCACTGTAGCCTCTGGCTCCTGGATTCAAGTGATTCTCGTGCCTCAGCCTCCCGTGTAGCTGCAGTTACAGGCATGTACCACCACACCGGCTAATTTTTGTATTTTTGATAGAGATGGGGTTTCATCATGTTGGTAGGCTGGTCTTCAACTCCTGGCCTCGAGTGATCTGCCCGCCTCGGCCTTCCAAAGTGCTGGGATTAAAGGCATGAGCCACCATGCCCCACTTTATTTTAGGTTTTTGAGAGGAGATAATTTGTCAAACCCAGCACTCTGCCTACCACAAAAGTTGATGTGCAGGATATATTTACGGAATAATTTAACATATCCCTCTACCTCCCTGCCCCAGCAACTTGGAAGGTCAATGAACATGTGCTGAATTAACCCCACTCTTGCTGTGTGTGTATTCTTCTCTCATACAACCAAAACCTAACTTTTGTTAATTAGGGTTCAGCATTAGCCATTTGAATAGCAGAATTCTAAGTTATGTAGAACAGTAGTTATCCTTTTTTTTTTCTTTTTGAGATAGGGTTTTGCTCTGTCACCCAGGCTGAAATGCAGTGGTGTGATCATGGCTCACTGCGACCTCAACCACTGTGGCACAATCCATCCTCCCACCTCAGCCTCCCGAGTAGCTGGGACTACAGGTATGCACTACCACACCTGGTTAATTTTTAAATTTTTTGTGGAGACAGGGTCTCACTTTGTTGCCCAGGTTGGTCTTGAACTCCTGGGCTCAAGCAGTCCTCCTGCTTCAGCCTCCTAAAGTGTTGGAACTACAGGTATGAGTCACTGTGCCTGGCCAGTTATCCTTTTTGTTTGTTTGTTTTCTGTTCACCTACAGATCACTTTTTAGGGTTGAAAAGCCCATGTGCAGAAGACTACAACAGAAAAGATGGTAGGAGTGTGTTGGTTTTGGAGTAACTCTAGTGAGGTGATGAATGTAAATTTAAAATCTTAAGTATACGAAACAGGTTACTAATACATTTGAGAAACAATAAAGGTGCTGCTTATTTATCTTTTACCATGTGCTAGAATTGTGCTAAGTGCTTAGCATATATTAGCTCATTTAAACCTAGTACTAATCCTGAGAGGTATGTTCATTATATTGATGAAGGCCTTGAGGATCAGAATTGTGAAATAACCTGCTAAAATCAGAGAGCTAATAGATAGTGTAGCCAGGATTCCCATATAGGTTTCTTTGATCCCACAACCCATGTTTTCTATGCTGTTTTGCCTCTCTAGATAAAAGCAGAAACTCTCACATTGTAAAGTTAATGCTTACCTAAAATGTATATTTTGAAAGTTATTAAACTTTTACTGACCCATATGAAAATGCCTAAGTCAGTGAGTGAGTGAAGGAATGAATGAGTGAGAGAAAGAGTGAATGAAAGAATAGGGTAGATTGGAAGTACCATATGTACTAGTCTGTCAGATATCCTAATACACTGAAAATCAGATATTTGTGGTGGTATATTTGTGGGAAAATTATCTTAAAAGGATTAAAAGTCCATTAAAAATGCAAACAAATGAAGTAGTGGTAATGTAAAAACATTGAGGGGATAATGAGCTTATATACAAGATTTTTAAAAATGGATACTTAAAAGTTCATCAGTCAGTAGAGTAATAAGATGCTGTTGTAGTTCATTTTGGCCTCACTTCCTTATCTCCTTCTTTAAAAGTCCTTCCTCAGTACCTCTTGAGTAGTGGTTATTTATTCCTATTACAATGTATTTCCTTTCATTTATTTTATCTTTTTAGACTTTGGAGACTAGGTCCATTTTATTAAGCTTCAAGAGATTGAATGAAGAACAATCACTCCCCCATTTACCTACCTCCATTTACTTTGCCATTTAATCTCTTTTATTTATTTTTTTGAGGCATGGTCTTAGCCTGTTGCCCAGAATGGAGTACAGTGGCGCACAATCAGGGCTCACTGCAGCCGTGACCTCCTGGGCTCCAGTGATCCTCCTGCCTCATCCTCCCAAGTAGGTGGGACCACAGGTGCATGCTACCATACCTGGCTGATTTTTGTATTTTTTGTAGAGACAGAGTTTCACCATGTTGCCCAGGCTGGTCTTGAACTCCTGGGCTCCAACAGTCTGCTTGCCTTGGCCTCCTAAAGTGTCGGGATAACAGGCATGAGCCACTGTGCCTGGACTAATTTCTTTTAAAAGGGTGCCATTACATCCCATGAAGTGCTGGGAAGAACACTGGGGGTCTTAGCACTGAGAATGTAAATGCTTATTTGAATTCTGTTTTCAGTGTAATACTCAGCCTTGTACTCTGCCTGGTGTTCCCCTGTCCATTGAACCTCTTGTTGCCCTCTCCAGAGAATAAATCTCTAGTCTTCTGTTGGGGTTGGGGAATGGCAACTGCCCATCTGCATTGTCTGAGGAAGGGGATCTGGGGGTCTGTCTTAGTATTGCCTTCACCTGTCTACATTGCCATCAAATCCTGAGTCCTTAGGGGATTCCACACTGTAACTCAGCTTGCCAGGTTAGGATTTAGCTTAATTCATTCTGTTTTTATTTTCTAAAATTTGTTGCTGTTTTCTCTGAATTCATAAGAAAGTTTTAAAAGGTTTGAAAGAAAAGCAATACAGAGAAGCTTAACTCTAACATGAAAAATTTATAACTAATGGCAACATTGGGAAAAAGCAAGATTGGCAGCATATGAAAGTAAGAACATTGCACAAATGGGCATATTTAGTCAGAATTCTTAGGAGATGAACTGCTAAACATCGGTTTCAGAATCCTACATAATGATTTGTGAGTGTGTGTATGCCCAAAGAACATTGAATTTGTAGGCGAAATTTTAAGTACACAGAAAAGTGTAAAGCATTTATAAAGTGAATACACTGTGTAACTAGCATCCAAATCAAGTAACAGGAGGTTACTAGCAACCCAGAAGCCCCTTTCTAGTTCCTGACAACCCTCCAACCTCTACTAAGAATAACTAATGACCCAATGTTTTACACTGTAGATTCATTTTGTTCATTTTTGAATTTTGTATAAATGGAATCATTTAGTATATGATCTTTTGCTCTCATTTATTTTGCCCAAATTTATGTTTGTGAGACCCATTGTGTGGTAGTTGTAGTTCATTCTTTCTCATTCCTATATAGTATTCCATTAAGGGAATATACTAATTTAGTTTTTTCATTTTGGCAGACATTTCCAGTTTGGGTCTGCTATGAAAAGTACTACTATGAATATTCCCATATGTGTCTTTTGGTGCCCATGTGAACATATTTCTGTTGGTTATATACATATTTCTGTTGGTTATATATGTTAAAAATTACTGGGTCACATGGTATGTGCATATTGAGCTTTAATAGATACTGCCAAACAGTTTTACAAAGTGGTTGTACCAAGTTTTACTCCTCTCAGCAGGGTGTGAGATTTCTAGTTATTCCACATCTTTACCAACATTTGATACTGTCAGTCATTTAAATTTTTTTTTTTCCCCAAGATGGAGTCTCGCTCTGTTACCTAGGCTGGAGTGCAGTGGCACGATCTCGGCTCACTGCAACCTCCACTTTCCAGGTTCAAGCGATTCTCCTGCCTCAGCCTCCTGAGTAGCTGGGACTACAGGCGCGTGCCACCAAGCCTGGTTAATCTTTTGTATTTTTAGTAGAGACGGGGTTTTGCCGTGTTGGCCAAGCTGGTCTTGATCTCCTGACTTCTGATCCACCCGCCTTGGCCACCCAAAATGCTGAGATTACAGATGTGAGCCACTGCACCAGGCCAGTCATTTAAATTTTAGCCATTCTAGTTAGTGTATCTGTCACTGTGGTTTGCATTTGAATTTTCATGATGACTGTGAGGTTAAGCACCTAGTCATAAGTTTATTGGGTATTTGTATGTAGTCTTTTGTGAGAGGCCTGATTATGACCAGCACTTTTATCTAGACTTTCCCAGCCACCAGAACCATAAGATACAAATATGTATTGTTTAAGCTATCTGGTCTATGCTATTTTGTTACAGCAGCCTGAGCTTACTAAGGCAGAGGGGAAGTGCTATTGTACCAGTACCAAACATAGGCCTAAGAGCACTGTGTCATTGTTGTTTTTTTTTTTTTTTGAGACAGAGTTTCATTATGTTGCCCAGGCTGAGATGCAGTGGCATGATCTGGGCTCACTCTAACCTCCACCTTTCGGGTTCAAGCAAATCTCCTGCCTCAGGCTCCTGAGTAGCTGGGATTATAGGCGCCCACTGCCACACCCAGCTAATTTTTGTAGTTTTAGTAAAGATGGGGTTTCACCATGTTGGCTAGGCTGGTCTTGAACTCCTGACCTCAAGTGATCCACCCGCCTCGGCCTCCCAAAGTGCTGGGATTACTGGTATGAGCCACTGCCTCTGTCTGAGCATTGTATGTTAAAACAACACACGTATATATCTTACAGTTCTGGTGGCTGGAAAAGTCAAGATAAAGGTGCCAGCAGATTGCCAAATTTTCAGCTGCGTTTTCTGCCTTTTTTGTACTGATTTGTAGATTTTCTTAGAGATTTATATTGAGTCCTTTGAATGTATGTATTGGAAAAATCTTCTGTCAATGTGGTTTATATTTTCACTTTCTTAATGGTGTCTTTGGATGAACCGAAATTCTTTAATGCAGTCTACTTTATTGATTTGCTTCACAGTTCCTACTTTTTGAGTACTGTTTAAGAATTCTGTTTGCGTCAATATCGTGATATTACTTTATGTAGGTTTTCTTCTGAAAGCTTTGTTTTAGAGTATATTGATTTTTAAAAAATTTAAATGCATTTGTTCACATATCAGCCTGATCTATTGAAAAACACTTAAACACTTAAATAAGCTTAAATAATAACTTTTCCACAAACTATCTATGTGATCTTCGGCAAGGCAGTTAGCATTTTTTGTTGTTGTTGTTTATTTTTAAATTATTACCTTTCCTATGGTGCTGAAGGGCAGTTAGCATTTGAACTTAATTTCTTTAACTATAGTATGATAATAATAATATCCATCTTAGAGTATTGTTGTAAGCATCATGACTATCTAAATGTTAGCTATTATTAAAAAGTCAGCTATTAGCAAAGACATTTTCAGAGACAATTGGAGATACTTAGATATAGATTGGATGTTAGATGACAGTAAGGAATTATTAATTTTGTGTTGTGTAGGAAAATGTCCCCATTAGGAAATGCATCATGAAAAATTAAGAGGTGAAGTAAAATGTCTCAATTCATTCTTTAAAAGTTCAGCAAAAACAATAAAATCCCAAATATCTAGATAAAGCAAACTTGCAAAATGTTTCAAATTATTGAATTTTTTGTTTGTTTGTTTGAAGTGGAGTCTTACTTTGTCACCCAGGCTGGAGTGCAGGGCACTATCTTGGCTCACTGCAACGACCGCCTCCTGGGTTCAAGTGATTCTCTTGCTTCAGCCTCATGAGTAGCTGGAATTACAGGCATACACCACCACACCTGGCTAATTTTTGTATTTTTATTAGAGACGGGGTTTCACTATGTTGACCAGGCTGGTCTCGAACTCCTGAACTCAAGTGATCCACCCACCTTGGCCTCCCAAACTGCTGGGATTACAGATGTGAACCACCATGCCTAGCCAAATTATTGAATTTATACATTAGATATGTAGATATTCATCATGTGAAATTCTTTCAGCTTTTTTGGTATGTTTGAAATTTTCATAATAAAATATTCAAGGAAAGTTAGTAATGAATCTATAGCATTCCTATTATTTAACATTTTCTCCAAAGCTAAAGGTGCAGAAGGACCTAATTAAATGGATTTGAGTCACTTAGCCTGTTCTGCCTGGGAAAGGAGATTAAAATGAATTTAAAATAAAATGTGAACTATATCCCTGCATACTTGAGTGGGATAAAGCTGAGCCATAAAAATCCAGGTTTTACTGGGTGTAGAAAAAAGGAGAAGGTGAGGAAGGGGTATGAGATGTACTGAGTGCTGTTAAGGGTCAGATACTCTGCTGGGTGCTGTAAATATCACCTATCATTCATAAAGCAATTCTACGAGGTAAGCAATATTAGAAAAGTTTGATATGAAAAGTTTGATAGAAAAGCTTTGGATAACTTGACTAACACAACTAGTGGATAGTGGAGTGAGGATTTGTACCCAGATCTGTGTTTTTGCACACAGATCTGTTTTTGCTTTTCTTCTTTCGTTCCTACTTTCCTCTCTCCCTCCCACCGTTGTCACTTTTTTCCCACCTTCACTCCCTTTCCTTCGTTCTTCCTTTCTTTCTGACTTCTTTACAAATGTTTTTATTTTTTATTTACTTTTTACTTTTTGAGATGGAGTTTCGCTCTTGTTGCCCAGGCTGGAGTACAATGGCGCGATCTCAACGCACTACAACCTCTGCCTCCCAGGTTCAAGGAATTCTTCTGCCTCAGCCTCCCGAGTAGCTGGGATTACAGGTGCCTGCCACCACACCTGGCTAATTATTTGTGTTTTTAGTAGAGACGGGGTTTCACCATGTTGGCCAGGCTGGTCTTGAACTCTTGACCTCAGATGATCTACCCACCTTGGCCTCCCAAAGTGCTGGGATTACAGGCATGAGCCACCGCACCCGGCCTGGTTTTTTTTTTTTGTTTTTTTTTTTTAATGAATATTACGCTTTTCATTGTAGAAACTCTGGAAAACACGTTTGTATTAATTTAGGTTTTGCTACATAATAAACCACCCCAAACTTTTTTCTTTTTTCCTGAGACAGGGTCTTGGTGTATTGCCTAGGCTGGGGTGCAGTGGCATGAATGTGGCTCATTACAGCTTCGACTTCCTGGGCTCAAGCAATCCTCCTGCCTCAGTTTCCTGAGTGGCTGGGACCACAGGCACACACCATCATGCCTGGCTATTTTCTTTAATTTTTTTTTGTAGAGATGGGGTCTCATCATGTTGCCTAGGCTGGTCTCAAACTCCTGGGCTCAAGTGATCCTCCTGCCTTGGCTTCCCAAAGTACTGGGAATATAGGTGTGAGCCATTAGACCCAGCCAGTTTTTTTATTTTTTATTTTTATTATTTTACACTGTGTTGAGATAACCACCCCCAAAATTAGTGGCTTAAGACAGCATACATTCAGGTCACAATTCTGCTGGCAGTAATTTAAATGGGCTCAGAGGGCAGTTCTTCCAGTCTGGGCCAACCTCAGCTGTTGTCATTGGGGCTCACTCAAACGTATGAGGCATCAGCTGGGATGTCAGGATCAGCTCCTCCATGTGGCCTCCCATCCTACAGCAGACTAGCTTGGGCTTGTTCTCTTGGAGAAGGAGAAGAGGAGCCAAGAGAGCAAGCAGAAATCCACAATGCTCTTGGGCCTGTGTCTGGAGCTGGTAAAACAGTACTTCCCCTCTGCCTCAGTCAGCTCAGGCTGCTGTCACAGAACATCATAGACTGGATAGCATAAACAACACACACTTATATCTCACCATTCTGGTGGCTGGGAAAGTCAAGATAAAGGTGCTGGCAGATTCAGTTGCTATGAGGACCCTTATCCTGGCTTGCAGAAGGCTGCTTGCTGTCTTCTCATTGAGTCCTCACATGGGGGTAGATGGGGTGTGTGTGAGAGAGAGCCAGAGAGACAGTGAGCACATGCTCTGGTGTTTCTTCTTTTCCTTATAAGGACACTAATCCCATGATGGGGGCCCTACCCACATAACCTCATTTAAACGTAATCATCTTCCAAAGGCCCCCATCTCCAAATACTACCACACTGGGAGTTAGGCCTTCAACATAGGAATTTTGGAGGGACACAGACACTCCCCAACACCCTCTATTGTACAAAGCAAGTCACAAGGCCAGCCCAGATTCAAGGAGTGAAGAAGTGTACCCTACCTCTTGGTGAGAAGAAATATAAAATAATATTGCATTGTGATATGGGTGGCAGCAAGTGAGGGTGAGTGGGATGAATGTTTGCAGCCATTTTTGCAAACATTTTTTCATAACATACAAAAATAAACATCTACTTTAAGTCATTTCTAATACCATTATCAAGAGCTAATTATTGTTAATATGTTGGTCTATGCACAAATAGGGGCAGATATGCACGTACAGAGGCATAGTTTTGTCTGTACACATACAGAGGCAGATTGCTTTTAAGAATATAATTTTCATTTAGAATCAAACTTATGTTCTATTAGTGTATTTTCCCAGGTATTAAATTTTCCTTGAAAACATGTTTACCCTATGATGCAAAGGAAATCAACATAAATTACTATGTTCCAGGCATTGTGCTAAGCACTTTCACTCAGTTATCTTAACTAAAAAACAAGTTTCTTGTTAATTTGCAGGGTTAATTTGCATCAAAACAAGGAATTCATTTGTTGCTACAAAGAAAAAGCAATGAAAGGACTTTGTGAAAAGGTTCAGAGAAAATGATAATGGTTAAGACATATCAGCAATACCCATTTTTCTCTTGAAACCTGACTTGTGAACTATAACAGAAAATACAGAAGATAAATCCTTGTACCTATTGCCCACCAATCCAGTCTTTCCATTTTATAGGTGAAGTCATGTCATTATTTATGTATTTGTTTGATTTGGCTGTATTTCAGGATCATGTTGAACATCAGTTCTTATTGTATGGGTAACATAAATAAGAAGCAGAAAATGTAGAGGGCAAAGGCCAAAGTTTGATCCTGGGCTTGGGACTGATTAGTTGTTGACTATGAAAAAAAAATCACTTAATTTTTTTGAGTTCAATTTTATCATCTGTAATTACAAAAGCTTCAATCTTCTTAAAATTGGTGTGAAGATTGACTACAGCATTTTATATCTGCACTGTCTGATGTAGTAGCCACTGGCTATAAGTGGCTATTGAGCATTTGAAATGTGGCTAGTCCAATTGAGATGTGCTGTAAGTATAAAATACACAGTAGATTTTGAACACTTAGGTGGAAAAATATATAAAATATCTTATTGATTACATGTTGAAATGGCAATATATTGTACCCATTGAGTTAAATAAAGTGTTATTAAAATTAATTCACTTGTTTATTTTTTAAATTCACTTGTAAAAATTTATTTTGGCTGCTGGAAATTAAAATATTACACATATGGCTCACATTATATTTCTGCTGGACAATGTTTTGCTTAAAAAATGTTCTCTGTACAATATAGAGTACAGCATAAATGTTAGTTATAGCCAGAAAAAAAGTATAGGAGGTTTAGTTGAATATGTAAGGATTCTAAGTGGTAGCATGATGCTTATTATTTTTGCTACATTTATAATGTAAGCTTTTATTTAGGCATCTGAAGTTTTTCTTTTTATGTGTTATAGAGAAGTAGGGATGGAAGTGCTAATCCAATTATGTGAGGAAATCATAATAACTTCAGTGTATTGAGCTACAGTGATGCAGGCATTGTGTTAAGTACTGTATTAGGCAGGATTCCTTTGATTACAAGTGACAGAGATGCAATCTGAATTAACTAAATTGAAAAAGGGGGATCTTGTAATTGTATGAAGCATGGGAGTGCATCTGGGTCTCCTGAATTTCTAGAATATAAACACTGTTTTTCCTATATACCTATCTTCCTCTCTCAAATTTACTTCTCCCTCCTCAGCAGCATTGTTCTCTCAGATCACTTGTCTCCATATGTCAGAAAGAATGGCTCCTTCAACCTCTGTGTGTCATCTTTGCTCTAGGGAAGGATAGACTCAGACTTGCTCTTTCTGGTTTTAAATGGAAAAGTCCTGTGAAAAAGCCATGGTTGACCTAGCTTGGTTATAGGTACCTATCCCTGGGCTATGGCAGCTCTAACCCAACCACAGAAGAGAATTTCCCAGAAAAAGGGACCATTCTTCTTGGTTGATAAAAGAATAAATGTACACTATAGCTACTCTAGCTAATTTAATATGTACAGCCAATCAGTAGGGTAGTACCTCAATGAACAAATGAGAAACTGAGACTCAGAAAAGTTATGTATTTCATTCAAGTTCAAATATCCAGGCTGGAAGTCTGGGTCTGTCCATCTCCAAAGCCCATGTTCTTAACTACCACACTGAGAAAGTTCTAGTAAATGGGGTTTGTGTCGACTTAAGTTTTACTGAATTATTTAATAGGTCTTTGCTATTTTTTTCCTCCTATCATTGCTTCCCATTGAAAGTTAAGATAGATTGAGGACAAGGGAACTGGCCCCATGGTAATACTCAGTAAATCCTTATGGAATTGAAAACCAACACCACTATGCTCTCCAATCTTGTGACCAAGGCTATAAAGGCGTTAGAAAAGCACTGCTATCATTATCTTTGTACCATGAGCTTAAGACATAGTTACCACTACTTGGACATTTCCTTTTTGTAATTTGCAGTCTTCTGCCTTCTTTTGAAAACTTCTTATTTTTCACCAACACATGGTTCCCTATAGTCTATACCACATGGGCATAGAGATTTCAGAGGCAAAGATGAAAGAGTCATACTCTGTTATTCATAAATAAAATATAGCCAAAGGGAATTTTAAAAAATGATGATCTGTAAGTCTTTCAGAAAAATGGTCTGGAGTTTGTCAGTCTCCTACTCGGATCAAAAATAAAGTCAAAGTTTTCAACTAAAATAATTGCAATAGGCTACAAATCTGTTTGTCTACTTTAATACAGTAGAAATGGAAAGTAGAAGTAAGTGACAACTTTATTGGCTGAATTCATATTAAGCAGTGTGATGGAATGCTGAGAACTCTGACCCGGACTGGTCAGAAAACCAGTCTCCTATATGTAGCTCTGTGACCTTAATCAGTAATAAGTACAAAGGCTAACTAACCTTCATTGGGTGCTAAACAGCGTAGAACATCTTTTCATAGGTTGTTGACTGACTCTGCCCAGTGGCAGTAGTTATTCATTCATTCGACACATCTTTTTTTTTTTTTTTTTTTGAGACGGAGTCTAGCTCTGTCACTCAGGCTGGAGTGCAGTGGCGCGATCTTAGCTCACTGCAACATCCACCTTCTGGGTTCAAGCAATTCTCTGCCTCAGCCTCCTGAGTAGCTGGGATTAAAGGCGCACGCCACCACGCCTGGCTAATTATTTGTATTTTTATTAGAGACGGGGTTTCACCATGTTGGCCAGGCTGGTCTTGAACTCCTGACCTCGTGATCCACCTGCCTCGGCCTCCAAAAGTGCTGGGATTACAGGAGTGAGCCACCACGCCCAGCCTCATTCAGCACATCTTTATCAGGCATCTACCCTGTGTCAGGCATGGAGTTAGGTACCAAATATGGTTCTGCTATCATGGAGCTTACAGTCTGGTGTGGGAAGTCATACATGTAAACAGGCAATTTCAGTGTAGCATGTTGTAAGTGCTATGTTAGAAGAAGTAGACTGTTCTATGGGACCTCATAAAATGATATCAAACGTGGTTTTGAGAAATTGGATGGTTTCCTGGGACATGCTGTCCATTTAGGGATCTGAAGGGCAGGCTGGGATTGGCCAGGTGGGGGATCACAACAAAGCTCTTTGTCTGGACTTAGAAAGAGGTTGGGAAGGGGGAAGTGGTGAAGGCTGAGGGCTGAGTCTTGAGGGAAATTAGCTGGTCCTAGAATGCAGAGTCCATTATGCTGACTACCTTTGACTGAGGGTGATAGGAAACCCTTGAATAGTTTTAAGCAACTGAGTCACATAATTAGATCTGCATTTTAGAAAGCTGAGATGTGAATCAATTTTTTCATTTTTCTGTCTTGATTTTCTTATCTTTAAATTGAAAGGGATAGTCTACCCTTTATAACTCTGTCCAGCTTTAGTAGTCCATACATTTCTCCTATTTTGGCAAAACTTAATGAAACTGCCTTTGCAAAAATTATAACAGTGAGAAAATTATGACAGTGACAGATCTGACTTAATGACTCCATTTTGCTATTCTAACCTTCAAGCTGCCCTTGTTCATTGTTGGGCGCAGGCTGAACTAAGTTTGGGAGGAACTTAGTTTAACCTTGAAACAAAGATGATAACAGCCCTTCTTGCCTGAAACCAGACTGCCCATGTAGGACTAATAAATTAGCTGCAAGATTGGAAATGTAGGTTTAGGAGTCCTGTAGCCGGAGGCTGCAAGTTCTGAACCTCCCCCATTGCTCCTTGGGGTAACATCATTATTGTGAAACCTAAGATTGGTCTGAGATGTTTTTCAGACCTTGCATTCTGAGGCACCAGCTGGCGCCACCCAGACTGGTAATCTGGCACAACCAGTTCTGCAGTGCCTCCCAGGAACAGAAGACAGCAAGAAGAACCCACTTTAACCCCCTATGATTCCATCTGTGACCCAATCAATCAGCACTCCCCACTCCCTGGCTCCCCCTACGTGCCAAATCATCCTTTAAAAAAAACCCTAGTGTCTGAATTTTCCAGGGAGACTGAATCGAGTAATAAAACTCTGATCTCCCATTCAGTTGGCTCTGTGTGAATTACACTCTTTCTCTATTACAATTCCCCTGTCTTGATAAATTGGCTCTTATCTGGGCAGTGGGCAAGGTGAACTAGTTGGATGATTACGTTACTTCCATGCTGATTTTGAGATCTGTTGGGCAGCAAGGCCTAAGATTACAACTAGTACTTGAAAATGAGGCAAGTTTTGTGGGTCTAGGGTGGGTGAAGGTGGGAGGTGAGGTGAGGACAAGAAGCTGAATGAATGATGTGTTGTTTTTACTGGGAAAAAAGGAAATGGGAAGGTATGCAGTTTCCTTTGACAGTCTCCTGAAGAGAAACTGGTTAGGAAATAGCTTTGGCCTCTCAGCAAGCAGGTGGAATGGTACTTTGCCACAATTCTAGTACAGATGAAATCTGATAGTTACTTCCCCCAAATTATGAAGTCTGGAATTTGCTTAACGGTAGTAGTTAGGGGTCTATACATATGAAAAAAGACTGACCATGACTTTTTTTTTTTAACCGTTCAAAGTGTTTGTTAATTATTTATTAAGATAAACAATTTCTTAGCCCACATATTCATGTTTCACAGATAGTTCAGGAACACAGGTACAGTGACAAACTTCTATGTAATTCAACCCAAAGAAATACTTTATGTTCCAAAATCACTTTGTACTCTGAGAGATATTAGCCTTCCTCATCTCAAATTCTTTAATTCAATTATAATTTCTGTAGAAATCTGCATATGCCTTCTTTCTTGGTCAGGCCACAGCAAACTTACAGAGAGCTGCAACCCCAGGGTTATAAGGAATGCTCCAACAATATGAAATGACAGATGCTTGGCCAGAAGGCCACACATCCCAGGTTACACCAAGGCACTGAGAGCCATGGTAGTTATTGTCCTTGACAGGGATGTCAGCATCAACACTAATGTCTTTCCCGGATGATGGAGAAATGGACCAACTTGATAAGTATTGATGCTGAGTGATACATACAAAGAAGTCCATTATATGATTTTCCCTACTTTTGAATATGTTTGAAAATTTCCCTAATAGAAAGTAAAAAGATAGAATAATAAAATAAAAATACCCCCACTTATTACCTAAGTTTTCTTTTAGCACAAATGGAAAATAAGTCAGACTCTCTCATTTGGCCATATTGAAGCTAATAGTCTCAGAACCACTGTGTCATAACACTGACATTTTGCTTAAAGCTCTGTATCACCTTTAATGGCTTAAAATATTCTAGACTGTATTGAGATCATGCAAGTAGATCAAAGAAAGAGAATTACACGCAAAGGAAGGGATAGCTGTACTAGGGAGTTCACTGGTAACAGAGTCAGGGGTCCACAGCTCTGGGCTGGGTCTGTCCTGAAAGGCAGTCTCTGGATAGCAGGATGAGATGGAGTGATCACTGGCTTTGGAGTCAGACACAATAGACTGAGCTATGTTGAAGGACAATGACAAATAACACAATAGATAGCATTCATTGAACCCTCACTATATGCCAGGCCTTATGCTAAGCTCTTTATGTACTTTATGTTATGCAATTTTAATAACTACCCTGTTTTTATTAGTATTTTATGGATGAGAAAACACAGGTTTAGAGGTTATCAAATTTGTCCATGACCACATGAACTTGTAATTCCCAGTAAATATTTTTGTAAATAAATATCTGAAAGTGTCCAGGCACGGTGGCTCATGCCTGCAATCCCAGCACTTTGGGAGGCCGAGGTAGGCGGATCACCTGAGGTCAAGAGTTTGAGACCAGCCTGGCCAACATGCTGAAACCCCGTCTCTACTAAAAACACAAAAGAATTAGCTGGGCATGGTGGTGTGTGCTTGTAATCCCAGCCACTTGGGAGGCTGAGGCAGGAGAATTGCTTGAACCCGGGAGGTGAGTCAAGATTGCGCCACTGCACTCCAGCCTGGGCAACAAGAGTGTGAAAACTCCATCTCAAAAAAAAAAAAAAAAAAAAGAAAAAAAGTCTGAAATCCAGTGGTTAATGGTGGTAGGTTGTACCCCAGTTAGTTTGGATGCACATAACAGAAAAAAGCAAAATAACAGTGGCAAAATAATAACTAAGTAGTTTGTTTTTCTCTCACCTCTAAGTAATCTAGAGGTAATCAGTCTAGGGTTGCTAGGGCTCTCTGGAGCTCGGGGTTCTTCTATTTTACTGTTTCATTGTGAATGTCTTCCACCCTCAAGGTTAACTCATGGTCCAAGTACCTGCTGGAGCTCCATATTCCAACTAGAAGAAAGGGAGAAGGATTGGAAGGACATACCACCTACCCTCCTTTTTAAGGATCCATACCAGAAATTGCACATATTATTTTTGCTTATAATTACAATGGCTACAACTTAGTCCTATGTATGCATCTAGTAGATTACAGAAAACTTGCATGTGGCAGGTCCAAGACATGAAAGAGACTGAAAAATATTTATACTATGTGGCCACATGCCCAGCTAAAGGGCACAGAAGCATAGAAGATGGAGAGCAACATTGAGGATCACTAGCAATCACTGCTTAGCCCACACTCAGCTGCATTCCAGAGTTTTATCTCTTTGGGTATGGTAATCCTTCTCACGAAACCTTTCACATTCGAATGGATAAATACATGAAAAACCCATGCACTTAGTTTAGTGTTCAGAAAATGCTAGTTCCTTCCCTTTAATTAGATGTTGTCAAGTGAGCAGCAGTGATTTGGTGCTCTGGAGACTCAGCACCCTAAGAATTTGTTCCACCTGTGTCTGGGGTGGTGACTGCCTTCTGCATCACCATCTTAGAGGATTTGCCCCAAGTTCTACATCCTCTATGGCCCAGCACCCTGTTAGGTACAATGGGGTTGCAAAATGAAGCATCCAGATTTTAAGGATCTTGAACATAAAATCACACATAATGGGCTCAGGGCCAAACATGGGACTATCCAGGATTTAGGAAAACTTTCACTTCAGTGTTGGTTTGCAGCTGACTTTGGGAAACTATTTACCACATAAAAATTTCCAGTGTTTTCTTCAAGACTGAGAGAAGTCGATCACAGAACCAGCCCACTTGAGAAGCTGAAGTTTTCCTACTTGTAAAATGACAGATGAAAAGGACTGATGCTTCCATGAGTTGCTCTTGAAATGGTAATGTAGGTGTATCTGTGTGTGGAAAAACACACTCAAAGTGCCTTTTCTTATTTTCTCACAACAAAAATCAACACAAATTAAAGGCTTCTGTGATCAAATGGGCACTTCCCCCCCCACAAACAAACAATCAATTCTGCAGTGGACACCAGCTGCGTGTCCTCCAATTCTGAAACTATCTACCAGGAGATAAGTGTCAGATACCACTGACACAGTCCCCAAAACTGCTCCCCCAACCTACCACCTCCACTTTCAGACACCAGTTGCAAGTCTGGGCCTCTAAAACTTCTGATCGACCAGATTCAAGTTTGGGTTCCCATGATCCCCTCTTTGGGTTGATTAATTTGCTGGAGCGGCTCACAGAACTCAGGGAAACACGTTTATTGGGTTATAATAAAGGATATTACAAAGATACAAGGAAAGGGATGCCAAGCTGCCATGCCCTCTCTGGGTGCACCATCCTCCAGGAACCTCCACTTAGCTATCTGGAAGGTCCCCAAACCCTGTCCTCTTGGGCCTTGTATGAAGACTTCATTGGGTAGGCATGATTGAAGCATGGACAACTGTGTTAAAATGTGATTCATGGACAAAAAGTATATGATCTAAACCCAATAAGGCCTGTTTAGACTCTGTTTGTCTTCTCTGTGCAGCATTTCTTCCCCCAGGGATGGGGCAGGACACCCTCTGGGATGAGGGTCTTATGACCCACAATCAGATAAGAGTCCTGCCTTGGACAGGTGAAAGTAGGGAGGTAGAACATCAGAGAGAGAGAGAGAGAGAGGGAGAGAAAGAGAAAGAGGTTTTGTTTACTATGTCGAGGGCTATGGGAGTTATACAGGAACTGTGGATTTTATATATAATACGTATTATATATATTATATATATAATATATAATATATATATATATATAAAAAATATATATAATACGTATTATATATATTTATTATATATTATATTATACATTTATATATTATGTTAATATATACATTAATATATTATATCAATATAATATACTATTATATTGATATATTAATATATAATATTATATATATTATATATTATATAATATAATATATAATATATATAATATATATGTTACAGTATAACATTGCTGTGGTTTGAATATCCCCTCCACAACTCATGTTGAAATTTAATTGCCATTCTGACAGTAATAGGTGGTACCATTAACAGGTGATTAGGCCATAAGGGGTCCACCCTCATGAATGGATTAATGCCATTACTATGGGAGTGCACTCTTGATTAAAGGGAGTTTGCCTCCCCCTTAACCCCCTTGCTGTCTCTTCCTTTCTTTTTTTTTTTTTTTTTTTTTTTGAGACGGAGTCTCGCTCTGTCGCCCAGGCCGGACTGCGGACTGCAGTGGCGCAATCTCGGCTCACTGCAAGCTCCGCTTCCCGGGTTCACGCCATTCTCCTGCCTCAGCCTCCCGAGTAGCTGGGACTACAGGCGCCCGCCACCGCGCCCGGCTAATTTTTTGTATTTTTAGTAGAGACGGGGTTTCACCTTGTTAGCCAGGATGGTCTCGATCTCCTGACCTCATGATCCACCCGCCTCGGCCTCCCAAAGTGCTGGGATTACAGGCGTGAGCCACCGCGCCCGGCCTGTCTCTTCCTTTCTTATCCTCTCTTGCCTTCCTGCCTTCTATCATGGGATGATGCAGCACGAAGGCCCTCACCAGATGTAGGCTCCTTGATCTTGGACTTTCTGGCCCCAGAAACTGTAAGAAATAAATCTCTGCTCTTTGTGAATTACCCAGTCTCCTGTATTCTATTATAGCAGCACAAAATGAACTAAGGCAAACGTTGTTATACTATGAGCATGTCCTTGAAAAGTCAAGGATAAGTTAAATGTTAGCAAATGGAAATGTGTTTTTTAAGTGAGCTCATTAAAGAAACCAGAGCGATTTTTTCTGTAAACTAAAGATGGCTTCCAAAATAAAGTTTTTTGGTATTTTCATTCAATTAGCAGATACTTACTGAACACCTATTACTTGGCAGGCACTGTGCTAGACCTCATAAAACATGATGGGTGTTGTCTTCACCTGCCAGAGTTGCTCAAAATACGTGAATAATAAATTGACAAATATATTCTCAGACTAATATACGGTCAAATAATAACATTTGTTACATCGGTTATAAAAGTTTTTTAACATATTAACATTTAAGAAATCTTGGGGTATCTTAAGATTGATAGTATGTCATACTTTCTTTAGTAGCATATTTTTCTTATGTTGTGACTTAAAATGGATGGTTTCTTAGATTTGATAACATGCAGTATTTAGGGCTTTAGTGTTTATTATGTGCTTCCATGCGCCTCATTTGATTCTCTCTTCTTTTTTTTTTTTGAGACGGAGTCTCCCTCTGTCACCCAGGCTGGAGTGCAGTGGCATGATCTCGGCTCACTGCAACCTCTGCCTCCCAGGTTCAAGTGATTCTCTTGCCTCAGCCTCCTGAGTAGCTGGAGCTACAGGCACGTGGCACCATGCCCAGCTAATTTTTTGTTTGTTTGTTTGTTTGTTTTTTAGTAGAGACGGGGTTTCACCATGTTGGCCAGGCTGGTCTCGAACTCCCGACCTCAGGTGATCTGCCTGCCTCAGCCTCCCAAAGTGCAATTTCCATAAGTTGCCCAAACCATTTTCCACTGACCACACTTAGTAAGGCAGGTCAGATCTAAGGAATGACCTAAATGTCCTTCAGCTTTCACTTTGATCAGTGGAATTGCCTCTTTAGGCTGCCTCAGTGGCCAAAGCATGATCAGAAAGATGGAGGTTTGAATCCTAACTGATTGTTGTGTAACCCTGGGCCAGTTACTTAACCTCTCCAAGTCTGCCTCAAAATAAGAATAAAATCTTTAGATTTAAGGTAGGTAAGGCACCTGGCAAATGATAAATAATCAATGGCAGTTATTTTGTTACTATTAGAGCATCAAGGAAACACAGGTTTCATGATATTGGGTTATCTTAAAGAAAAAAAAAAAGCCCTACCTGGGAAATTTGTCCTATTTTCTGGAAGACCCAGAACCCCATCAAACACCAAGAACAGATATCCCCACTCCTAAGAAACATTATAGGAATAGTTCAGATTTTCTTCTGTTAAATGTCATCCATCAGCTCACCCGATTTTTTCCAGCAGACCTCCTCTTCTATCTTGTGTGTTGCTTTATATGTCGCTCTTGACAGCTGCTACTATTTATGCATGCATTTCTATAGCAAAACCTTGATTAACTGGGACACAGCAAACTGTAGCACTTAAATGACTATGGTTTTCCCCTATGGACATCATTTGGAGGAGAGAGGGAAGTGACAACTAAAGTTTTGAGAACTGAAGAGAATCATGTAATTCCACATCTTCGATTTTACTGCTGAGAGAAGGAGAATGGATCAAGGCCACCCTGCTGATTAAGAGCAGAGTCAGGAGAGGATTCTCGGTCTATTTTGCTTTCTTCTGGACTGTGGCCTAAAGATGTGTCTTTTGGCATCTCTCTTGGGGGTATTTCTCCTTAAGGTTTTGCCACTACACTGCAGGTCTCAAACTCAAATGCCTGCAAGGGCTAACTGGTAATAGGAATGAGTGGAGGAGGCTGAGTATTCTACATTGGGAAGTAGTAGTGAACTATGGTCCTCAGACTGGAGCCTATATACCCTCTGTAAAGGCATCTAAACTAAAATGTTTTTCATTTTAAGAAGTACAGGACCGACAAAACACATCTGGGAGTCAGAGATGGCTTGATGTTCCCCAGTTGAAGTGCCTTGCACTATGTATATCTATAGGCCTTATTCAATAAGGAGATAATCTGGATTATGGCCCTCAGGCACATTGCCAAAGTAAGTTTCAATACTGTGCATTGATTTATGTTTGTTAAAACAGAAAATTGAAGAGACGCATTTTAGAAACCTGATCATAATATATTTTGTAACAGAGAGAACAGAGTAGAAGCTCTGGCTTCATTTACTGTCTGCTTAGCCAAAACTCTTTGTGGTCCAATTAGCCAAATGAATTCAGATGTCACAGTGTATAGGACATTCATAATTGGGAACACTAGGACCTCTTAGTACCAGAGATTGTCCCATAACATAGACATTCAAAAACATTTATAATCAGGACACACAGTGAGAAATACATTTATATCATTACTGAGCAGAAACATACACACACTCATACATATCACACAAACCCAAAACAATATTTTAAGAAACAATATCTTACTGCGTTCCAAACTCTGATGTTTTCCAACCTATTTCATTTTTATGAAAATACTTTATAATTTACTCATCGGCTACAGCATATAGTTTAAATCACTGGACTAGGTAATGCCATGACATTTTTGTTTATTCATTAATTCAGTAGATATTTACTCAATATCTAATGAGAGCGAGGTGCTCTTTGGAGTGTCATGGGGGACACAAACATGAACAAAACATGGATTTTTGCCCTCAAAGAGTCCAAATCCAATAGGAAATACATACACGTGAATATTTAAAAACTCAGGGCAAAACAATCAGTTCACATTTGACAAACTGCTTTTATGTTATCATAGTCATAATGATAACAAATCTCTTAGGTAAGCTGGGCAGATTTAAACTTAATTTTACAGATGGGAAGTTGCATTTTTGAAAAAGTGACATTTTAAAAAGAAGTGGAATGATAGTAATAATAGATAGCATATGTTAAGCACTTATTATATGTTAGGAACTAATTTACTTCTTACTATAACCTTATTATGATGGCATTACTATAATCCTCACTTTACAGAGGAGAAAAATGAGGCAGAGAGGTTAAGTAACTTGCCCAAAGTCATAGAGCCAGGAGTCATTGGAACTAAGAATCAATCATAGGCAACTTCAATTTTTTTTTTTTTTTTTTTGAGACAGAGTCTCGCTTTGTTGGCTCACTGCAAGCTCCACCTCCTGGGTTCAAGCGATTCTCCTGCCTCAGCCTCCTGAGTAGCTGGGACTACAGGTGCCTGCCACCACGCCTGGTTATTTTTTTGGATTTTTAGTAGATACAGGGTTTCACCGTGTTAGCCAGGATGGTCTCAATCTCCTGACCTCGTGATCCGCCCACCTCAGCCTCCCAAAGTGCCAGGACCACAGGTGTGAGCCACCACACCTGGCTGGCAACTTCAATTTTAATCAATGTATTATATTCTCTGGAAATGAAAATCACAGATCAAAATCCTACATAGGTCATGGCATACATACCTTGATCTCTTAGCCCACCCCAAAAGTGATGTGGCATCTGCTGTGACAGGATAGCATTTGGAATGAGGTGTGTATGAAGGGGATGGGGTGGAATAGAGCCTGGTTCCTCAGTATTCCTCAGTGTCACTAATCTTCATCAAGTTAATAAAGCACCTGAAGGCAGCAAGAGAAAAGACAAAGGGAATGATTGCTGTCCCCAGAAGAGGGCATCTTATCCTTTGCCGTTGTCTCATGTATGATGTAGTATTTTTGAGATAAGTTATGAAGTAGTCTTGAGTTTGGAAAACCAAGAGTTAGGCTGTAAATGTTCACCTTGTGTTTGACCAGTGCCACCTCCCTTAAGCCCAAATTCTCATTCAAAGTTACAAAGACAATTTTCCATTAGGATATCCCTGGAAAAAATAATATTTAGCCTTTATTGAGCTTTTCCCATTTGAAAAACTAAGACTGCCAGGCGCTGAGCTTAAAGCTGCACCCAAGACAGACCAATAATGGTAATAGAGAACAATTGTTAAGTACTACTCTCTCTCTCAATCTGTTTCTCTCTCTCTCTCTCTCTCTCTCTCTCTCTCTCTCTCTCTCTCTCTATATATATATATATATATATATGTTAGGTACTAATCTAATTCTTCTATATAATGATGGTACTCATATTATGCTTGTTTTATAGAGTAGAACAGTGAGATATTCATTGATAAGTATATGAATTTGATCTTTAGCACAGTAAAGAAAATTTTAATGTTGAAATTGGTGCATATCCAAATTTAGGCCCAAGCCCTAGTTTTTAGGCTGTTGTAAATTAACCTAGTTATTGTATTTTCCTGCCTTAATATGCTTCTTATATCTTCAATTTTATAGGATTATTAATAGTTATCCTGATTGACTTTATTTATATTAAGTATAAAGATAAAATTCTTATAGCCCATTCAGATTTTTCTTTACACTTGCAAACTCCAGAGATAGATATTGAAAAATACAAAGGCATATGTCTCATCTATAATTTCTTTCAGCAATATGTCTGCAAGTTGAGCAAAAATAACTGAAAGTGCTCTTTTTGAAAATAATAATTTTCACTTTTCAAAAATGATCCTGTATTTATTTATTTATTTTTTGAGACAGGGTCTCAGTCTGTCACTGAGGCTGGTTCTAAATTCTATTAATCCAATGATTATAGTCCAGCATTTGTCAGGGCACATGATGAACACTAGGTATTTACTGTCCCTGTGTGTCTGTAATGAATTAAAAGAAAAAGTACAGAGAAAGATTATTTAAGATGTTATGGGAAAAGATTTACTAGACTTCACAGAATTATTACTTTAGTCAAGTAACTAAAATAATTCAATCTGACAGATTTGGAAAATTGAAAGTATAAAAATTTGTTTTAAAATTTTTATTGCAGTTTTTCCTGCCACCATTCAGATTGTTTGATCTTGTTATAAATGAGCATTAACTCTGATTTGCAATTCAGGTCACACCATACCTCATCAAAGAATGCAGTTGGGAAAGCAACTGGCCAGGAAGTTTAGGTTTCCCCAGAAGGACTGGAAGGATTTAGAAAACATTTCTTTGGACTTCTTCTGGTTGATGCTCTTCCTACAAGAATCTGTGTTTGGGTGATCCTTGTACAGGAAAATGTCTCTTAGTCCAATTTATTTTATGTAGAACTGTGTAGAGCTAGAGCTTCCCGGAAACTTTCTGAGACCCAAATCATCTGGACTGAAGTCTCTTAGATGCTATTGTTTGATTTTGTGTCCTTAGGTGATTGATATAAGGACAGCAAGAGAAAACCATGTAAGATGAGAAGAAAGCAAAGCTGGCTTTGTGTATGGGCTCAAGTACATTTTACATGCACGTACTTTTTTCCTGTTTTGGTGAGGAAACTCTGTCAAATGACTCTTGACGGGCGCCTCACTTAGTCCCTCCAAGTTTTAGTAGAGAAAATGATAATTTTTAACCAAGACTTACTTGATCTTGACCTAAGATGATGAGAATGAGCAATCCTTCTGAAATCTTATTATTTTAGGTGAAAATAAACATTCGATAATTACATTTTAAGACTTACCAGAGTTTATCCAGGTTTTGTTCAGATCCAGAACTTATACAATGTCGGAGTCTTCTTTTAAGAATACACGATGACAGATACAAAATTAGGTACACAGCTTAATTAACTTCATGATAAATTCTCTTCTGATTATGAGTTACTGCTTTCTTTGGCCAGAATTGTGAAAGAAAAATAAGGCGTGAGGCTAGAGGATGGGGAAAAAAAATCCTTGTCTATCTTGCTTCCCAAGCAGGCCTTCAAGCTAGCTAACTGAAACAGTCTTTTCTCCAGGTCCTAAGGTAAATGGTGGCGGATCTGAAAATGCGTCGGACTTAACCTTGCCCTTCTCCCCAGTTTATTCGCTCAACAAAGAGTTCTAAACAGTCACATCTGCTCTCTAGGCAGAACGGACGCTGCCTCCTAGTATTAGAATACCCAACTCTTTGATATCTCCCTTAGGGATCATCCCTATTCTGGAGAATGTGCAAAATATTGCTCTTCCTTTATATCCTAGCATAGATATATTCTGGCACTTAACATGCATTCTTTTTCTGTTGAATTGAGTTACAAGTCAGTTCTCTAGGACGGTTACCGTCCTGGTGGCTTTGGCGGAATCTTCCGGTGAAAATAGGCTAAGTTGCATGAAATGGGTGTGTCTGGATTTTACCACAAGACCCCTGGTCCTCAAAGCTTCGCAGGCCGAGATACCTCGCCCCTTTCTTCTCTGTCACACGCGTGCGAACACACCCTCCCAACCCACGTCGTAGTAGTCCCCTCCCCCGACCACCCCGCCCCGTTTCCCTTCAACCCCCCTCCTCACGAACCTCCCCTCCCTTCCTACCTCCCTTTCCTTCCCTCCCCGCGGGCCAGCGGCTTTGGCGCTGCCCTGCTGCGCGGCGGGGCGACGCGGCGACACCTATAGGATTGCTTCCGGGCACTCCTCAGCCAGGAGGTGCTGGCCTGGGGCCCGGAGCTCGGCAGGGCCGGGCGGCTCCGCGGCGTTGGCCCAGAGGACGCGCGCCCCCGCCCGGCCGCGTCTCCTTCCCTCCCTCCCTCCTCCCGGCGCCCCGAGCCGAGCTCAGCCCAGGGCGGCGGCTTCGCCTCGCCCGGCGAAGCTTCTCTCCGGTGGCCGCTCCTTCTTTTCCCTCCTCTTTGCGTCATGTCGGGCACTTAATTTTTTTTTTTTTTTAATTCCTTCTTCAGCCCTTTCCACCTTCCATCTCCCTTTTCGCTTCCCAGGTTGATTATTTTCTCTTTTCTCCGGGCTTGCCCATGAGCCTCCTCGGGAGCTACCGGAAAAAGACCAGCAACGATGGTTATGAATCTTTGCAGCTGGTGGACAGTAACGGGGACTTAAGTGCGGGAAGCGGCGGGGTTGGCGGCAAGCAGAGAGTGAACGCCGGGGCAGCGGCGCGGAGTCCCGCCCGACAGCCTCCGGACCGCGCCAGCACCATGGACAGCTCAGGTAGCGCTGCCCGAGGGGAGTGCAGCGCTGAGCCCCGCGCGGCCTCCGGAGCCTCCCAGTCGCCCGGCCCGAGGCCCCCCCGTGGTCCCCCAGCCCCGGTTTGCGAGAGAGCCGGGCTGGAGGCGAAGGCTTCTAATACCACCTGGGTGTCGAGTCTCTAATTTCTCTCATCCAGGGAGCTACGAAACGTTAGATCAGTCCTGAGGCCCAGAGACTGTAGCGAGCTCCTCCTAATCTCTCTAGACTGCTGAATACGGCAGCTGGGGGCGGGGAGGGGGAGGGAAGGAGGAGGGGAGGGGTGGAGAAGAGAGGGGAGCGGGTGGGGCGAAGAACGGCTTGGGAGGAGGGCTGGGAGAGGCAGCTGCTTTCACTGCCCAGCTGGATGAGGGGGAGAGGTGAAGGAGCATGTGCGTTGATTGTTTTTGCAGCATGCAGACGGTATTTATTCCAATTGTTATTCTTGCAATGCTGATGCTATTTGCAATTCTGTAAAGCTCTGCCACATCTTAACTCAGCCGTCTGCTAGGGTTAATGTTACCTTTCTCCTGCAGTTTTTAACCTGGGATCTAGAGCTCTTTTACACAGCTTTTACTGTTTGCACAATGAAATTTATTTCATGTGTTGGCTTTGATCTTGTTTGTCCTTTTGCTTGAGTGTACAGATTTCATAAACCTTTACATGTAGGGACAAGGAAATTCCTCTAAACTTTGTATCGGGGCTTGCAACTGTCTTTTATAAAAGGTTTGGCAAGTTAGAGTCCTCTCTTGGAACTGCTGTTGGCATTTGCGATTTCAATAGCAAAACAGTCATTTAATATATCCATGTTGGACTAGGAGTATTATTATAGCTATTTGCTTACTTCTGCAGGGAACCAGGTTCGGAGAATTGTTTACAGAGATATTTATAATTGAAGTCCTCAGTGGTTGGTTCTACACTGGTAACTTTAATACTGGACAACTGAGGATTCCAGAGGAAAGATTCATATGGGGTCGTTTGAACAGTAATGAAATCAAACTGAATTTAAATGCCCTGCTTTGCAAACAAATGCTTGTTTATTTTAATTGTGTAATGGCTGTCCTTGGGCTATTATTTTCTATTTTCCTTGTCCCAAAGTGGGATGAAATATTGTCCACAGATGCTCAAATGTCCTGGGCTGAAAACAAATTCTACTCATTGAAGCTCTTATTGAAGTTAACCAAGATATTGATGGGACATTCTCTTAGACCATTTTAAATAAAACTAAAATGATCCCCAAGGGATTGATGGTTTCAGGACTGTTTTTTTTTTTTTTTTTTTTTTTTTTTGAGGCGGAGTCTCACTCTGTTGCCCGGGCTGGAGTGCAGGGATGCGAACTCGGCGGACTGCAAACTCCGTTTCCCGGGTTCAAGCGATTCTCCTGCCTCAGCCTCCTGAGTAGCTGGGATTACAGGCACCTGTCACCATGCCCGGCTAATTTTTGTACTTTTAGTAGA